>NC_000011.10:117475454-117778485 GCF_000001405.40 Homo sapiens
CTCTGAACTCTTCCAGCATTTAGAGCCCCTCCTCAGTCCACAGTATCTTCTTTCAAGGGTTCACTGTTTGGTGGTAACTGCCCAAGGAGATGCTAAGCTCCCTGAAGTCAGGAGCCATGTCTAAACCTTTGGTCCTCTCCCCAGTTTCACATGTGTTGGGCACTTAAAATGTGCTGTTGATTTTAAACCAGAGCCACTGTTTTTCCCCTTTACTTGGGACTTGAAGTTCCTCTGCACTCTGTGGCCACAGTGTACTCTTTGCCATTCCCCTCCTTGCCTTGCTCAGCTGCAAATCACAGGAAGGTTGGGCGGGGGAGTGTCCCGGAGAACAACTCCTTTTTTTCTTCTGCGTTTGCCTCCCGTGGTTTGCAGGTGGATTTGACCTTGTGTTCCCAAACCATCTTTGGTGTTAGCACAAAATAGCTCCCTCTCCATAACCTTTCCAGGCTAATGCATCAGAGTCAGATCTGGAAGTCTCTGGCTGATCTGCCAAACTTGATCACTGTCATCTCCCTGACCCTGAATGGCTGAGACCAGGGGCCCTATTTTCTTCCTTTTCCTTTTCAGTTCTCAGAGTACTGAGCTGGCTTTGGTGAATATTGTCTCTTTTAATATTCCCTTTCATATGAGCCTGGCTTACCCAGATTAACATATTTCATTAAGGGCTCTCTCTCCCTTTCTTCATCAAAGGGTTTATGATGCAAAATATTCTTCTTAAAAATAAGGAAGCGGCTGGGGAGATGTCAGTGCCTTCTGCTCTGTGGGCTGCTTGCTGAGAGGGGACTGGGAATCTTTGGTTTTTCAGGAGATACATTCACTGTAGAGGGGACGCAGCTTGGAGAAAAGCCACATCTGGAGCGTTTAGCTGCCTGGGCTCAGGAAGCACATTCATTCTGCATCTCTAATTTTCTCCTTGGATCACACCTTTGAGACCCCCATGACAATCTCTTCACAGCACGGAGAAGAGGCCTCCTGCGTCACAACGACAGCTCACGACATCTCAACACCAGTCCCTCTGACAGCCACACTCCAGCTCCCACAGAACACCATGCCATGCCAGGCCAGCTCACCCCATGGTGGCCGGCACAGCCCCTACACCAGCTTGCGCTATGAGGCTGGTGTAGGGGAGGGCCATCCTCAAAGAACCCATCCTTGCTCTGTGCTTGGTGAACAGGGGCGAAATGTGGTGTCTGCATTTTTAAATCTGCACAGCGCCATCTGATAGATTTGCGTGGATGGTGCTATTTATCATTCGGCATTCATGTATTATTACTCTGCTGCCTGGGGCCAGGAGAAGTCAGCATGAGTGGGATGGCTTAGAAAGGGCAGACTCAGTAATTTCTCTTGGAAAATTAGCATGATGAGCAACATGGCAGAAATCCTGGCAAAGGCACATTTGGGGCAAAGAAGGTCGGGAGCCGATGGTCAGGACCCAGGATGGGTGTGGCCTGGGGCAGCGGGAAGTGGAGAAGGGAAGCAGAGACACAGGACAGGAATCTGTGGGAGGTTATCATGTGCCAGGCTGGGTGCTAGGCACCTCCATGTATGTCATCACACTCCCCAAATCCTCATGGCCACCCTGAGAATGAAATGTTACTGTCTCCATTTTATACATAAGGAGATGCCCAAAGATGTTAAGTACTCGCTAAAGATCATGCAGCTGTGACACTTGGTCAGCCCAAGTCTTCAGCTTTGCCAGTGGTTCTTGTTCCACTAGTCCACAGGTGCAGGAAGCTGTCCTTAGACACACACACACACACACACACACACACGTGCACACTCTCTCCTTTCTTTGAGTCATCCTCTGTTCCCTTGGATACCTTTTTCAGTTCTCACCTAATACAGTTTGTGGCATATTATACTTGATTGGATAGTGCTTTGTAATGGTTCTGAAAGTGTGTGTGTGTGTGTGTGTGTGTGTGTGTGTGTGTGTGTGTATGTGTGTGTGTATGTGTATATTCTCACTCCAACTGCATTGTAAGCTCCAAGGGCAACATTCTGTCTCCTATTTCTTTTTCTTCCTCTACCACATGGCTGGTGCATGATTCTGCAAAAAAAAAATTGGCACTCAGTACATGTGGCTGACTGACAGACACATATATTTCAGCCTGCAAGTCCCACAGGACTATAAATTGCTGCACGAGGTATTTGAGTTAGAAGAGACAGAAGAAGTTATATTTATTAAAAGTTTGCTCTAGCCCCGTGCTATCATAGATGCTTTCTCTCTAATCCTCTAAACAATCCCATGAGGTAGGCATCACCACCCCTACTTCACAGATGGGGAAGCCGTGCCATGCCCAGGGTCTCTGCTGGCCTCCAGTGATAGCACACTGCAGTTCTCATGGCACTCCTGTTCCTAAATGCCAGGATGTGACAGATGCCTGCCTGGGTGGGCTGTGCTGGAGCCATCCCACCCAAAGGTGTGGAAAGGACCGGCTGCCTTCTCAGTGCTCTGGGTCCTGTGACTTAGTTCTTTAAGAGTGCAAAGCCCTTGTGGTAGGCAGAGACTGAAGCTGAGCTTTCATTATCTCTCCCTCCACCTTCCCCACCCATCCTGGCATTCCTAGCTGGGGTGGTCTACCGCAGTTCCTCATTCTGCAGGGAGCCAGAAGGGCAAGACGTGGATGTGCTGTAAGAATAGCATCTTCCCTTTCCACCTTGCCTTCTGCCTTGCTCTCCAGACGTGTGATGTTCTCCACATTGCCCCTGCTGAGGGGTGCCCCAGGAGAGGCTCCCACGCATTAGAGACTGGTCAGTGGAGGGGCTGTGGGCATCAGGGCAGCATGGGGGAGGAGGAACGGGGGGAGGGGCACGAGCGACAGCCCAGGCATCCACCTCCCATCCCAGATGTGCGCCGGCAGGGAGGCGGTGTGTGCAGTGCCATGAGGGATGTCACCCTCTGGACCCAGCCCTTCCTGTTTACTCCTGGGTGGCCTGTGCCCAACCTCAGGGAGCCCTGAGATGTGACATGGACACAGTCAGCCCTTTTGTCCCCTTTGCCTCATCACATATCCCCAGCTGCAGGGCTGCAATGGCCTCTTTTCTTTTCTCCTGGATACCAATTTCTTCCACTCACATTCATTCTTCTAAGGCACCATGTTTGCTCAAGTCTCCCCCGGGAGCTCAGACATTGTTAGCGGCTCTCAGTGACCTTCCCCAGCAAAGTGAAAGCTCAGCCCGGACGCCTCCCTCCCAACCTGGTCCCAAAGCACCTTTGTAGATTTATTGCCCATGAATTGCATCTATGAGCCCTGTGCTAGATCATAGGCCACTTCCTGGTGTGCATTGCACCCTCACTTGGTCTCTGTCCTTCGCTTTCTCAAGATCTTGGCCTGTTGCCTTTCAGTACCCAAGACCCATCTCAGTGCAGCATCTACAGGGGACCAGACACATGCCTTCCTGGACAACCCCTGTTGGCTGACGCCCCTCCTTGGATCTGTAGCCCTCCTGCACTCAGATTGAACTCCTGGGTGGCTTACCGCAACTCAACCGGAAGTGTCTGAGAATACGGTTTGTCTCTGTAGACATGTGTATCAAAGATGACTGACCCAGGTCCCTGGACAGAGTGGCTTCTCAAGGGGTGAATGCAGCTCAGAGATTTGCTTTCACATGTCCCACTTCAACTCACTCACCAACACTTGCTGAGCATCTACCATGTGGCTGGGCCCTGTGCCAGGTGCTGGAAATGCAAAGGGAACAGGACTTGGCCAATCAAGAGGAGAGGACAGCCGGCCGGCCAATGGCCACTGCCGTGCTAAGTGGGAGAAGAAGGGTCTGGAAGCTTCAGGAGAAAACGAAACCTTCCATCTAAGTAAGGACCCACAAGAGGAGTTGAGCTGGTGAGGGAAGGAGACTGAGGAAGATTGAGTAATCTAGATTCTACTGTTTTCTATGCTTTATTTATAGTTTAATTTGTAATTATTTTGAGGAGTGAATACAGGCTTATGGTATCAAATTCAAAAGGTACGAAGGATCCAGAGTGAGACAGCTGTTTTCTTCTCACCCTGCTGTGAAGCCACCCAGGTGCACTCTGTTCCCCTCTGAGGCCCCTCCTTGCCATTCCTGCCACCTGACCATGGGACTTACCACAGTCTCCCCAGATGCGGGGTGCCCATGGCGCCCCACAGTGCCTCACAGTGGCGGGGCGGCCGCACAGCAGCCAGTTGGCACCTGAGAGGAGGGCTCTGGGAAGGGCTTTTTTTGTTTTTTTTTGAGACAGAGTCTCACTCTGTTGCCCAGGCTGGAGTGCAATGGCACGATCTTGGTTCACTGCAACCTCCGCCTCATGGGTTCAAACAATTCTCCTGCCTCAGCCTTCTGAGTAGCTGGGATTACTGGGGTGTGCCACCACGCCTGGCTAATTTTTGTATTTTTAGTAGAGATGGGGTTCGCCATGTTGACCAGACTGGTCTCGAACTCCTGACCTCAGGTGATCCACTCGCGTCAGCCTGCCAAAGTGTTGGGATTACAGGTATGAGCCACTGCGCCCAGCTGGGAAGGGCTCTTAGAGGAAATATAGGTCCAAGCTTTTCCAGGGCCTCCTATCCCCCACTCATGGGGACCATTCTTAGGACCAGCTCTCTGATCTCCAATCATCCTCCTCATCCCAGACCAGGAGCACCCATATGACCTGGCCAAACCCGTGATGCTTCTGATGCCAGAGACAGCCCACAGCCCTGGGTTCAGTGCCCTTACATGGCTTCAAATCAGACCACCCTTGGGGACCCTGGCCCAGGGACAGTCCTGGAAAGGAGCTGACATCACTACCCATCAACTGGGGGTCTCCATCTTCCACCCGGACTCCTAGCCCGGCCAGTGTCCCTCCCTTCAGAAGCCACAGCTGCTTGTGCACTGGTGGGTGCTTGTGTGTCTAGCTTGGATGGGCAGCCCTAAGGCTCAGGGGCTCTCCTCCCAGAGGGCACAGGCAGGACACGTGGCACAAGGGGCCATGGCAGGCCACGCTGTCACCCTCCTGGCCCAGCGCCTACCTGATTTGTTCTTGTATTCAATGTCGAAGCCCGTGATGATGCTGTTCCCGTCGAATCGCTGGGTCCAGCGCAGGTTCATGCTCCGGGCCTTCACCTCCCGGATCTCCAGCTCTGGGGGGTCGGGGGGCTCTAGGGTGCGGCAGTGGAGGGGAGGGAAGTGAGGAGGGCAGCAGGGAGCTTGGCCTCCTGCTTGGCCCTGAGGATTGGCATCACCTGGGTCTAGCCAAGGACTCTGGCACCCTAGGGTTTGAGCAGGGTGGGGGCTGGAGGAGGCCAGCAGCCAGGCTTGGAGGCTGAGGAGGCCTGGCTTGCTCTCCTGTCTTGCTGCCATCTTGTTCTTGGCCTGGGAGAGGGCTGACTCTTCTGCAGGGATTCCTGTTAGCTGACGGCATTTTTCCCCTTCCAACTTCCCCAGCTTGACTTTCCCTTCCCACACCTGCTGCAGGGGCCTGGACCCAGGAACCTGACTCCCCCACCCCTCCCCAGAAGGGTCAGTGGAATCTATAGCGGCTGTAGCCATTGCAAACTTTTGCTGTTTAAGTTCCTGGAAAGGTCTTATTTCCCTACTCTGGGCAGGAGGGCAGGTGGAGGGAGGCTTTTCCCCAGAAGGCAGTTTCCTGTCATCCTCCACCATGGCGTAGGCTGTGGCCCCTGCTCTTTGAGGTGGAGTTAGCGGTGGGCCCCTGGGCCCTGGGGAGGTGGGATGGGAAGGGTGGGGCAGGTGAAGGTACCTTGCACAGTGAGTTGGATCAAGCCCCGGTCCTCCCCATACGAGTTGATGGCATGGCAGCTGAAGAACACAGAGTCCCCACGGTCAGCGGGCTTGAGCTGGGAGACCACCAGCAGGGGCAGGAGAGGGAGTAAACAGGGAGAGTCTTTTAGAGCTGGTCAGCTGAAGGGGTCACTCCAGGGCTCTCAGCAAGGCCCTCTTGTTCTGGGAGGGGGACCCACAGGGGCTTTGTCAAGGGCTTCTCTTCCCAGGGACTTCCAAAGATGGAAGTATGGAGGGCTTCATACAGGGAGGGGCTGGGGGACACCAGAGGGAGAGAGGGGCTGAGGAGTCCTAGGGGAGTGGGAGGGGCTGAGGGGGTCCCAGGGGAGTGGGAGGGGCTGAGGGGGTCCCAGGGGAGTAGGAGGGGCTGAGGGGGGGGTCCAGGAGAGTGGGAGGGGCTGAGGGGGGAGTCCAGGAGAGTGGGAAGGGCTGAGGGATCCAGGAGAGAGGGAGGGGCTGAGGGGTCCCAAAAGGGAGAATGGAGCCCTGGGGGTTCCAGAAAAGAAGGTGGGACTGAAGAAACCACATTTGATTGCTGTGGGGTTGTCAGAAAGGAGATACAGTGAAGTTCTGAGACACAGATTCCTGGATGGAGAGGGGAAATAGGTGGGAAAGGGGAGGTACATTTTTGGGGTGTGGGGAGGGGCTCCCAGGCTCCCCATTTGCCTCCTGGATGCAGATGTGATAGCTGCGGGCTCCCCACTCTCTGAGAGTTGGGGTCCCCCAGCACTGAGGTGGGGGTGCTCACCTTCAGTGTGGAGACGACCTCGTCGCCGTTGTCCTTGGTGGCGATGGCATACCGCATGACGCGGTCAGGGTCGATGACTGTGTCCCCCTTCTCCCAGCGGATGATGATGGGCCGCTCACCCCGTGCCGTGCAGTTTAGCTCCTTCGCATGGCCCTTGATGGCGATGGTGGTGTTGGGGTGGGAAGTGATCATGGCCGGGACTGGGGGGCGGAGGCAGAGAAGGCCCAGTGAAGGTCGGGAGACCAGCCTGGAGGAGGCACGCGTGCCCTGCGCAGAAGCCCCCGCCCCAGCCCTCCTCCCCCAGGAGAGGCTCCAATAAAGGAGTACAGGGAACCCCACTGGCCTGTCCCTTCTCCCACATCCATCCATGACTGGGGCAGCCTCCCTCTTCACCGGGGGTCCCACATTCCTCTTCTGGGGAGGGAGTGGCCTGTGCTCAGAATGCTTTTACAGGTATGCCATACATAGAACTATAAAGGAAACCACTTGTATTGAAATATGGTTATGCAAATATTAAAAACATGAACAAGCAAACCTTCGATATCGTATATCACCTATCAGTATGTGTTCTTTACTACTCTTTACAAAATAAGATCCAGTGGTAGCTCGTATAATTGCTGTCTTATATTACCATGATCCTGTAATAGTGCTGCGTATAAGTGATATTTTGAGATATTTGCAATCACTGTGATGTGATGGGAGCATATCCGAGGATTTCTGCTGGTGACAGTCACGGGGCTGCTATTGCTGCATTCTGTCGCTTATGTTCAAAATGGAAGGAATACTAAATTTCAGTTAGAAGTTAGTGAAAAAATGTGATTTTCCCTCCTCCCACATTCATGGATCCCCCTGAATCAGATCTATAGAGCTTCTAGCGGCCTCTGGACCCCAGGTTAAGAACCCTTCTTGAAAGCACCAAGGCTCTGCTTTTTCTCTATAGCTAAGGCTTGTTTATCTCCCTCCTGTTCCTTCAAACAAGATACAAAGGAAAACCCTGGACACCACTACAAGAAGTAAGATCCACAAGCAGTGCTAACAGGACTGAGAAAATCACCACCAAACAACCAGGGCCCAGGCTGGTCATCGGAAGCCCCCGTCCCTACTGCTCAGACAAGAAGCCTGTCAATCACCGGCCCCTCCTCTGGGCCTGAGCACCTGCGGCAGCAGCAGGAGGCAAGGGGCAGGGGAAAAATGGTCTCAGCTGCAGCGAAACCCTGTCCCCTTTCTCCTCCGCCCAACTCAATGAACACACATGGGGCACTTATGCCATCATGAGACCTCGTGCCAGGCTGGGGGGTACGCATGACAATGAGACAGGGTCCTTGCCTCTGGAGGGAGGGGAAGACAGATACCTGCACCGGCAACATGAACTGGAGGAAAATCTGATGAGTGTTTCATCAAAGGGTTAGGAGACATTAACTTTGACTGAGGGGCATCAGGGAAAGCATAGTCCATCCATTCAGCAAGGATTCATTGAGACCTTCTATGTGCCAGGTCTTGTCCCGGGTTCTGGAGCTGACAGTGAATAGGACAAACATGGCGTGATCTCATGTTTGAAACTCCTATGATCTCAGGGAGTTTCACTCTAGTGGTGAGAACAGACAAGACTAGCAATTTCAGTGAAGAGTGGTGAGTCCTATGCTGGGAGAAATGCACGGCCCCTGACCCAGCAAGACTTAAATGGGGAGAGCAGAGGGAAGGGCGCCCAGGCAGGAGAATCTGCTTGAGCCAAGGCTCCAAGGCAGACATAGGCGGGGCAGGTCCCAGGAAGGTCAGTGATTTGGTGCTGCTGGAGACTACCCTTGTCCTTTTCTTCTCTGGGAAAATTTGCCTTCCAGTGGCTCTTGTCTCAGGAGGGATGCCCAGGAGCCATCCTGGAGTATATAAATGGGGAGGGGCTGTCATTGGCTGCAAGAATCGGAAACCCCCCACCCCCATTCAGGGGAATACCTCTTGTCACAGCAGAGACCAGCTCACCCTATCCTGGTCACTGGCCTGCTTTGGGCAATCGTGCAAAAAGGGGCTTTGTCTTCTCTGTCCTCAAAACCCAGTTCCCTGCCCGCCCCCCGCCCCTGCCCCCCGCCCCTGCCCCGGCACCGTGTCTCTGCTCCATTTCAACAGCTGGCCCTTTCTCCTCCTTCCTTCCGGGTATTCTCAGGGTTTTTCTCTCTCCTAGTTTTAAAGGCCTGCTCAGGCAAAGTTGTTCCCAGCAAACTCTCCAGGGACGTCTGACTTTTATGGACAAATAAGCCTTTGAAGAAATGAGGGGAGCCACAGAGCTGCCACGGTGCCATCTGACACCAGTCCGTGGGTGAGGAGGCGTCTGGGACAGGAGTAGGGTGGATGAAGGGAGGTTTCAGGCTCCCCGAAGTCACACCACACAGCAAGCCACCTCCTCTGCTGCCTTGTCATGCAGGACTTGATGCTGACGACAGCCCTGGCCTCCAGGCCCCCGCACCAGCCTCTCAGCACATTCCCCAGCCCCAGCTCATCAAATAATGAAGCAGATAAATTTTATAATGCACGGCATTACACTAGGATATACAATAAAATGCAAAAGACAAATAACGAGGTGCAAGTTATAATGAAGAAAAAGCCTGCAGTCAGAGACATCCGAGTATGAATTATTGACTAAGGTTTTACACTCTCAAGGATGTGCGGAGGAATATTTTTCCATCAAAGATTTGCATAATTCACTCGTATAAACCTGGGTGGAATATAGAGTAAGATTTTACACCAACAAGTCAGGACTTGCATTGCAGATGCCTCCATTTTTTACTGGAGAATTGAGCTCGGGTGTCGGGGAGGCTCGTAAGCGGACTGGGGACTGGGACCCCCATGGGTCGGGCCCTGAGGCCTCCTTCCTGGGGAGGAATCCTGTTCCTGAGAGGTTGCTGCTGAAGCCACAGAGAAGCAGAGGAACAGTGTGTGTGTGTGTGTGTGTGTGTGTGTGTGTGTGTGTGTGTGTGTGTGTGTGTGTAAGTGGGGCTGGGAGGGTCTTTCTTTGGTAGGAGGACTTCACAGTTCTGCAGCACACCTCTGTTCTGTTCTCCAGGCAGGCCTGCACTAACCCTTCCAGGACCTGTGTGTGAATTACAAAGGCAACCCCACCATGCCTCTGGCTGGGTGCTGCCTGGTGCCGGGAGCCACAGCTTGGCCAATGAAGCAGGGACCATGTTTCAGACCCCATTCACCCCTGAGGCTATGTACTTTTGAGCAGTGCACAACCTGTGTATCCATACATGCCATTCCCACTTCAGGGAACCTGCCTTTCTAGTCAGCTTTGTTCAGCCCTGTGGGCAGCCAGGGACAGCAGGGTCCCCAGGGATCCTTGGCCCCTCAGCCCTTCTGTGTGTGGTAACAACCATACCTGGAGCCTGAGACAGGGTCCCTTCACCCTTCCACCAGCTTAGGATGGCAATGAGCATCACACACCACAACTCTTACAGTCCCCTAGCTCAGGGCTAGTTCAGGGGAGCCCGTTCATGAGGAAGAGGAGAGAAGCTTGAGGGGCTTGGGGCCAGGCCAGCCTGGGATCTGCTTCTGTGGCTGCGAGCTATGTGGCCTTCCACCCCTTAAAGCTAACTTCTGTGAGCCCCACGGAGCATTGTGAGGACAAAGTGAACCCACATATGTAAACTGCCTGCCACACAGCACTTGCTTAAGAAACCTGGATTCTAGTCCTATCCCCAAGGGGTTCCATCAAGACAGGAGCTCTTTTTTATAGAAACGTGTGACGTGCAACATAGATTATTGCCTTTCATTTTGTGTGTCAGGACAAGGGTCTTTTTGGGTAGAGGAAAAAAGCCTAGGTCTGTGGCCTGAAGACAGACTGTGGTACTGAAAGCAAATGTCAGAGAATGTGGTCCTAGGCAAAAGAGGACCTGGCCAGAGTCAACCTCCATTGAAGTGTCAAAAGTGGCTCTTCTTGGCCTGGCCAATGGTTCCTTGTGTCATAGGCTACACCTACTGGTGTCAGCCAGCGCTGGCCGGTCCTAGCTTGATAACCAGAACCCCACTGGGCTGGTATAATTAGCCCCTGAATTCAAAACAACTGGGTGCCAGGTAATAAGGACTACCTCACATGTACAAGTGGCAGGGAAAAGGGTGTGTGGCTTGACATGCATTACCAGACTCCATGGAAAAGGCTCAAAGAAAAAACTAGGTCAGAAGTCATTTTCTTTTCCATCCTCGCCAGCGCAAGTGAATGCAATCAGCCAATTAGCTAAACTGGGTCTGCTGAACTCCCAAAATGGCGGATGGGAAAGTGGCGGATGGGAAAGTGGCGGATGGGAAAGTGGTGGATGGGAAAGTGGCGGATGTGAAAATGGCAGATGTGAAAGTAGTGGATGTGAAAGTAGCGGATGTGAAAATGGCGGATGTGATAATGGCGGATGTGAAAGTGGCTGATGTGAAAATGGCGGATGTGAAAGTGGCGGATGGGAAAGTGGCGGATGTGAAAATGGCGGATGTGAAAGTGGCAGATATGAAAGTAGCGGATGTGAAAATGGTGGATGTGAAAATGGTGGATGTGAAAGGCGCATGTCTCAGGCAAGAAGGAAAGCAGAGACCTGGTGCAGTAAGATGGATGTATATCCTTCCATGGGAATACTGCCAGCTTCCTTCCAGGCCTTGCCCCTAAAAGTTAATCTGGGAAGTGCAAGACTGTATAAGACCCATGTCTGTTACTCCTACAAGTTCAGAAAATACACGTGTACAAGTTACTGGCTTCAGGTGTTACTTGCCAGGTGATTCCACAGAATCCTAGCATCCTAGCATTGCAGAGCCCAGATGAAGACCTGTTCTACTGAATTTGTAGCAGCTGCTGGCCACATGGGGCTAATGGGCACTTGAAATACAGCCAGCCCAAATTGGGATGTGTGATAAGTATAAAATACATAGTGGATTTCAAAAATGTAGGAAGAAAAAAAAAAAGAATGTAAAATACCTTTTTTTTTTTTTTTTTTTTTTTTTTTTTTGAGACAGAGTCTTGCTCTTGTTGCCCAGGCTAGAGTGCAGTGGTACAATTTTGGCTCACTGCAACCTCCGCCTCCTGGATTCAAGTGATTCTCCTGCCTCAGTCTCACAAGCAGCTGGGATTACAAGCGCGTACCACTACGCCTGGCTAATTTTTGCATTTTTAGTAGAGACGGGGTTTCACCATATTGGTCAGGCTGGTCTTGAACTCCTGATCTCAGGTGATCCACCCGCCTCAGCCTCCCAAAGTGCTGGGATTACAGGTGTGAGCCACTGCACCTGGCTGTCATTAAGTTTTATATTGACTATCTGTTAATATTTTAGATGTATGGAGTTAAATAGAATATACTATTATAATTAATCTCACCTGTTTTTTATTTTTTTGAACATGTGACAGAGAGGGGATTTCAAATTACATATTATTTGGCTCACGTTATGGTTCTACTGAATGGAACTGGTATAGATCAGTGACACAGACCCTTCCTTTGGCAAATGGAGAAACTGAGGTGATGCAAGGAAGCAATTTGCCCAAGGTCACGTTGCTGGTAAGCAGAAGAGCATCTTAAAAGAGGATGGGTTGCAGAGGGCAGTACTGAACACACAGCGATGCTGTGAAGGGTGGGCGGCCCGGTATCACTGGGAATGCGATTTCTCAGCTCTCTAGGACTCATAATTACAAGCTCAGGTTATCTGTTCCTAACATTAACCAAGAAATATCAGGTCTTGTTCTGGGGACCCTATTTGACGAAGGACATTGACAGGCTGGAGTGTGACCAGTAAGATGGGCCGATTTCAAAGCATGCTGAGAACTGGGAATTAGTAACCCAGGGAGCAAGGGAGAGACACTGCAAGGGGGGAAGGGAAGACCTCCTACTTGGCCTAAGAAGGAATGTTCTAGTATTTTCTGCTGTTTGGGGAAAGGGCCACAGTGGGAAGTGGCAAGCTCCCTGCATTGGAAGTAGACAACCTGTGGCCTCACAGAAAGGAGTCAATTAAGGCCTGGATCTGGGCCCCTTGTCTTTGGGCCCTTGGGGGTGCCCGGGTCTCAGGAGAGGGAAAGACGGTCTGGGAATGTGGCTCACTGTCTGATGAAGTGGTTCTATGAATCAGAGTACTCGTGTCCTTGCAGATGGGCGCTTTCAGCCCCTTGTCCTCAGTAAGAGGCAGGGAATCCTCTTCCCCTCTTCTTCTGCCAACTAACCAGAACAGAGAACTCTGCCACTGTGCCCCTCCATCCGGCCCTGCACCCAGCCTCCAAGGACCACGGTGTCCTCCTGTGCCCACAAATAGGAGCTTTGGCCCTCCTGGCTGCTGTACTGCTGGGCTTAACAAGGCAGCCCCTTAATAGGGGGAAGTTCAGGGCATAGGTGCCTGCCCCATTGATCCTTCACCTTCTTCCACCTCCCCCTTACTTCTTGCTCTGGACTACAAGATCTCTCTGCTTCATTGAGTCGCAGTAATAAACAAGATTGAACTCTCTCTATATGGAGACCAGCTGTACCTCACAGGGCTTTTTGGGTGAAGGCGGCCACCACGAATTCCCTGGGGAGATGGTCATATGCACTCACCAGGAGTACAAATCCTGACATGCACAGACACAGACACACACACACACACCACACACAGAGGGGCAGTGTCAGAAACACACCTCAACAGACAGTCACAAACACAGTCACCCTCACAGCCTATGCTCTGACACCCTTACCATAAACCCATGGACGGCATTACACACACATAACCCGATGCAATGATCAATTGCATGTCAATACCCTGATGTGCTTGTTTAACACACATCTCCCCACACTGCTGTAGTCCATAAGCACAGGCTCTCTCCACACACACACTTGTATAGTTCCCTTTTATTGGGTGCTTACCATGTCCTGGCAGGATTCTAAGTACTTTGCATGAATGAACTCATCTGAGGTAGGCACTGTTATTATGCCCCGGTTCCAAAGCCTGTGTCTCAGTGTATTTCTTGACGAAGCTCCATGGCCTCCCGCATGCCCAGGTTCCCCTGACAAAGCAGGCCCTGAGCTGGATGCCTCTGCCTTTTGGCCTGTTGTTCAGTGGTTCCTCCCAACAGCAACCACGAAAGCAAGTCTTATCATCTCCACTTTTCAAATGAGGAAACTGAGGCTTCCAGAAAGTGTTTCTTCCACCTCTAAGGGGGCTGGCCACCTCTAGCCATCTGTTTGTCTGCCACCCTTGCATACAGTCCCTGGCTTTTGGAAATGGAATTTGGCTGTCACCAAAAAGCTGTGGCCTCTGCGGCGGGGCAGCTGCAGCAGGTACTCCTGGGGCAGGCAGTGGGGACTGCTGCTTTAGGGGTGCAGGCGGGAGAGCCGGGGTGGGGTATATGCACAGGGCTGGGTCCTGCGTGACAAATGCTAATGACAGCCACAAAAGCACCTCACTGCTCTGTAGGGCACAGGAGGCTTTAATGAAATACAACTTCTCTGCTTTCCTGCAATCTAATTCAATTAACAGCCAGGGAAATCTGATTTCTCTTTACAAACGGGTGCAGGGGAGACTTTCTGGGGACTTGAGAGAAGGGAAGGGCTAGGGCTAGGCACAGTGGTGTGGGTGAGCTCCTTCTCAATACACAGCTCCTTCCTATACAGCAGCTTTAGGTGGGGTAGGGTCTTCTCTCTGAGACCCTGGGGGAGTGAAGACCCTGGTGTGAAGACGGCCCATTTCATTCAAGCCTCAGTTACAGTCCCCAGCACCTGCTACAGTGCCTGGCACTGTGATGACCAAATTGGGGCATACTCTGGTGGAGGCCAAGGAGGCTTCCTGATGACTTCCAGGGCTCTTCCCTGACACCCCACATTGCATGCAGGCCTCTCCTGCGGGGCATCCCCTGCATGGCACGTGTCCTCCGGCAGCGTCCTTGCCTCCTTGTGTGTGACTGTGAGACTCTCCAGGGCAGAAGCATCTCTATTCCAGGGCTTAGCTCGTGTTTGTGGAAAGGAGAGCTTTACTGGGTATCTTTGCCGTCCTCCTCCAGTGCCCCAGGGCAGCCTGCCCCAGTCCACACTTAGGCTCACTCAGGGGAGCGGGGAGCCTTGCTGGGCCACTGGGGCTCAGGAAGCTGCCTTATAACCATGCGGAAACTCCAGATTTCCTTCTGCTCGTTGAGATGGGCAGGCACCCCTCAAAGAGGAAGCACCACGGAGAGGAGAAAGGCACCAGAGCCGTAGAGGAATCACCCCCTCCCCTTGCTCCAGGGCTCTTTCAGGGCAGCAAGCCGAGGTGGGAGGAAATCAATTTCAGAAACAAGACAGTTGTCAGAATCTGATGTAACCGGTTCCCGTCTGTGAAATTACTCGCAGGCCGGCTCCTGTCACCCCTGAGGTCCTGCTTGGACCAGCTGCTATTTACATTTTAATTTGATGTGAGAGGCTGATAGATTTTTAAAACACCACAAGACAGCTCTGCTGCCTCACTCACTCCCGGCATCCACACACTTTCTGACCAACCCCCAGGCGTGGAGGTAGAGTTCTAGGGGTCCCCAGACCCTGCCACGGGGATTGCAAACTCTGCTCCTACTTGGCCCCTACTTAGCACCCCCAGATCCCCGCTTCCACTGGGGTCCAACTTAATAAGCTGGGGCAGGCCCGCTCCTTGCAGTTTACAAAGCAGTGCTGCATCCTTTGCCTCCAGCTTCATTCTTACTAAGGAGGTGGCCTGGCTCTATTATCCCCTACAGAACCAGTGAGGAAATGGAAGCCCAGAGAGGTTCAGTGATTTATGTAAGGTCACACAGCTGGTGAGTGGCAGGAAGGAGACTGAACCCCAAGTCCTCTGACAACTGGCCAGCTCCTTTCTTTCGGTTTATCCTAGCCTTCTCCTGTGTAGGTTTTTCTTCCTCACATGGAGAGATTCTGGGGAGAGTGAAGGTGAGTGGGGGATTTTGAAAGAGGCTGAACACTGGAGGAGGTCCGGGCTAGCAGGGCCAGGAGGCCAGTCCAGGGCAGGCTGGGGCTGGAGGCAGGATCTGGGGAGAACGGTGAGTCTGGCCTTCCCTGTCTTTGTCTCCTGGCCTCTTTTCCTCTGGTGATTGGAGCTCAGCTGGTGTTTCTGACAAGTCCCCAAGTCACCAGGGAGTGAAGATTCAGTTGTGAATACCCAAAGGAGAGGAGCGAGCGAGCAGTGTGTGTGGGAAGGAGGATGTTGAAGGAACAGGATGAGAATGCCACGGGCTGCCGGGAGAGGCTGCTAAAATGCAACAGAGGCATGGAATGTTGAACTCCAAAAGGAAGCCTGGGTACATCTTCACCCCATTCATGGGCATGACTACGATAATAATCATCACAGTCTGTTATACTGAGAGCTTACTATGTGCCAGGTACTGTTCTGAGTTCTGTTACCTGCATTAACTCATGGAATCCTCACACAACCCTATTTTTATTTTCACTTCACAGATGGGGAAACTGAGGCTGAGATAAATAAATTGCCCCTGGTCACATGGCTAGTAACTGGCAGAGTCAGGCCATGGCCCAGGTCATTCGTGGTCTCATCCATGACGTAAGAATGTGAATGTTGGCCAGGTGTGGTGGCTCACGCTTGTAATCCCAGCACTTTGGGAGGCCAAGGCAGGTGGATCACTTGAGCTGACCTGAGTTTGACTTGAGTTTGAGACCAGCCATGGCCAACATGGCCCGTCTCTACTAAAAATACAAAAATTAGCTGGGCATGGTGGCGTGTGCCTGGAATCCCAGCTCCTCGGGAGGCTGAGGTGGGAGGATTGCTTGCACCCAGGAGGTGGAGGCTGCAGTGAGCTGAGGTTGCACCACTGCACTCCAGCCTGTACAACAGAGTGAGACTCTGTGTCAATAAAAACAAAAAACAAAAAACCCCATGAATATCAGAGAAGGCCAGTAGACATCGAAGTAGAATCAGGGGCCCAAGAATAGGGGTGCCAAGCTGAGCTTCTCTGAAGAAAAATGCACGTGAATTTGGGGGAAAGAAGATTGGTCTGGGAGCCAGGGGACCAAGGGGTTAGGCTAGTCTGCACTGCCAGGTGGGTGGTCTGGGGGAGGGTCTGGAGGAGGTTCTCAGGCCTGGCTACACCTGAGAATCACCTTGGAAGCTTTTAAAAAATATTACACAGATCCTACCCTGCCCCCCAGGCTCTGACTTATTGTTCCATGGTGGGCCTGGCCGCCTGCATTCCCCATCCCTACCCCGAGGTAATTCTCACGTGGTTTGGAGAAGAACCCCAGGGCTGGATGAGCCCTCCTCTACCTCCTATGACAGCAGCTGCCTCTGGCAGGACAACCCCAGAGGCAACGGGATTGGAAGAAGGGCAGCAAACTTAGGGTGTCCTTCATCAGGAAGGGACTTGACTTTGTCAGAAAGTCCTCCTGAAAGTCTAACTGAAATCTCTCCGGGACTCTCATAGTGCTTTTCGCCAAAAAAGATGCTTTGGGGACGATAAAATGCCTTCTTGGATGTCCTCTTCTTTGCCTTCTGGGAGAGGCTTTTCCAAGGGACAGCAGGTACCCTGAAGCCTCTCAAGGGCTCTGTGAACCCACCTTGTCAGGGAGCAGGGAGCCCGTGTGTTCAAGGCTCGGATCGCCTTTTGTTTCTGAAAGGATTACATGCACCCCTGAGAGGTGAGGGGGCCCCTCCTTTTCCCCAACCCACCCCACTCCCCTTCTCCCCCAAAAGCCTTGTGTCGCTGCTCCTTGTTAACAAGTTCCCGACAAGAGCTGCAGTGCTGTTTGGCGGTGTGAGATAAGCCGCCACAAAGGGGCATTGTTGGCGCGCCGGGTGGTCGGCGGGGCGGGTGGGAGCAGCGCTTCACTCAGCCTTCGACGGCAGCGGCATCTCCAGGCCTCCCCTGGGAAAGGCTGGGGGCGGAGTGGGGAGGGGGTGCCTTCTGGTGCCTGTTTTGTTTTTCCCTTCTTAAAGAGCCAGGGCCATGGCGTTGTTAATTTGATTGCACCCACTTCGGCTTCTTGTCTCTCCTGATTAGCCAAGCTCCACCTGAAGCATGAGATTAATTCAGATTGCATGGAAGCAATCAGCTTCAGCGCCAAGAGCCAGTGGGGAGGTGCCAGGGGAGCTGGGGCCCATGGGACCCTGGCTGTCCACTGCTCCAGTACACAGGGAGCAGAACTGGGCCGAACAGTATGTGTGCAAGGGGTAGGGGTGAGGGTCACAGAGAATGGTTGGGGACTTGGACTGCAGAGCTGTTTCTGCTGCACTGGGGGTCCAGTTGAGGCCCTCAAACTCGCCAGGCCTTACTTTGTCCAGCTTTAAAATGGGGCCAGTCACCTCTTCTCTTGGCTCCTTGCTAAAGAGTAGACGCGCAGGACGGGGAGTGTTCTCAAATGAAGATGGGGACCCAGTTTTCCCCCTGCCTCTGGTCCTCTTCTTTTTTTTTTTTTTGAGACAGAGTCTCGCTCTGTCACCAGGCTGGAGTGCAGTGGCACGATCTTAGCTCACTGCAACCTCCCCCTCCCGGGTTCAAGTGATTTCCCTGCCTCAGCCTCCTTAGTAGCTGGGACTACAGGGGTGCGCCATCATGCCCAGCTAATTTTTTGTATTTAGTAGAGATGGGGTTTCACCATGTTGGCCAGGGTGGTCTCCATCTCCTGACCTCGTGATCTGCCCACCTTGGCCTCCCAAAGTGCTGGGATTACAGGCATGAGCCACCGCACCAGGCCTGGTCCTCTACTTTTTATTTATTTATTTTTTTGAGACAAGGTCTCACTCTGTTACCCAGGCTGGAGTGCAGTGGCATGATGATGGCTCACTGCAGCCTCAATCTCCCAGGTTCAAGTGATCCTCCTGCCTCAGCCTCCTCAGTAGCTGGGACTATAGGTGTGTGCCACCATGCCCGGTTAATTTTTGTATTTTTTGTAGAGATGGGATTTCGCCCGATTGCCCAGGCTAGTCTTGAACTCCTGGGCTCAAGCAATTCGCCCCCCTCTCCCTCCCAGAATGGTGGGATTACAGGTGTGAGCCACTGTGCCTGGCCTGGTCTTCTACTTTCCCAAGAATGTTGGAAAAATGATAGTAATAATAATAGCTAACATTTATTGAAAGCTTATTATGTGCACGCACCATGGCTAATGCTGTACATGAATTATCTCATTAACCCTCACTTCTCCAAACACAGCCCTAAGATGTGGGTAGTATTTTTTATTTCCATTTTAGACATGAGAAAAATGACTCTGAACATCAGAATCCTTTCAGAAACAGAAGGAGATGCCATCTTCCTTTGATCACTTGGAAGGTACTTCCAGGTCATTGCTGTGAATACCCTAGAGCTGTAAAGGGCCTGAAGTAAATATTTTAGGCTTTGTGGGCCATAGGTCTCCGTTGCAAGGACTCCACTCTGCTGTTGTACCTGGAAGCAGCCACAGACAACACAACATACAGAACGGGTGTGGCTGGCTTCCAGTTACATAGACCACTGGCCAGATATGAGACCCGGTTACTGAACCCTGCCCTGAGATTTTGTGCACAGGAGTGTTGGGCTTTTAGACTTGACCTAGAGGGATTTTTTGGCTAGGAAACTATTTTGCATTCAGATAGCAGCAGTTATAGGATGCAGGGAGGGAGAGCATGTCAGTTTCAGATGCTGGAAAGCATGGAGTTGTCAATAACAGATCACCGGCTGGGCATGGGATTGTTGTGGGTTGAATTGTGTCCCCAAAAGATATGTTGAAGTCCTCACCCCTGGTACCTGTGAACGGGGACTTACTTGGAAATAAGGTCTTTGCAGATGTAATCAAGATGTAAGTTAAGATGAGGTCATACCAGAGTAAGGTGAGCCCTTAATCCAATAGGACTTGTGTCCTCATAAGACGAGAAGAGACCCACATAGAGGGAAGAGGATGTGAAGCCACAGGAAGAGAAGGCCATGTGGTGATGGAGGCAGAGACTGGAGTGATGTGTCTACAGTGCGAGCAACATCAAGGACTGCTGGCAACCACCAGAAGAGGCAAAGAAGCCTTCTTGCCTTTCAAGCGCACATGGGCCTGCCAATACCTTGATGTCAGACTCCCAGCCTCCCAGAACTGTGACAGAATAAGTTCCTGTTGTTTCAGGCCATGCAGCTTATGGTACTTTGTGACAGCAGCCACTGGAAACTAACGCAGGGATCCAGTGTGTGATAAGACCTTCTCAGTGCAGAGTGCCCAGGGATGGTAGCCAAGCCTCTGCCCCATGGAGCTGGGCCAGGGTAGGGGGGCTTCCTAGGTGCCAGGTTGGCTTCACATTCCCTGCTTTATGGGGAGTGCACCCCCTGTTATGCTCCCAGCCCCAAAGGCCCCAGCTGGCGGTAGGCAGGCAGGTGCAGGAGTGTGCAAAGACCAAGCCCATCTTGCCCCTGATATCCTCCCCAGCACCTGGCTCAAGCTCTTTGCTGTGTAATGGATGAACAGTGCCAGGGCTGAATGCAAGCAAACACAGACAGGAGAAGATGCTCTTTAGAACTGAATCCTGCCACGTCTAGAGTCTCTGTGGACTTGAGAGGCCCAGAGGACTAGGCAGGGAGGGGTGGGTGGAGGCTCAGGCTTCTAGGCGAATCTGCACTCAGCCCCCAGTCTCATTGCTTTCTGGCTCAGGACAGGACACCTGCCAATCACACGAGTCATGAGTCACTTTAGCGGGGGGCAGGGGGTGGGAGCCTTAGGCTTGCCTGGTCTAGCACACAGCTCTAGGGAGGATCCTGGCAGAGTGTCAGCCAGCATCCGGCTGCTCAGGGCACCCCCTGTCACCTCCACTTTGACACAGTCACAGTGAACATGCCACCCCTCCGTTCCCATCTACTCCATTTCTATTGGTGGGACCATCATCCTCATCTCTCAGCCTGGAGCCCTAGATTCTCCCAGCTCCTCTGTCCCATTCATCAAAGCCTGGTATTTGTTCCTTCAGAATGACTCTTAGAGTTCCGTTTTCTCTCCATTCCATGCTCAAGATCTTAATATCATTCCTATCATCTAGTGCATCATGTCCAGACTTCAGAACCATACTTCCCATTCCTCTAGTCTCCAGCAGCCTCCGTCTGGTCAGGTGAGCGCCTCATTGCCTGCCTGGGCTTCCTGCCCCCAGGGTCTTTGCTCATGCTCCTCCTTCCACCTGGATGCCTCCTTTCTTCCTTTGCCCTTCCAAACCCAATCAAGCCCATCCCTCCGGGAAGCTCCATCTGACCACGTCTGTCCACCTTGGGTTTTTCCTTCTCTAACCTCACATCACACTTCCAGTGCCAAACATTTTAGCACGTGATCTTGTCTTGTTTCCTGAAGGTCAGTTCCAGCTTCCTAACGAGTCTGTATGTTCCTGGAGGGCAGGGAGGGTGCTTCAATCTTGCCTTTCTCTCTGTTAGTCTTTGTCACCAGGCTGGACACCCGGGGGCTGCTCAGGAAGCACCTGGTTATTACTTGGCTCATCCAACAATTTATTCTGGCCCCACCATTCAGAGGGGCTTCAACTGTCATTGGGGGAGCAATTCTGGGCTGCCCACTTAGGGCAGGGCTTGGAGGCACTGCTAAGCTCTGTGCCTGCCTGCATTTTCTTATCTATTAAGTAGAGCTGCCCCATGATAACCTTGACTCTCTTTTGTCTCGGAGCATTTCCTGGCACCTTCACCTTAACTGACATACAGGATACACACAATTTTGTGATTCATCTGGTCTCTGCCCTTTATGGTACCTTGGAGCTCAGATCCATCTGGAAACTCTTCAGTGCTGTGGTCATGGGGACTGCAGGGATGAGAGTGAAGTGGTGGTGATGTGCTTTTTGCCACCACTGGCTAAGGCCTCTAAGAAGGAGGTAAGAGCCCAGATGAGACCCTTAGGGACAAGCACTTTTAAACTGGAACCGGAGGATGCATGGGCAGGTTCATCCCTCCTATCCCTTTAATAAAACCTCCCTGCTTGTCAGGGGACCAGGGCGAGGATGGAGATTGTTCCACATGGAGACTGTTCTATTCGACCTTGAAACTTTTGTACAAACGTCCACTTTGGGGTTAGGTTTGGGATGCGATGTGATTGCTCCAGTGATACTGTTGGCATTGGGAGGTCAGTAAGATCTCCCATGTTTCGTTGGTTCAGGCTTATCTTCATCTTTCCTATAGCTCCCTGAAGCACAAAAGCCTACAGCTTCTGAATGCTGGGGCCTGGAACTGGCGACACATGCCCTCGAGTCTCCACTGGCACAACAGAACGCAACCCACTTGTTGAGCTCTAGTCATGCCTTAGTGGGTGAGGGAAAGGGACAGGAGGATGGTGACCCCTCTGAATAGAGGAGCAAACTGAGTCCCTGGGAGAAGGACTATGCCCAGTTTACCCAGGGCATAGCGAGGAGCACTGGGACATGAACAAGGATCAGAACCTTTCTGTCCCCTAAATGAACCACTTGTTTTGGCCTCCCTGGGCTCTGCAGAGGGTGGGGAGAGCCTGCAGCTGGCTCAGGGCTGCAGACCTCCTGGCGAGGGCCCAAGGAGGTTTACTGACTCCTTGCTCCTCTGAGAATGGGGGCTGCGGCGGGGAGCCTGGCCTGATGAGAGGAAGTGTCCAGCCTTTCTCCTCACCTCTGTTTGATGAAGCAGGAGTCAGAGTGTTGCTCCTTATTCTGTGAAGTCTCAAAATCAATGAGGCCAAAGAGACAGCCGGATGATCATTGCCATGGAAATCATCACAATGGCTCATTCTCTCTTCCCTTCCCTCCCTCCTTCCCTCCAGCAGCGGTGGAGGTGGGGGTGGGCACTGGGCCCCAGGTTTCCAGAGGGGACTCCCTAGCTTGGCATGGGCCAGGGTGGGGCCCTTTCTGCCACCTGGAGGCTGGGCAGGTGAGGCCGACTATGATCATTACCTGGCTGGAGAGAGCAGGTGATGGCTCCCAAATCCCACAGCTGTGGCAGGGCCAAGCACCAGGCCCAGGCCAGCGTAACTCAGCACCCAGGCCTCAGCCCTTGAGTGCTGCCCCGCCTCCTCCCCCTGCTGCTTGCAGATGCAGCAGAGAGTCCATCCCGTCCCCCACTCGCCCAATCAGGGGGACTCACAAGGGGAGAAGGGAAGAGCAGAGGGGGTGACCTGTGAGCCCGGATGGGATTGGACCAGACCTGTGGACTAGAGGTCCGTCAGCCAGTCCAGATTCCAGAGTGGGCAAAGGCCTGTGCTGAGCTGGGTGCCAGAAGTGAGAGTTCCCACCCAGGGAGGCGAAGACCAGCCCCAGCCCCCAAGGAGCTTCAGTCTGTGACGAGATAGGACCCACCACCGGGGAACACACAGGAATATCTTGGGCCAGTTGTTTGCCCTCTCTGGGGCCTCAGTTTGTCACCTGTGCTGAGAGGGGCCTTGTGAGTATAGTGTGTGGACACCCAATCCATGTGCCCAGGCTCCACTTACATGCTCTGCCAACAGCCGTCCCTCAGCTCTAGGGGTCACGGCGGTGGCAGGGCCCATCCGTGGGAGGACAGTCTGTGGAGGAGCCCTCGGGAGGTCCTGGAAGCAGGGAATTCCCTGGGTACCTGGACTGTGGTCTAGAAAGGGATTTGTGGGCTCTGAGCAGCCATTTTCTCAGGCTCATAGACTCCTTGCCCTGTGGAAGGGGTGGGGGCCCCAGTCCCCCAGGTCTCAGGGAGGTGCTGCTTCTGTTTGACAAGAAGGAGTTTCCTTTGGGCAAATTTGAAATGAGGACCATCTTGGATCTCCAGACGCACTTTTCCAAAGTTTTGCATCCTGACCTCAGTCCCAGTGGCCAATCATGGTGGGTGACCTGGTCCACGGAGGCCCGAGGGCTTCCTTTGCTAGGCCCGCCCCCTCCATTTCTCAAGTCCCCACGAGAGTTTGGCCCCAAGCTCCCCGCTCCTGATGTTGTGGCTGCGCAGCTGGGTGTGTGCTCGCTGAGGGCACTGGGACCTTATTTTAATTGGTCTGACATTTTGCTAAACAAATAAATCAAAACTCAGACCAAACAAAGAGCCCTTATGGGTTTAATTGGCCATGGGCTTTGTCTAGAACCCAATCACTGGTGCCTTCGCAGAGTGGAAGAGAGTCTGGGAGGTCCAACGAGACCTGTCTAATAAGGTCACCTGCTGGATAAGAGGATGGCCGAGTCCCAGGAGGGCACTGCCATTCGATGGCTGCCTCAAAACACAGCCAGCCTTCTTATGCCTGGGACTAGGCAGCTTGGCTTTGTACCTGCCTCTCGTTGAAGAATTCTCTTTGAAGATGCTTTATTTTTTCCCCATGTGTCAGTTGAAGGGGGAATGACCTCCTCCTCCTTTTGGTCATTATCTCCCTTCCTTTTTTTAAAAATACATTTTAAAAGGGAAATAAAAGGCAGCTCTGTGGACGTGGTATTTTCTTCTGTTAACTAAATTTATTTTCAACCAAGTTCTGGGAGGTGGTCTGGTGTCTT
The DNA here is from genome assembly GCF_000001405.40 of Homo sapiens. NCBI lineage: Eukaryota > Metazoa > Chordata > Mammalia > Primates > Hominidae > Homo > Homo sapiens. The sequence continues at coordinate 117,499,321 of NC_000011.10, forward strand.
GAAAAGACTACCCGTGCTGCTACAGTCACAGCTAGTCTGAGCTGGAAGGGAACTGGGGTCATCTAGTGACTAGATCTTAGTTCAGGCCTCTCACTGTATGGATGAGGAAACAGGCCCAGAGAAAGGAAGGGACAACTCACGGATGCAGAGCCACTGGGTCTGAGCCAGGACTAGCACCCAGCCTTTTTACTCTGTGATCCTTCTACCAAACCATCAGTCCGTAGAAGCAGGTTCTGGCCTCAGCTGGGACTATACTTAAACCAATGACCTTGATCTAATCTCTGACGTTCTGAGAGGGAGCTATTGCCTACCAACCTCACAAGCAAGGTATGGGAACGGCTTTGTAAACTGTAAAATGCTGTACATGCAGGCGGCGATGCTGGACTGTGTGCTTAGGCACTCGTGAGTTCAACCCACACCAAGACTCAGGGAGGAGTGGGGACCACTTGGGCCTGGTTGGTTGCCATCAAAGATGTCCAAGGACTTGGAAAACCACTTGCCTGCTCTAATAAGCCCTTAGCTCCCTGTGGTCCTGAAAAGGGTTCCGCATAGCAGTTCTCCAAGAACTAGCTTGGGAATTCCGACTCCCATCCAGACCCTCGGACTCCTGGAACTCTTGTTTGAAGCTTAGTGTCAAGAGTCAACTCTACATAGAAAGAAAACATTTAGCTTCCAAAGGCCATAGCATCTCACATTTCATTCTCCCTGTCACTCTCTGCCAGACACCCTGAGTTTCCTCAACATAGGACAGTCACAGGCCTTCCTGTCTCCACACTGTGCTGTTTCTGCATCCCTGGAAGGGCGTGAACTTCATCCCTGCTGGCCCTTGTCCAAATACTTCTCATCCTTCAAGCCCTAATTAGAGACTATTGCTTTTGTGAAGCTTTTCTTGACACGTGCTTCTTCACCCCCAGAGTTAAAATTGATGACTCTATCTCAGATTCTTTCTGTATCACCTTGTTTGTAGCTTTTTAAGGCATTTATCATTTTGTGTATCATAGTTGTTTTGGGTGTCTGTCTATTTCCTCTTCAAGATTCTAAATTCCCTGAGAACGGCAGCTCTGTCTGACTCATCACCAGGTTTCTAGCACCTAAAACTAATGACTGCTAGTTATCGAATGTGTATTTTGTGCCAAATACTGTATTAATTGCTGTAAGTGCATGGTCTCCTTTAGACCTTACCAACGCACAAAGTACTACACAGTAATTCCAAACTTACCGGGGAGGACATTGGGGTGACAGAGATTGTTGTCCTGGACCTCACAGCTATCCAGTGGCAGAGCTGGGCTTTGAACCCAGGGCTGCCTGGCTCTAAAGTCTGTGCTTTTAATCACCACACTTTATTGACCTATTTAGTGAGTGCTCAGGGAGCACCATTAAGTGAGTGCTGAGTTATCACTGGAAGCTGCAGGGATCAATGGTATAGACACTCCCCATTAGAAGCCAACCACAAACGTCCAATCTGACACTTGGAGGCTTTCTCTGCTATTATATTCCCTTTGATAGATTTATTTTCTTTCTTCTGCTTGGGCAAAGTGGGGATTAAGATCAGTTTGCTTTCTGAGAGTTCATGAAAGTGTGAGTTCTGGAAAGGTAAAGTTATTTTGGGTCAAAACTTTCCCGAGTGTATTAGGGGCATTGAGGCAAACCTTGAATTGGCTTTGCAAATGGTAGATCTTTCTGTGGCTGGCTCTGCAAGTGGGCGATGATGTGGGCGTTTGAGATGGACTGAGGGATGACGAGGAATGGTTTCTCCTGCTGAGGGCATGGGTAACCAGGTCCCGAAGGTTCTACCTACCTGTGCCCTTTAAACTGAAATCAGAATGGGGGAGTGGGAGAATTGCTATCAGGTTGAGGAAAAGCAAAGGAGGGAAAGAAAAGAGCAGGCAAGGAGAGAGGCTGTGCAGGGCAGTAGCTGGGGCGGGGGGTTACTTGGAACAGGCACCTGCCTCGAAGCAGCAGGAGGCAGAACAAATATTCCAAAGAAGGCCAGGTGCACCAGCAGTCCACCCAGTGCCCACTTCCACCCCGCCCCCCGACAGTGTTGCCTTGTCACAGCAGTGTCCTCTGGCAGCCAGATACAGTGCAGATTCACGCAGGCTGCTACACAAAGACAGTCAGCTCCTCCAACCCCAGACAGAGGCCCTGCCCCTGCCAGCCTCCATGACTGCTGCCCTGGAGCCTTCGATGTCCTTGGCCCTGCCTCTTCCCCTCCTGCTGGATTCTGGGTGGCATGAGGGCCTCTGGGATGGCTGGGGCAGGTCACTGGGGAGAGTGGGGCCGGAATGGGAGGGGACATTTGTGACAGGAGGGGTGTGAGAAACGGAGGATGTGTGAGAGGGAGTGTGTGTGTGGCAAGGCTGGAGAGCAGCCCATCTGAGAGCCACGCAGGAGCCATGAGTGGGTGTTGAGAGGTTCTGAGGGTGATCAGAGGTGCCCTGAGCGGGATGACGTGACCCCGAGGTGTGGAGAGACAGCAGCTGTGTAAGAAAGGTGTGTCGCTAGCCCTACCAGGAGAGAACTGAAGTAAGACACCGAGGCCTGCAGATGAGGACATGGGGGAGGAAAGGAAGGAGGAAGCCAGGTCCAGGTTCTGCCCAGCAGTGACTGGCATAGTGGGAAACTCCTGCCATTCCCTTGGGAAGATGGGGCCCCATAGGTGAGCCCCAGCGTGTGTGTGGTGCGTGAGGTTTTGTGCAGCATGTGTTCAGGAGGTGGCCCTGGATTTACCAAATATGCTCCTTCTGAACCCCTCAGAGCACTTTGCAGTTGCTGCTGGGTTGCCAAGTGAGGATGGCATAGGAAAAGTACAGGCCCGCCAGGGGAAGTGGTTTGCTCCAGGGCCCAGGGCATCAGTGACAGCCTGAGGCACGTGGGGTCCCCTCACACACAGCCCAGCTCCTGACCGCTGTGTCCTCCGGCACCCGCGACCCCTGCATCTCCATGGAACAACTACTTGCCACAGAGCCGGCAGCTCAGCGGAATCCCCCAACTTAAAGGAAAAGGCAAAGAACAACAACAGCGAAAAAGCATCTACGAGTTTGGGAGATGAGGAGGGTTGCAGAGGTGCCTGCTCTTCCCCCGCCTCGCGCAGCCAGAATTAGCCAAGCTCTCCCAAGCTGAGGGATGTAGATTGATTGCCTGGTTTTATTAAGGACAAAGTGCTTTTTGATAGTGTGAGGGAAGTGGCTCCCCAGGGCGGGGATTCCGGCTCGGAGCTCCCTGAGCATCGATCGCTGGGGCTTCCCTGTCTTATGCTGAGCTGAACGCGGGCTTTGGCAAGTGATAAAGAAGCTATGATTCTTAAAGGTGGGAACTCTGGGGAGAGGCTGGGCAGACCACACACGGGGCTATGCTATCAGCAGGCTTTCCCACCTGCACCCTGGAGGGACTGCCACTACACATAACAAAGCTGGCCAGGTCATGAAATCTTTGCTGGCCACTTACCATACCGGTTGCTTCACTTACACCATCTGACTCGCTCTTGACATGAAATGTAACGGGTAAGGCCCTATTACGAGCCCAACCCCCCGCTCATAGTGTAGATCAGGAAAATGAAGTAGCACGAGGCCAAGTATGCTCATCAAGGTCCCACGACAGTAAGTCCTGGCTCCCAGATTCATACTTGGCCGGGTCAGACGCTAACACTCAGGCCCTTATAGCCATGTCTTGACATGGGGCCAGATGGACGTGGCCCTTCTGATGTGATTCCCAGGAATCCATTATACAGACACCTGCAGCGTAAAGGGAGAGGCTCACCCAGTAGGGATATCTGTATGAGACTTAAGAAAATCCTGGGATAGCAAATAGGCAGTGTGCTTCTAGGGCCGTTGAGGCTGGCTCTGGGCAGGGGGATTTAGAAGCCGTGGGGGCAGCACCGAGTTGTAATGAGCTGCATTGGTCCTTGGGCTTTTCTGAAGCATCCTCCTCTTTCCAAGATCAGTTCCTGCAGGACTCACAACAATTTTGTGAGATCAGTGGGCTGGGAAGGGAACCCTCGTACAGGTGAGGAAACTGGAGCACAGGGAGGGGGAGTGACTCGCCCAAGGTCACTCAGCTCATCAGGCTGATCTGGAATTGGAACCCAGGTTTTCTGACCTATAGCCCCTTCTTCTACATTGTGTATATGCTATTTTCCTTTCTAAGCCACAAGCAGGTTGTACACAAGCAAGTGTATATTAAGTAGCAAAAATAAATGGTTTGATAGGATTATTCAGATCGAATCGCCAATCTACAGACCAAAGTAAACAGGATGCTACGTGATATTGCAGCAGAGCAAATCATGAGCTTATTGTGACCAGGGTGGGGTGAGTTGGGGCCTCTCAGGGTGAGGCCGCTGTTTTAGATGACAGTGCTTTTGAATGCCCCATCCAAGGGTCCCAAGGCCACCTCTCACTAGGAAGCCTTCCTGCCTCCCCTTCATAGATGAAACGACGGAGACTAAGAGAGTAGGCAGGGAGAGTGCAGAGCCGGGGCTTGGCTGTGATTTGGGGGTGCTAGGGGGCGTGTGGGGACAGGACTCACTCTTGACTGTGAGGAACATGGACTTGCTGATGTCGGTGCCTACGCCGTTGCTGGCCTGGCAGAGGTAGTAGCCGATGTCCTCTTCTAGGACGTGGCGGATCAGCAGCGAGCTGTTGGGCAGGATCTGGATGCGGCCAGTGAGGGGCACAGGGTGGTACTGCTGGGGGTTCCCGCTCCCTGGAAGGAGGCAGCTGTTAGGAGGGCTGAGTCTGCACTGGGGCATAAGCTGAGAGTGCCCCAGGAGTGGCCCTGACACCTCGCTCTTGCAGATCTAGGGCCATTTTGTAGCAGAGCTGCACCATCCCCAAAGTGCTGAGGCCACATGGCTCCTGGTGGGCAACAGGAAAGACCCCCCCACCAGAGGACTGGCCTTGCCCCAGCTCTGATGCAAGGAGATGGGGTTGGGAGTCTCAGCTCAATGCCCACTTTGACACTGGCATGGAGCTTCTTTGGGGTAAATTCCTTGGAGAGGAAGAAAGAGCTGTGTTTGGCCAGTTGGCTGCAGGTGGAGAGAAGATTGAGCCTTCAAATGGCAGTTGTCTGGTCTCAGGCAACCAGGCCTGGGAGAGAGGCCAGCATCCTCCAAGGGGGCCTTGTGGGCACCCCCTGTCCCTCCATTCCCCAGTGTCAGTCACGAATACAGTCTAGGATTGGGCCTCAGTCAGAAAGCAAAGGCATCCCTGGGATGAAATTGGGCTCCAAGAAGGACCCTGACCCCAGAAAAGGTTGACTGGTGAGAAGCAGGGGGCTTTGAGGCTCTGGGGCCCCAGGGGAGGGTGCGGTAGGGAAAGCAGGCATACACTGAGTTCTGGGGCGGAGATGGGAGAGGAGAGGTCGCGTCTGGGGGGACAAGAGGAAATACGGAGTCAGCATGATGGCTGTTCCTGGTCCACAGACCCCCGGGGGTGGCTGAGGATGACTCCAGGTGAGGTGTAGCCTGGGGTCCACTGGGGTGCAGACCAGAGGACTCCCATCCAGGGATAGGAGTTGCCTGCATGGAACAGGTTCAAATCCCACAGAGCATCCTCCGTTCCCCGTCCCTGCCCTTCTTGGAGATTCTGGCTGGGCCAGGGGCTTACCCTTGGCATGCTTCCACATGACCTTGGGTGGGGGGTAGCCGTCCACCGAGCAGTTGAGCACACCAGCTTTGCCGTAGATGCCATCCTGGTTGTTGGGTTGCACCACAAATCGAGGGGGCACTGCAGAAAGAGGGAAGGTAGGGAAACAGACCATTTTAGTCTCTGATGGGTCTCCTAGGGCTTCGAGCACCTTCTGTTTGAGGTCAGCCCTGCCCGGGCCATTATAAAGTTGGAAGCGGGCAGTTTCTGAAACCCAAGATGCTGAGAACTTTTGTTGAGTACTGGGTAGGGACTTGGGAGCTCTGAGTTCCAGTCCTGCCTTTGCCACTGACTAACTGAGCAAGTGTCTCTCTGCTCAGGGCTTCGGTTTCCTGCCCTGGAAAATAAGAGGTTTAGGCTCCAACAGGCCCTTCAAGATGCTGGAGCCCACCTTCCATGAGCCCGTGATTGGAACTGGAAATCTAGAGACTGCAGTAGCAGCAGGCAGAATGGGCTCCTCCCTCCCCTGAGGCTGGCCTGTCCCTGCTCACCACGCACGATGAGCTGGCGCTCCCGGCTCACGGTGGCGGCTGCGTTGCTGGCGATGCATGTATAGTTGCCGTTGTGCTTGAGGGAGACGCTAGAGATCTGCAGGGAGCTCATGAATTCCTTGCTCTCGATGGTCACGCCCGAGCCTGAGATGATCACCTGTCCGTCCTTCCTCCAGGTGATACGGATGGGCATGTCCCCCGAGGACACCACACAGGGAATGTAGAGCAGCTGGCCGATGGAGGCGGGTGGGAATTCGAAGGGCTGGATCAGAGGGGGCACTGGGAAGGCAAGCGGGTGCTGCCGTCAGGACCCTGTGCATTCTCACCTGGCCGCCAACGCCGCCTCACCTGCCTTACCTGGGGCTCTGGGTTGGGCCTTGAACAAAGATCCCCTGGGGCACTGCAGCCTTGTTCTCCTATGCATGCAGGGTCTCCTAATGATGCCTGGCTCCTGTCCCTCTGCCCGCCCAGGCTGGGACCCACTGTCTCTGTTCAGGGCCTTGACTGGCCTGGATTAACTCTGACCTTTTGATGTGTCCTGGAATTTGATTCATGCCTGCTGATCTCTGCTCACCTTTCCCTCCAGCTTCCCTGCTGCTCCTCGGCACCCCTGTACCCACCTTCTCATCCCAGTGATGCAGCTCACAGCTCTCTGGGGGCCTGGGATAGAGGTGAGGTGCCCGGTGGCAAGAGGGGAAGCGTGGTGCTGGGACTGTCCCCCATGCATGTCCTACGGCTGCTCATCTGAAACCAGAGCACTGAACTCTGGGTCTCCCACAGGGCCCTCAGCCACCTCACCCCTCTTTATTGTCATTGAGTGTCAGGACAGGCGAGTGGAAGCTCACATCACTGTTCAGTTGCTTTATACACATGATCTCACCAGATCCTCCTACCAATAATGTCCCCATTTTACAGATGAGAAAACTCAGGTTCAGAGCAGAAAAGAAATTGCCCTAGGTTGCCCAGTTCATAAGATATGACCATGGGATTTGAAACCCATGGTCTGCTCCTCAAGTCCAAGTGTCATCACCGTGTGGCTTGGTTGCCTCTCCAAGAAAGCCCCAGACATGCCCAGACAAGAGACAAGAGATAACTTTTTTTTTTTTTTTTTTTTTTTTTTTGAGACAAGGTTTTGCTCTGTCACCCAGGCGGGAGTACAGTGGCGTGAACATGGCTGACTGCAGCCTGGGCTCGAGTGATCCTCCCATCTCAGCCTCCCAAGTAGCTGGGAATGCAGGTATACACCACTGTGCCTGGCTAATTTTTAATTTTTTTTAAGAGACAGGTGTCATTATGTTGGCCAGGCTGGCCTCAAACTTCTGGTCTCAAGTGATCCTCCCACCTCAACATCGGAAAGTTCTGGGTTGACAGGCAAGAGCCACCACACCAGGTCCAGAGATCTTTTTGTCTTGTAGGTGAGCTTCCTTGGGTGGCAGGAAAGAGCAGAGAGGAAGCCCTGTCTTCTGCAGGACAACCAGTTGGTTAGATGCCTCTGGGCAAAGCACCATCCACCCAGCCTTCCTCCCGCTAGAAATGCAGCCTGCACCCCCCTGCCAACACTGCCTATGTCTCAGCCCCTGGATGGCCTGTCTGGAGCCTGAGTCGATGTGAGATGGATCCTCCTTTCTCGGCTCTGGCTAGAGCATCAGCCATTATCTTTATGATAACTCAATTAGGCTGCAGCGACTTCCCCAGCAAGTGGGGCAGAAGAGAGAAGGAGATAGACAATTAGCTTAACAAGGATGAGCACCCAATAGATGAGATCTCCTTTCTGCAGTCGAATAATTAAATTACAAGGCCATGCACAGTCCTCTAGCCTTCTCCCAGGCACCAGCCGCACCCCTCCCTGGAAGCCTGCTACTCTCTACCCTGGGCCCATCCAGAGTGGCCACAGTGGGGGATGGGCTCTGGGGGCAAAGACGGATGGCATCAGATGCATGGCCCTCCGCCCTCAGGGCACCCCTGCACTTTCAGGGCTCAAAAGGGAGCTGCCTGCAGGGAGCAGCCAGGTGTGGACACAGAAAAACCCAGGCAGCCCTTTGGATCCTGGGAGAGTTCTTGATCAGGAGCTCTAGGTCCAGAGGAAGTGATATTTAGGAGGGATGTGGCCTCTGTGACCGTCAGTAGGGCCCTCAGGTGACCCTTCCAATGTCATCTTCCACCTCGCGCTCACTCCAGCCTGTGCTCCCACCAGCATGCCGTGAATGCCACAGCCCCACACCTCAGCCTGCCCGAGTGAACACCACTGGGCATCTGTCCTTCTCATCCCCAAGCACATGGGCTCCTCACCTACCAGCTGGCTTTGATCCACCTTATTCCAGATCCACCTGGAACCTAAATCCCAGCCAGCTTTTCCGGGGTTCTGGTCATGGCCTGGACCACCTCATCCCAGTCTCTGGCGGCCTCTTTTCCTGGGTTGGGACTCTGCCCCCAGTATTCTGAGTGGTTTATCGGGCCTTAGACATCTTCAGATAGATTTCTCTGGAGCCCTGACTCTAGCAATGGCTCAATGCCCATTCCTGAGACCTCCCCGAGATCTCTCTTGTTGGGCCCCTGCTGACCCCCCTCCTAGTTGGTGTGTATCCCTAGGTCAGATCTAGGCCTCCCAGCTCCCTTGGGCTTTCTGATGGATTGTAGCAGAGACCCAGATGTGCCGCCCAGTTTGTTTCCTTAGGCCTAGAAGAACCAGTTCTGGCCAAGTCCTTCTCCTGCTCACAAAGGCCTCCTGGAAAACTCCCCTGGGAAACTCCCCTATATCCTTTCAGATCCTGCTCAAATGCTACCTCTTCTGTGAAGCCCACCTTCCTTCCACACAGCCCTGAAGCCTTCGGTCCACACCTGGATTAGGGCACGTATCACATGGCTGTCGGGGTAACTGCATTACCCCCTCCCTGGGGTAACTCCCTATATAAGTCCTTATATAACTAGGACTTATTCACCCAGCAAACTGTAGGTGCCCGATGAGTGCTTGTCGGGTGAGGAAATGCACAAACATACGTCTCAATATCATTTCCTAGGGTGACCTCAGAAGTTCACCTGCGAGAGGGCAGGGGGTACGGCAAGCACAGGATGGGGGCTCAGCTAGAATAAGAGGGGGGGTCTGTGCTGCTCCTCGAGATGCTTTGGGGTTCTGGAACCTTGGTCCCTTGGTCCCTCCTAGGGGCCAAGCCCTTGCTGTCACAGCACCGAACAAGCTGCTGTGATTTGAGAGCCCTGTGTACGCTTGAACACGAGCAAGGGGAGGGTGGAGGCAGTGATGAGGAGCTGGAGAACAGGATGTATGGGCAAAGCAAGGAGGTAGAAGGTTCTGCAGAGCCGAGAGAAAGCTAAGGGGCTGTGGAGTCTGGAGGGCCAAGCCCGGGCACAGACGGCCAGAACACCATGTTTCCATTGAGGCCAGAGCCAGTGGATAGAGACATAGTGAAATCAGGCAGGAAGGTTTAGTTCAGGCAAGAAGACTGTCTCTCTCAGTAAGGAGGAATTTAGATAATGGAGCAAGTTACTAAGGCAGGTTAATTCATTAATTAACTAATTCATCTAATATTTATGAAATGCTCCTCTGTGAAGGCATTATGCTCCGTGTGGGCTGGGGAAAGTAGAAACACACTTCAGCTACAGACGGAGCCTCGGGGAGCTTCTCGTTTACTAGGGAAGGCAAGATACTTCCCCAAAGATGATTAGACAAGGACCGCCTGGATATACAGATGCTGAGCTCAAGCAGAGGGCGATGCCATCGGCTGGGGGTGACTGCAGCTTCATGGAGGAGTGGAATTTGAGCTGAGAGTTAAAGGACACACATGCTTTCAAACAATACATGGGGTGAAGGAGACGGAGGAGGCTGAGCCAAGGGGCTGTCATTCCTTCTGGTCTTCTGAATAACATCAACAGCTCCGAGAGGCCACTGAAGAAGAAGTAGCCAACATCCATCCTGGGGAGTTAAACATGCAGCTGGGCTGGTCCCGCGCTCCCAGAGGGCTGTTGGGAGGCAGATGACCAGATGACCTCCCAGAGGCCCAAGGCAGGCTCCTCGCTCCTCTCCAACCCTGCTTCTGGGGGATGGGCAGGTGCGATGCATGGCTGGTACTCCAGGCTAGCCACTCACATCCGGTCAATACACACACCGGGCAGCCTGGAGGGGGAAGAGAGCCCAGGGATCATGGCTCCTCCACCAGCTCATTCGGTACTAGGAGTGCTGTGAGTGGGGTCTCCAAAGCAGGGTGGGGACTCCTCCATATATGTACATGGCTGTCCAAATGGGGCTTGCCTTCTGACCTGTGAGTCAGCGGCGCCCTCTCCAGTGCTCAGGGCTAGTAGCTGCATGTGTGCCTGGCCATTTCCATTTCTGGGAAAGCCATCCTCCCGGAGGTGGGGTCTGACCCCCTGCACCCTGGTGATGACCTGGGCCCTCTTTACTGTGGAGTCCAGCCTACAGATCTGCCCCCGAGTCCCAGCGTGTCCCTAGCAGGCAGCTGGATGTAGGGGGCATGAATGCCTCACAACCCAGGGCTTTCTCCCCAGAAGCCCTGCTCTGGCCACAGTCATCTTTAGCAAGGTGCTGCAATGGTGAAGAGGCAGAGGCCTGAGTGGCTGAGAAGACACAGTGGTCGAGGCAGGCCATTCAGTGTCCAGTCACCATAAAGCTTTTATGGCCACTTGTTTGGGAGTGCTGCACAGAGGAAGGCGTGCTGACCACCAGCCCAGCTCAGAAACATTTAATGGTGTCTCTCATCATCTCTCTTTGAGATGGAGCCTTTTATTTACTGCACCTGCTAGCAGAGTGTGCGCCGTGGGAAGTCTGGGCTTCTTTGCCCTTGCAGCACGGAGATGGGGCACTAGCCATGCCTGGAACCCAAAACACCCGGTTCCAGACTCTGCTACCCATTTAAGTGACTGTGGGCAAGGCACCTCCTCATCACCATCCAGTCTAACCTCAGTTTTCTCATCTGCAAAATGGAGCGGTTGAACCAACTAATCACTAAAGTCAGACACTGATTTTCTAGTTAAAACAAGTCCCATATTTTGGGAATAATGACAGCTGACTTAAGTTTTTACACAACCCTCTCTTCTCAGGAAGCCCATCCCAGATCGCCTTATTTGAAATTGCAAACCCCGTCTCCTTGGCACTCTCAGCCTCTCTCCTGTTTGACAGGAGACATCTCTGGGGTATTTACCGTAGGATCCCTTTCCTCACTAAAATGTAAACTCCCTGATGGCAGGGATTTTTGTCTATTTTGAGCATAGCTGTATTCATAGAACCTAAAATAGTGCCTGGAATCTAGTGGAGGCACAGTAGATGTCACTGAATGAATGACATTCGTGGTCATTATCCTCATCACCACTACCATCGTCATGAGCCCTGTCTGTCCCACGGGAGTTTGCTTCCTCCTTTGTTACTGGCTCCCTTGGCTGAGGAAGTAAGGTTGTTGGCAGTGGCTTCCTTGGTGTTCCTCCCCCAAATGGCATGCAGGCCATCTCCTCCTAGGGAGCCTGCTGTGCCCCTTTCCTGTGGATCCCAGTGAGGTTCCTCCCAAATCTCCACCTTCACCAGTAGCAGGCACTTGGCCAGGTGGCTGACTCTCCCTTAAGCTTATCATCATAGAAACCCCCAACCTACTCGTTAGGGTGGGAGAGGGTCTCTGGCACATGCTCCCAGGCATACGGCAGAGGCTGGGTGGAGCAGTGCTGAAGCTCAGCATTGAACAGCTAGGGAAAAATTAGGGAGGGAGGAGGGAACATGGGCATTTGGGAGAGAGGGTGTTTGTGTGTGGGTGAGTATGTCCCTCTTCCACTTGTCCTCCACAGAAGCCTGGCACCACCTCCCTGTCCTGGTCCTGCTGAGCATGGGCAGAAAGCACCTCTTGGCCTTGTTTTGGCTCAAGAAGCCCTCGGAAGCTCAGATGTAGGAATGGAGATGTTTCTTCACGGAGCCAATGCAAAGGGGCCCCAGTTGCAGCCCTGCCTTCCTAGTTAATTAAACATTCAGCCTGCATGCCCAGAGATGCTTTTGTGCTACATTATTTTTCAGCTACAGGTGGCCCTAAAGTCACCAAATCTAGGTTTGATCTGTGTGCTCTCCTCTTAGCATCCTGCCAAGGATTTCTCCGGATGACCAGAGACAAATACCAGCCATCCCTGCAGCCTGGCTCTCCACTGCCAGCCAGTGTCACATATGCCAAGGCACACACAGCCTTCAAAGCACCCTCCACCCTCTCTCCTCTCTGCTCCTCCCACTTTACTGGAACACAGCAGGCTCCCTTGGGCAATATTTCATATGGTCCCACCTGCAGCCACTTTTTGGGCTCAGGAATGTTGCCTTACGGGAGGGCCCTGGTGGACAACACACTTGCGTATGTGTAACTGCTGGCATGCATGTTTACGTATGTGTGCTCAAGTGTGAATGGGCTAATGTGTTAATTGGCTGCACGTGCATGCAATACGTACCAGGGTGCACACGCACGAGTGCTCACACACAGGTCTCTGCACACATGTGCAGGCATGTTGGGCGTGTGCTGCTGTTCGCAGCTTAGTGTTAGAAAAATTCGTTAGAAGACAAGCAGTCCCAGAAGGAATGGAGTCAGCAGTTGTTTTTCCGGCTCATGGAGCAGCATGGGTTTCAGCCCCACCCTGCCCACTGACCCTTGGCCCCACAGAGAGCTGGGGTGGGAGACTTCCAGTTTTATCTCACACTTCCGGTGCTCTGTCCCCACCATCCCTGCCCCCGCAACTTGCCCTTTTCTACTTTCTAGCTCTCTGCTCTGAACCTTGAGTGGGATGCACTTCCTAGTCGGGCAGCAGCAGTGGGGTCTGGAGAGCTGCCCCCAGGCCCACACCCTTCTCCCCCTCCAAGTCAGGGCCCCCGCCATGCCCACGGGCACCTCCTCCACCCCCCTCCTTGGGTAGTTCTTGGAACAGCGCATCCGCTAATCAAGCAGCGTGATCATAATCAGCTCTGATGGTTCTTCTGCAAAAGCGCATTCTAATGAGGTGGGAGAGGGAGTCAGGGAAAAAATGGGGATGAGGGGGCCTGAGCTTTTGGAGTGGTGGGGGCACGTCCCAGAGCCCCTCACACCCATGCTGCTTCTTGGTCCAGAGAGAAAACAGGTGACTACACCCGCCTCAGGGCTGGATTTCTGGGATTTTTTCAGACCCTGAGGGTGGGGAAGGGGGAAGGTGTGCATGCAAGCGTGTGTACACACACACACACACACACACACACACACACACACACACACATGCCTGCTATGCACAGCTTATGCTGGGTGCTGGGGACTCACACGTGGCCAAGGCATGGGCTCTGTCCTCTAGGATCACACACACACACACACACACACACACACACACACACACACCCCTCCCCTTCCCCCCACTTCCCTCCCTCTCCCTGGGCTGCAGAGACACTGTCGCTCAGCACCATCACAACAGGCCCAGCGAGTCGCCGAGACGGAATGCATCAGATTCAATTCATTAGGACTGATCACTCCCTGAATGGGGCTGAATAATTGATGAGCAGAAGCAGCTTTCAGGACGTTCCGAGTCCTCTGAGGCCCGCTGCACCCGTTATTATTTTTTTTAAGCCAACAAACCCGACCAAATGCTTGCCAGTGAGGGCTGGCGCAGGGAGTGGAGCAAAGGTTAGATGTTTTAATATGTGATGTTTACACTTAAACTCTCGGTCCACTGCTTGTAAGGGAAATGGATACAGGCGGCCCGGCCCGTGATGCTGCTTAAAGGAGGCAGGTTGAGCTGTGTACACAGCCACCAAGCTGATTTGTCCCAGATGACAGGGGCGGGGATGTGGGCTGGGGGTTGTTAGGTCCCTGGTGGTACGGCAAGGCCCCTGGGCTGGGCAGAGAAAGTGGCCAGGATGCCCTTCCACATGGCTCCCTCGCAACAGCAGGGAAATGGGTGTTTGGCTGTGAGGGTCTCCTCTCTCCTCCCAGACCTCAGATGGCCACGGTGAGGTTTCCTAGTAAGTTCTCAAAGTAGACTTTGACAGTCCACTTTCATCCGGGAGCGGTGGCTCATGCCTGTAATCCCAGCACTTTGGGAGGCCAAGGTGTGTGGATCACCTGAGGTCAGGAGTCCGAGACCAGCCTGACCAATATGGTGAAATCCCATCTCTACTAAAAATACAAAAATTAGCTGGGCGTGGTGGCGTGCGCCTGTAGTCCCAGCTACTCAGGAGGCTGAGACAGGAGAATTGCTTGAAACCAGGAGGAGGAGGTTGTAGTGAGCTGAGATCACGCCACTGCACTGCAACCTGGGTGACAGAGCAAGACTCTATCTCAAAAAAAAAAAAAAAAAAAAAGTCCATTTTCCTGGGCTCAAAGTGAGGTTTCCTAGTAAGTCACTCCAACTCAGCCTAATGTCTCAGTTTCAGTTCAAAGCACACACTGTCTGGCACTGTGATGGGTGTTGGGCACACAGGCTTGTGACTCGGCTCCTGTGCACTGATGGCAGGAGCTGGGGGAGAAGTCTCCACCCAGCCTTCCACTGCCACGTTCAGTCCTTCCAGCTGGCCACCAGGCCCTTCCACCGGATGTCCAGTGATATCACATGCTTGAGGGTCCTCCACAAACCCTTCCTCTTCCCATATGTCCCTCTTGCTGCCGATAGTGTGTGTGTTCCATGTTGCTTCCAGTCTTGGGCAAAGCAGCAGCCAGGGGGTCCCCAGGGCCTTCCCCCCATGCCAGAGCCCCTTCCCAGGCCTGGACCCCTCTTCTCTTTTTCTTCCTTCCATGGGCCTCCTGCTAGCTCTCCTCCCCTGGTCAACGCTATTCCTCCCTCTCTTCCCTTGGGGATACAAAGGGGGTTCTCCCCAGCTTCCCCTCCCCACTGCCCTGGGTTGTGACACAGATGCTCAGGAGAGGGAAGCCCCCAGGTGACAGGGCCCTCAGAGTTCTCAAGGACTCTTGTCTCTTCCACACCCTCCCTGGCAGTCCCAGAAGCTCTATGTCTTTATTCCTAAGGCAGAGCATGGAGCAAACGGTCCTCCCTCCAGCCTGTCCTTTCCCTGGCTCGGGGCCATTCTCGGTTGGAGCCCAGGTTCTGGAGTTATGCAGACCTGGGAAAGATTCTGACACCAGATGGCAATTTACTTAACTTTTCTTTTCTTTTTCTTTTTTTTTTTTTTTTTTTTTTTTTTTGAGATGGAGTTTCACTCTTGTTGCCTAGGCTGGAGTGCAATGGCACGATCTAAGCTCACTGCAACCTCCACCTCCCAGGTTCAAGTTATTCTCCTGCTTCTGCCTCCCAAGTAGCTGGTATTACAGGCATGTGCCACCACGCTCTGCTAATTTTGTATTTTTACTAGAGACAGGGTTTCTCCACATTGGTCAGGCTGGTCTCAAACTCCTGACCTCAGGTGATCCGCCTACCTCGGCTTCCCAAAGTGCTGGGATTACAGGCGTGGGCCACTGCACCCGGCCTTTCTTAACTTTTCTATGCCTCCACTTTCTGCCCCGAAAACTGGGGAGGAAATGTTACCTGCCTTAGCTGAGTGGGCAGCTGTGGGGTCGAAGATGGCACTGCACGTGGAGCATGGAGCAATGTGAGAGGCACACAGTGCGCCTGCCGCAGTGACAGTGGCAGATCATTATAACCATCGCAGCCTGCTGCGATAGCCCAGGATGGTGGCTGGAGACCCCCAGACCTCCCTTCCTCCCAGGCGGAGCCCCAGGCTGAGGTCTTCATGCTTCTGTAGCCTCAGGCTGCAGAGGACAGCCTGTCCACTTATCCTCCCCAGGCCTGAGCCCATCCTGGCTCTTCACGAAGAGACATAAGCTCTTCAGCCATCACAGCCGTGGCTGACTCAGTACCCAACCCCTGTAGCCTGGTTTTCACAGGCTTCTCCTTAGTCAAGCCTGGGGGTATCCACCTCCCCAGCCTGGCCCCAGAGAAACCAGGCCACCCTCCTGTCACACACCATCCAGACAGTCTCCAGGTCTGTCAGTCCCAAAGAATGTATTTGGGGGTTTCGAAGACCTTCGCAGCCCCAGAACCAAGGAGACATTGTCATTGACTCACATGCTCATGTATTTGAACATTTATATTCACTCATTCATTTGATCCACAGACTTAGTGAGCGGCTACCCAGGACCAGGCATGAAACAAAGACCTCACCCAGGTGGATGTCAAGGGCCCAGGAGGGACGAAGCTTTTTTTTTTTTTTTTTTTTTTTTTTGAGACAGAGTTTCAACTCTTGTTGCCCAGGCTGGAGTGCAATGGCTCAATCTCGGCTCACTGCAACCTCTGCCTCCCAGGTTCAAGCAATTATCCTGCCTCAGCCTCCCAAGTAGCTGGGATTACAGGCACCTACCACCACGCCCGGCTAATTTTTGAATTTTTAGTAGAGACGGGGTTTCATCATTTGGGCCAGGCTGGTCTCAAACTCCTGACCTCATGATCCACCCGCCTCGGCCTCCCAAAGTGCTGGGATTACAACGTGAGCCACTGTGCCCGGCCTGAGGGAGGAGGCTTTTAAGCACCACACAGCACTTTCCAGGCCTCAAGCAGTACTAGCAGGTGGAAGGGTGTTCCCAGTCCTGTAGAAGCAGCCTGGGTACTGTGTATCCCACAGGGGGTCAGGGCTCCCAGCGTGCTCTGTCAACCCTGGCCTCCTGTTGCTTGTGGCCTCCTTGTGTGGGCCCGCTGAGCTCCTGGGGGCTCCATCCCAACAGCAGAGGCCCCATGCAGCCCATCTCTGACCTGGCCTCTCTCCCAGAAGGCAGCCTGCCTCCTTTATCTGTAACTCACCCTCTCATGCACCTGGGGTGTGTGCTGTCTTATTCTGCAGCCCGAGGAGGACCCCGGATGTAGAGGAGCTCATGGCCTGCGTCCACCCACAGTCTTCTGCCCTGCTCCCTTTTTTCTGAATGCCAAGCTGGGGCCTCTCTTGCTCAGCCTTCCGTTCACCCAGGATTGCCTATTGTTGTCTGAGTCCCAGCTGGGGAAAGGCCCACGCATCCTGGGTGGTCAGGCGGGCAGGGGCCCTGGCTGGTGAGGGAGGCCTACCTTTGACGGCTACGTGAACGCTCTGGCTGATGGAGAGCTGGGGCTGGATGAGGACACTGCACAGGTACTCCCCCTCATCCATGCCCTTCTGCACGTCAGTCAGCTTGAGGGTCCCATTCTCAAACACCACCTGGCGGTGGTTGTCTGGCAGCAGCAGGGCATCCTTGTACCACTTGATGGAGTAGTAGGGATAGCCGATGACCCTGCAGTTGATAAGGGTGTCCCGCCCGGCGACTGCTGTGATGTTCCGCATAGCCCGGATGCTGGGTGGGCCTGGGCAGGAGTCAGAAGAGAGGAGGAGGAGGAGAAGGGCATGTGCTGCTGTCAGCCAGGGACAGCCAGGCACCACCCTGCGGTGCTCTTCTCAGGCACTCGGCCCCTGAGACTTTCGGGGGCGGACATTTGGTGGGGGCACAGGGATGCCTTTTTACAAAGCTACAGACAGGGGCTGGAATTGGGGGGTGCCCACAGTCTCTCCAGGACTCACTGTTACTAGCTTCAAAGAGTTGCAAACGGACGCAGTATATACATGCCTTGGCCAAGAGCCATTCCCCTCGTGGGACAGGGATAGGACCAAACTGCAGCCCCACCAAGAAGTGACTGGGATTTGGGAGGGCAAGTCCTCATTTATGGGGAGATTAAGATTTTGGGATTAAAGTGGAAAGGTAGAGATTTTGTTGTTTCCATTCTACTTGCTTATTTTGATCTCGTACCCAAAAGGAATTTAAGTTAATTACTTAAAAACAACAGGAAGGTCTTCGCCAGGTGAGCTGATGACTTTCGTTCAACAAGTAAATGTGTATTGTAGGCCCCTGGGAAGGAGCTGTGAAAGGGGCTCTGATAGTGCTGGCTGGGGAGAGAGAGTGTCCTGGGCTAGGCTTGCTGGGCAGATGGCAATCTAGGGGATGGAAAGGGAGTTCAGAGGCTACCAAGCAAGACAGTGCTCCACAGGGTACAAGGTACTCTCTGGGCCTCAGGTCCCCATCCAGAACATGAGGGGCCCAACTGGGAAATCTTCCAGGGCCCGACTGGGAAATCTTCCAGGGCCCTGCATCTCTGTCCCCCTTCCAATACAGAGGAGAGGGCAGGAGGGTGGCCAGATGGGAAACCCACACTTCTGTCAGGAGTCCAAGGCTTGGCACAGGCAAATTCAACATGAAACTCCACCTTTGCTCCTTTTCCTACCCCCACGGCAACCAGGGGTGCCCCTGGATCAGTGCCCCTTCCCTTCCTGCTGTCCCCCTGCTCCTCTGCCCTTGGGTCAGGGGTCAGCAGTAGGGTCAGATGAAGACCAGTCAGACCCCATCGGGCTACAAAGAGCTTCAGAGGAGACTGTGTTCTCACCACAGTGACTTGAAGAACTGAGATGTGGGGATGATGCCCTTGAGGACTCCTTTCCCCACTCTTGGAGGCTGCCTTCCTTGGGACACCCCCACCCAGCCTCAGCCTCTTACTCTTGATGGTGTGAGCCTTGCGGGAGAAGATGGTGCCCTGGCTCCTGGTTGCTTATACCTCCTGGAGCATTTTGGGGGCTGGCTCAGTGGGAGGACAGAGGGAGCACAGCTTGGGTGGGCAACCATGTTAAAGACCAAGCCTGGTCCCCAGCCCCTGCACTGTCTTGCCCTTACAAGGCCCTGGTGGGGCTGGCAGATACCAGCAGGTGTTTAGCATACTTGGGCCCCAGAGAGATTTGATGGGGAGGAATGGGCTAGAGGGTAAGAGAAGGGGCTGGGCTGGCTGGATTTCTGGACAGGAGGAAGGAGGAGGGGGAATGGGGAGGTGAATGAGGGTGAACTGTACCAGACACACACACGCACACAAGAATGGATGATGGCGCTTGAGGAGGGCAGGAAAAGGGGACGAGAGAGGGGAGAGAGACCTCTACTAAAATCAAAATGACGATTAATAATAAGTACTAATCAGCACAAGAATAATGGTAACCACAGAGATGGCAAAGGAACTCAAAAACCTATTCTGATATTTAAATGTAGACAGGCACCTCTTACGTTTATTCGCGCCTGATATTCAGCACTGCCCACCAAGTTCCGCGCTGTGCACCGGTACACGCCCCCGTCGCGGATCTGGGGGCCTGTGACGTTCATGTGGCTGATGGTGGTGCCGTCCGACATGGTGTACTGGTTGGTGCGGTGGCTGCCATCCCGCACGATGGGCTCATCGTCGAGGGCCCAGGTGACCGTGGGGGGCGGGGCGCCCTTGGCCGCACACATCAGTGAGAACTGCTCCCCGGGGTTGACCACCTTCTCGCTGAAGGACGAGACGATGCGGGGCGTGCCATCTGCAGGGAGCGAGAAGCCCCCTTCAGGGTCACCAAGCCATGGAGAGACGGTCCCCCCAGCCACCCCACCTCAGCAGGGGAGGAGGCAAAAAGCAGCCATAAGAGCAAACAAGAACTTTTGTGTACATCAATTCTTCTGCTATCCGCAACCCCAAGTGGTGCCAGTTACTGCTGTACATGGATTCAGGCTGTAGGGTTTGCATCCTCCCTCAATCACTTATTAGCTCTGGGTCTTTGGTCAAGTTGCTTAACCTCTCTGAGTCTTTTGTCTCATGGACGGAGGATGGGGATAATAGCAATCATGATTATACCCACCTCATGGATAGTCTGAGGATAAAATGAATTAATACATTTCAGAGGCTTCACACAGCGCTTTGTAATTTCTTGATAAATGCTGCTTCCTCTCAACTCTTCCTCTATTAATAAAGACACAAGCTCAGAAGTTAACTGCTTAGAACTACATATGGAACCGCCTGGCCCTGTGGAGTCTGATTCCAGTTCCCTCTGCGTGGGGCCTCAGGAGGGGGTGGTGGCGCTGCAACCCTGTTAGCACAAGGCCTTAAGTCTGAGGCTGAAAGTGCACAGAGGCGGTGGCAGTGAGGAGTCTTGGCCGGGGCTTAAGTCTTGGCTAACAGAATAACCTTGGACAAGACAATTAACCTCTGTGCCCTGGCTTCCTCACGTGGAACACGGGGATGTAATTATTAACCCTGGCCATCCTTCCGCACAGGATTGTTGAAAAGGATTAAAATAGGCATTAAGTACTTTAAAAGTAGGCCAGCCACGGTTGCTTATGCTTGTAATCTCAGCACTCTGGGAGGCTGAGATGGGAGGACTGCTTGAACCCAGGAGTTTGAGACCAGTCTGGGCAATGTAGGGAGACCATGTCTTTAGAAAAAATGTAAAAAAATAGCCAGGTGTGGTGGCACATGCCTGTAGTCCCAGCTACTCAGGAGCTGAGGCAGGAGGATTGCTTGAACTCAGGAGTTTGAGGCCGCAGTGAGCTATGATTGCATCACTGCACTCCAGCCTGGGCAACAGAGCAATGAGACCCGTCTCTAAGAAACAGAAACAAGAAACAAAAAGGAAGACAAATGTTTGTCTGGTCGGGGTGAGGAATGAGGGCTTAGGTTCCTGGGTGCCTCACACCTTCAAGGAGTGCAGACCCACAGGCTGTGACGAGGACACCTGGGGAGGATCCCATACCTGTGGGGCTTGCTTGGGTTTGGCTGGTATCTTTGTTACGACAAATCCTTAGAAGGAACAGAATTGTGTTGTGTTTGTTTTGGTGGCAATGAAGGAGGAGGTGGGGAACCATTAAACTTGTTTGTAAGGACAGGGTTTCTGCCAGCCCCCACTGCTCCTTTGTACAAATGAGAAAGTGGTGCCTCCTCTGTGTGGGCACAGCCCAGTGCCAGGGCTGATGGGTTGGCAAATGAGGTGCAGGCTGGATTTCAGTCCTCACCTACCCTCTTGGCTGGGCAACGTGTGCAGTGAACAACCTGAACAACCATACACAGAGGTGCTGGGTAAGGAACTCCGGGTGCTGGCAGCTTTAAAGGAGGAGATAGAGAAACAAACAAACAGGTAAAAACCCAGGATGCTGGTGAGACACAGAGCCTGCCTTGAAGAGGTCTCAGGCAGGGAGAGGAATTGCAAGTCTAGAGGTCACTGGCACTCTTCCAGCCTCTGAAGACTCCTCTAATACTGAAATTCTAGTAATTTCCAAGGGCAGAGACAGTAGAGTATGATGGTTAAGAGACCTGAGCTCAAATCTCTGCTCTGTCCCTTGGGCAGAGCTGTGTGAACTCGGACAAGTGACCAAAGCTGCAGTTTCCTCAACAGCAAAATGGGTAACATCATTAAAAAAAAAAAAGTAAAGGCCTCAGCCCAGGCGGGAGGATCGCTTCACCCCAGTTCAAGACCAGCCTGAGCAACATAGTGAGACTCTGTCTCTGAAAACAAAACAAAACAAACCATAAAAAATTAGCCAGGTGAACAGAATAACCTTGGACATTAGCATGGTGCAAGATGGTCCCTGCCCGTAGTCACAGCTACTTGGGAGGCTGAGGTGGGAGGATTGCTTGAGCCAGGGAGGTTGAGGCTGCAGTGAGCTGTGATCGCACTACTGTTCTCCAGCCTGAGAGACAGAGTGGGACTCTGCCTCAAAAAAGGAAAAAAGATTAAAAAGATTTAAATATAAAAAAGGGCTTCC
This sequence comes from Homo sapiens, assembly GCF_000001405.40. Taxonomy (NCBI): domain Eukaryota; kingdom Metazoa; phylum Chordata; class Mammalia; order Primates; family Hominidae; genus Homo; species Homo sapiens. Next base: position 117,520,978 of record NC_000011.10, read on the forward strand.
ACACAGGGCCCTTAGGGTGAGATGGTGCACCGGCCTGGTGTGTAGTGAGCGCTGGTTTAATGCCTCCTGGCATTGCTCCCACCTCAGCAGAAGGGAGGGAATGAGCTCGGCAGCCCTGAACCCGCCCCCTGTGTCCTGGCGCCCCAGCTCACCCTCAAGTGCAATGATGGCAAAGTCCTGGGCGGTCTGGGCCTTGCGGGTAGCGAAGCACTGGTAGGCCCCGGAATGGCTCTTCTGGGCCGAGGTGATGAGCAGCGTCTCGTTGCTGAGCCCGCGGATGGAGATGGCCTCGTCAGGCAGCACCAGCTCCGTGTTGCGATACCAGCGGATGGTGAACTCTGGGGAGCCCGTCAGGGCACAGGAGAGGATGACCGTGCTGCCAATGCCGGTCTTCAGCTTCTTTGGTGTCAGGGTCACATGAAGGGGATCTGGGCCGGGCCAGGGAGACGTGAGGGGAAATGGGAGGGAGGAAAGAACAGAAAAAGGGCTTACTGTGAGTGGAGTGTAGCTGGGGGTAGTTAGGGGTCACAAAAGGCCCAGGTTCTGCCTCCAGACCCCTTGTGTGGACTGGGACTGGGGAATTCCTTACTCTAGTCCTCAGTTTACTCATTTGTGAAATGGCAGGCTCAGACTGAGGGATCTCTGGGTATTTGTTGTTCTGATGGCCTGTGCTCCCCTAAAACGTGTCCCTGTGCCTGGTGAGAGTGTGAGGCTCCCTCTGGCTCACTGAGGAGGGCGGAGACTTGACTGGCTCTTTATTCTCCCCGCCACCCACCTCAGAAACCGGGGGGGGCACCCTTGGCCCAGCAGGCTGTCTCCCATACTTGCGGAGATAACACATTGCTATGTGCTGCTGGTCTGATTTCCTCTAGTTGGATCTGTGGACCCCCTGCTTGGCATTGCCCCACTGCAGGCCTGGAGCTCCCAACCTGGATCCACGTGGCAGCACCTCCCTGCCTCCCCCCAGCTGTCCTCCATGCTGCAGCCAGCCACTCGCTGCTCAGAACTTCCATGACTCCAATTCAGCATGGCATTTGAGGCCCTCAAGGCCCTAAGGGCCTGACTGTAGGGGTTCAAAGGGGTTCCGTTGTCACCAAAGCCATAGGTCTTTAGAGCACCAGCAACCTGCCTGCGATTTCTGCATACCCTGGGCTGTTTCTGGCCCCAGGGCCTCACCTAGAGCATTCTGTGCCTAATTCTTGCTCATCCTTCGCATGGTGTCACCTCTTCCAGGAAGCCTTCCTGGACATCACTCTCCCTCCCAGGTTGGGCTAAGGATCCCTCCTCTAGCCCCGCTGTGTATAACTCACACCACACTGAGCACCCTGTCTCTTCATCACCTCTTTTGTGTCTGTCTCCCTTTCCCTCTGGACTGTGGGCCACTTGAGAGCAGGGTGACGTCTCTCAGCCTCATAGGCCTACCATGACCGGAGTCATTACTGATGGTCTAACTGGCTTAGCAAGCCATTTACAGGCTCCAAACTGACCTCTCCTTGATCTCTATGGGCTAGGGGCTCTGTATGGGGGCTCAGGCTCCCTGTATAGCTTGGTACCCCAAGTGAGGAAGCCTGCAGGAGAGAGGAAGATTGCAAGCTCATGTGGGCCGAGTGCAGCCAAAGCATAAATGACCGCATGCTTGCTTCTCCCTACTCGTTTCCCAGAGCCTCTGCCTGCTCTCCAGGAAATGTCAGTGCACATTGAGTCAGGTGGCCTCCTGCTCATCCCAGTCGCCAGCCGGAGCTCCCAGTGCTCTGCTAGCCACCGTCTCCTCACTGCTCCTGTGTGGGCTTGGCACAGGTTAGGTGGGGGGCTTCGTGGAGGAGTAGGGGGTATGGAAAGCATTGCTTTCCTCTCCATGAACCTGGCAGGGAGAGGCTGTAGAGAGGCTGGCAGATGGAGAAAAGTCACATTGATTCCCCTTGAACCTTGGTGGTCCAAACAAGCCTGCTGTGGGGAGGGGTAGGGGGCTGGGGATCAGAGAAGATGCATTCAGGGTCAGTGTGGGAGTGTACACATCTGGAAGTGGTGACTTGCTGTACATCTGTGAGAGTGTACTTGGATATGGGCATGTTCCTGTGAAGGGATTATGTAGCTGTGCATGGGTACAGGCACCATATACGTGTGCATGCGTACTTGGGGAGGCGGGCAGGTGCATTTTCAACATGTGTGCCTGTGTCTGTGTGTCTCCGCTTGCCTGCATACACTGGTGCAGGAGCTGTGAACACTGCATTTACCTACAGGAAGGTTTGCTAATTTTCCAAGGATTTGAGGGTGTGTTGCCCTTCTGACCTATTTGGAGAGAAAGAGAGAGAAAGAGAGAGAGTGTAGAGCAGGAGGGTGGGAAGGAGGTGAAGGTAATACTGGAATAAACTTTTTCAGACAGTGCTTAGGGCAGGAAGGGAGGTGCCAATCCTGATCCTCTGTCTGCTCTGCTGTCCAGGGCTTGTTTGTACGAGAGGAACCCCCAGGCCCCTGAAGTAGGGCTTTCAGCGTTTTAACCTAAGCATTTGCACCGTGCACTGCCATCCCAGAGCATTTCTTGGGGCTCTTTCTGTTCTTCCACCTTGACAGTGAATTTGTGTTGGGGCGCTCTTCCAGGCACTGTAGATAAACACACTCCAACTCTCAAGACTCTCTTGACTGTGAGGAAGGAGACTCAGCCCTTATCTGGGCTGTGGGAGTCAGACACTAGGCCCAGAAGTGGGCTCTGCTGTGGTTCTCTGGTCAGCCTGAGGGTCTGCAGCCCTACTGCCCTATGCTCACAATGAATGGGAGGTGGGAAGAGAGTTTCTTTGGTCAACCAGGATGAGAGGTGGGATCACCTCTGGACGTTCTCTTTCCACTGCCCACGTTGAATAACCCTCAGGATGCTGTTAGTAATGACAGCCTCATTCCTGTCTCATGAGGCATGGCATTTCCTCAAGGGTGTCCAGATCCCAGCCCCACTGCAGCCTAGAGAGCAGGGAACTCAGAGAGTCAGACTCTTGATGCCGGAGCTAGAAGGAACTTCTTCATTTCACAGATGGGAACCTTGAGGCTGGGTCACACAGGAGTGGAGAGAGGTGGGGTAGGGGGAAAGGGGTGAGCTGGGCCTCACAAATCCGCATCCAGAGTGCTTTCCAGGGCATTCGCCCATCTGCTTCTACCCTCTCTGCCTGCCTTGGGGGCTCCTCAGCAGCAGGGGTATGCTAAGGCCACCTGCTCTCCACACCAGCTCCTTGGACCCCTAGAAGGGGCAGGAGGAGGAATAGGAAGGAACCAGGGTTGACATCCAGCTGGAAGGTCCTGGCAGAGATGATTTGCTTGTTTATGGCCAGTTTCTGATCTGATTAATCAGTGCCCCTATCAATGATTGTGAAACATCCTGAATGTCACCCTAGGATTGGGATGTATGTCCTCTCTAGTGGATTGACAGCTGCCTTGCTTCCCTTAGTTCGGACACTACCTCCCTACAAGCCCGGAAGCCCTGCCCTCATGGCGAGCACATCACCATCACCCTCCTCATCCCACTGGAGCCTCATGACCTCTGGGAGGTAGGAAGGCTGGGACCACTTTCCCATTTTACAGAGAACGGCACTGAGCTGATGGTCATGGTTATGTGATTTGCCCAAAGTCAGTTACTATCTGCTAATGCCAGAAACAAAAGGCAGGCCTCCTGATTTCAAGCCAAGGGCTTTTCCAGGATACCAGACTGCCTTCCCCAGTCAGCCAGGGTTATTCCCAGGGCCTGGTCAGAGACAGGTCCAGCTGTCGGCCACACTCCTCCCCCGACCCCTGAGGCGCCCTCAGAGGTTACTGGGGCTGCAGAAGGGGCTTCCCCGACTCACCAATGACCATGAGGATGCCTGTGGCCTCTGCCGAACCGAAGGTGTTGGTGACCTCACAAATGTAGGTGCCGCTGTCCTCGGTCCGCAAGTCGCTGATGGTCAGCCCTGTGATGCGCTTGGTCCAGCGGCTGTCAGCCGGGAGGGGCCGGCCATCCTTGAGCCAGCGGATGGCGGGGATAGGGTAGCCCGAGGCGGTGCAGGGCAGCTCCACGGTGTGGCCGGCCCACACTTCCTGGGAGTGGAAGCCATCCAGGATGGTGGGGATCGACTCAGCAGGGTCTGGAAGGCAGAGAGGGTCGGCAGCCCTGGCCAGCCCTGGGTGGGATGAAGTGGCGCTGGGGGAGGGAAGGCAAGCACCCAGACAGGAGCCTGCTGCCCACTGGCGCCCACAGCGAGCAGTTTCCAGGGCGGCTCCAGAGGAACATTTCAGGGAGGGTGCACTGTGTCTTCTGTGCTCAGGCCAGACCAAGCCCCAGACAACTTTGACTGGGATTCCCAGCAGGGGCTGGGAGGAGGAGAGGATATGATGGAGTTCGGGACTAGAGTGACAGACAGAGAGACAGATGGAAGAAGGGAAGAAGGCGGAAGAGAGCAAGACGTGCAGGGAGGGAGAGGGTGTGCATGAGAACTCCTTTCCCACGGAGAGTCCCTGGCTTCTTTTTTTTTTTTTGAAATGGAGTCTCAATCACTCTGTCACCCAGCCTGGAGGGCAGTGGGTGATCTTGGCTCACTGCAACCTCCACCTCCCAGGTTCAAGCAATTCTCCTGTCTCAGCCTCCCAAGTAGCTGGGCCTACAGGCACGCACCACCACACCCAGCTATTTTTTGTACTTTTAGTAGAGACAGGATTTCACCATGTTGGCCAGGCTGGTCTCGAACTCCTGACCTCGGGTGATCCGCCTGCCTTGGCCTCTGAAAATGCTGAGATTACAGGCCTGAGCCACCATACCTAGCTCTGTCCCTGGATTCTGGCCCAGGCTGTAGAGCAGTGATGTGTCATGACGTCTCAAGTTTGCAATTCATGGTAAGTATCTCTCTAGGCCTACTGGGAGATGGGAGGACGATCTATCTGTTCCTGCTCTGTCTTCTGCCTAAACTCTGGACAGATTCAGAAATGACCAGTGCATTTCCATCAGAGCCTAGAAGGATTCAGAAGCCCCACCACAGTCACCTGTGACAATCCTCTATTTCGCATTCCAAAACCAAGAGAAACCAGCAACTACGAGACCTGTGGCCTGAAGCTGCAGAAAACCATAGCGCCTGCGGGCAGGATTCTGTGTGCAATGCCCAGGAATTTCTGAGTGGTGTCCTGTCGGCCCTCTCAGGCTCGTTCCCACCCTCCAAGGCCTCTCTGGGTTTCCTGCCCCTGGGGGACCTCCTCCTGTTTTAAACCTCCCCAGGATGCCCCTCACCTACACAACACACCTCCGCTGCTTATCCTCAATGCCAAGGCCTTCTATGATCTGGGCCAGTGAGTCGGCCTGGCCTGCCTACACTGTCCCCTGTCTCCATGGAAGCCTGCGGTGGTGTGCTGGGTCACCTGGGTCACCTGGATGCCCAGCCAGCCTGCTCTGCCTGGCCAGCTCCTACTCATCTTTCACAAACCAGCTTAAATGTCACCTCTTCTGGATGCCTTCTCCAGGCCACTCTCAATGACTCCCACAGATTTTTCTTTTTCTTTCATTTTATTTTCAAAGAACTCCCTGCTATTTATTTTTATTTTTATTTTTTTGAGACAGAGTCTCACTCTGTCACCCAGGCTGGAGTGCAGTGGTGTGATCTTGGCTCACTGCAACCTCCGCCTCCCGGGTTCAAGCAATTCTCTGTCTCAGCCTCCCAAGAAGCTGGGATTACAGGTGCCCGCCACCATGCCCAGCTAATTTTTGTATTTTTAGTGGAGACGGAGTTTCACCATCTTGGCCAGGCTGGTCTTGAACTCCTGACCTTGTGATCCACCCGCCTCGGCTTCCCAAAGTGCTGAGATTACAGGCATGAGCCACCGTGCCCAGCTCAGAACTTCCCCTTCTTTTAAAATAAATGTTTTAATAATAGGTCAGGCATAGTAGCTCATGCCTGTAATCTCAGCACTTTGGGAGGCTGAGGTGGGAAGATCACTTGAGCCCAGGAGTTGGAGACCAGCCCGGGCAACACAGTGAGATCCCATGTCTACCAAGCAAACAAACAAAACCATACACACACACATGACTATAGTGCCAGGTGTGGTGGCACAAGCCTGTGGTCCTGGCTACTCAGGAGGCTGAGGTGGGAGGATCAATTGAGCCAGAGATGTGAGGCTGCAGTGAGCTATGATTGTGCTACTGTACTCCATCCTGGGCAACAGAGCAAGATCTTGTCTCAAAAATAATGATGATACTAATACTAATACAAGCTTTAAAAGTGTTTTAACAGATAAAATAGATAACATATGGACTTGGCAAAACTTCAGAAAGTATAGAAGAGCATGTCATAAAGGGAGTCTCCCCATCTCCCCACCCTCCTGCCCTCTGCCACCCCACGTGACTCTCCAGAGGCAGCCCCCATCAGCACTGCCCCTTCCAAGGGCAGTCAGCACCTGGAAGACCGAGCTCCTCAAGGCAGCGTTAAACCGCTGCTGTATCTCCCCAGGCTGCTGAACCATAAATGTCTAGGGAGGATGAATGGGGCACTCAGGCATGGGCAGGCGAGTAGTCTGATTTTTCTGGATAGAAATCCACATTGCAGAACTGTATAGACTTGTGGAATTATAGAGCTGGCTTAGGGAGCTTGAGGCACAAAGAGATGAGGATGCTGAGACCAGCGACGTACAGGGACCTGCCTGGGATCACAACATGGAGCTAAGATCAGAAGCCAGGTCTCCCCCACCCTTGTTCAGTAAATGGCGTCTGAGATGGAGTAATCTAAAATCCTAAATTTTGCTTAGGAGTGGATAGTGGTCCCTTCACTAATGGAAGCTTTCCTCTGCCCTCAGCAATTGCCCTGGAGAGGGGTTGGGGTGAGAATTCTCCTCTCTAGGGGAAAGAATCTCTGTTCTCTTCCCACCTTCCAGTGCTCGTCAGGGGCTGCCTGTGGGCCACAGAAGGAGCCCGGGTTGGGAATCAGGCTCTCCAGGGGCAAGTTCTGCCTGGGTCACTGAGAAGCCCTGTGACCTTGGGCAAGTTTTGTGATCTCCTAGAGCCCGAGTTTCCCCACCTGCCCTGGTGGAGGTGATAACATTGCCTCCAGACTTCACAAGGCCGTTGCAGGCAACCAGTAGTATAGGTGTGTGGAAGCGCTTTAGACGCTCAATCCAGCTGCAGATGCGTGGGACAATTACTATCTAGAGCTCATGTGCCCTGCCTGCCAGATTCTGTGGCCTCTTCTCCCACCCCCAACCCGGTGGGAATGGCTGGGATAAACAAACCCAGTGCCAAGGAAGAATTACTCAATGTGACACTTAATTGATGCAAAATACACAAATTCCGTGGCACACTGCAGAATTTACAAGCGGAGGGGCCATCAGGGTGGTGGAGGAAGGGGCGGAGGGAGGGAATTAATCACCGAGGCTCAGGCGTGAAATTAAATTCTGAGGGAAAGAAACCTCTTCCATTACTCCAGAGCAGAAGTAAAATGCTGCGGCGTGTACATGGCGACAGCCCGGGGGGACTGGGTGCTCCTAGCACTGAAGCAGGGCTGGGGGAGACAGATGGTCAGGCTTGAGAAACTGCTGGGGGTGCACTGGAGCTAGGCTAGGCTGGCTGGGGATCTGAGATGCCCTGGGGAGGCTGCTGGGAACCCTGCCCCCATAGCCAGCTGAACAGCATTGCTGTGGTTAGGTGGTTAGGGCACCACCAGGAGCATGGCTTCTGCACCTGGCTCTGTCCTTTGTGAGCTGGGGATCCGATTCCAGTCCCTCAGCCTCTCTGACCACTAGTCTCCTCCTTTATAACTGCAGGTGACAATGCCCATCCCACTGAGTTATGGTGGGGACAGAGTGAGTTAATACACCTGAAAGCACTTGGTAAGCTCTAAAAAAGCACCTAGATGTCTGGAATGATTATGATTAGGTTGTATTTTGTGGAGGCACAGACTATTCTTGCAACTGCCTCTGCAACTTGGAAAATACAGAAAAATGAAAGTTGCCGCCCCCCGCCCCCCCCCTTGGGAATGTAGTAGGAATAACAATGTAGCAACAGCAGAACAACCACCACTGACAATAATAGTAGCAGCTACTGTCTGTCCAGAGCTTCCTGTGTCAGGCACTAGCTAAGCTTTTTATAGGCGGTATTTATTTATTTATTTATTTTGGAGACAGAGTCTCACTCTGTCACCCAGGCTGGAGTGCAGTGGCATGATCTCGCGTTCTCGGTTCACTGCAACCTCTGCCTCCCTGGTTCAAGCGATTCTTTGCCTCCGCCTCCCGAGTAGCTGGGATTACAGGTATGTGCCACCACACTCGGCTAACGTTTGTATTTTTAGTAAAGATGGGGTTTTGCCATGTTGGCCAGGCTGGTCTTGAACTCCTGTCCTCAAGTGAGCCACCTGCTTTGGCCTCCCAAAGTGCTAGGATTACAGGCCTGAATCACCACGCCTGGCCTTTCTTAATAGGAGATATTCTGTTTCATTCTCATGGCAACCCAGCAGGAGTACATTTTGTTACTCCCATTTTCCGGATGAGGCAGCTGAGGTTTGGAACATTATTTTATGCCAGGCTGCACAACTAGTGAGTGTTGAGGCGGAGATGGAAAGTTTGGCCTAATTCATAACTGCCATCTTAATAATACACCTCGTTATCTCTCCCCACCCCCAGCAACTTTAGCCCTGAGTGCTGAAGAGACCACAAATGTGCTTCCTGTTCTCATGAACTGACCACCTCCAATGCACTGCCATTTGTGCCATTCTCATCCGCAACAAGCCCCAGGAGCTCTCGGGGGTCCTGGCCTCTAGAGACTGAAACATCTCAGCGGACACTCGTGCCTGCCTCTCTGTGGGGACTGATCTCCACCCTCAGCTCTGGGGAGTGGAACCCAAGTGCAATGGGGAGGGGCGGGTGAGCCTGAGACGGGCTCTGGGCTCCACACAGTGCCAACCCCCTCGGCACTGCTTGCTCCAGTATCAGTTGCATTTTTGCCGAGACAAGCAGCTTGCAGATCGCCTTGTCACATCCCATCACATCAGGGCCCCGCGTCGCTGCATGTGCCCCCTCCCTGGAGCCCCGTCGCTCGCTTCCTTTGTCTCTGTGCATGTCCCTCCGTTCTGCCTTTCCTGTGCCCCATGCCAATCTCTCTTTGTGCCGGGGCCTCTCTCTTGTCTGTCGGTACCGTCCCATCTTCATGCCCGCTTTTCTATTTGGGCTTTATCTGTGAGTCTCCTCCCCCTCGCCCCTTCTCCCGGAAGCTGGTGGTGAAAGAGGAGGGGAAGAAGGGCTGGCATGGCCTCCAGTTCAAAGAATGTCTCTTTTTGAGGGACTCTTGCCTAGTGCCCCCAAAAGCTAGAGGTCCACCCAGGAGACTAGAGGATGAAGGGGCCAAATATTCACGGAGGAGAAGGGAGCAGGCCTGCAGGAAGGGGATTTCTGTGTCTTTCCCACATTGCAGGATAAGCATGCAAATGAGATGCAAAACACCATACACACAAGTCCCCGTCATTTTGAGGCGAGCCCTTTGGAAATTGGGCTGCAGATTCCAAAGTCAAGCCACAAAGATGGGGCTGCACGGAGCAGCCCCGTCCCCTACTCTTATGACAGCACGGTTTCCCTCGGCATTGATTAATGCCATAAATATTTACTCGGCACCTCGTGTGTGTTAGGCACAGGGCCAGGCGCTGAAGACACAGGGGTGAATCGGGAGCCGGGTTGTTGCCCTCCCAGCTCCTGATCTCCTGGCCTTGCCCCACATGTGACAGACAAGTGGAAGTGGTCCTGGAGAGAGTCTCTGTGGGTCAGGGCAGAGCTCATCACCAAACCACCAAACTCAGGGCAGAGCTCTGAGCGGCAGAGGCACACAGAATCAGAGCAGCCACCTAGACTGGTTCCTTTTCCAGAGGCCTAGAGAGGCTGCGAGATTTCATGAGTCTAATCCCAAAAGCCGGGTGTTCTGACTTAGCGTTCATCCCCGTTCCAAAAACTCCAATCTCAAGACAGAGATTTTCAACTCGCAACCCGCAAACTTTTAGGAGGTTGTGAAATCCATTTGGTGAGTTGTGGCCAGCATTTAGAGAAATCAGAATTAGATAGAATAGAATAGAAAATTCCAGAGCGCCTTGCAACGAGCATGGTAGAAAATGCCAGTGTGCATCGCGCAGGCTGTGATAAGAACGTCTGTCTGGGCATTGTGGTCAAAGAGTTTGGAAACCACTGTTCAGAAAGCCTACCTCGAGGAGCGCCTCTCTGTGACCTCAGCATGGGTATGGGCATTCAACTGACCCCTTCTATGGGGTCCTGTAGCTGGAAGGACACCGAGGCCAGGGGTTCAGAGTTTGAATTCTGGCTGTGCCTCCCACTGGTTAAATAGCTCTGGCAAGTCGCTTGGCTTCCCTAAGATTTGGTTTTCTCGCCTGTAAAAATAGGGGAAACAGCACACACCTCACAGGGCTATGACGGTCCCTGACAGAAACAAATGAGGGAATCCCAGATACACAGGAGGATTCAATAAACACCAGTTTCTATCCCTCCCGAGAAGCTATAATCACCCCAAAAGAAGAATCCTCTATTCTGTTTAGAAATATTTTGTTTATAAATTATGTTCTGCCTGCTTTCAAATGTTGCGAGGTGGCCTATGACAAAAGATACATATGTACTCATTGATCAGATAGAATCCTCAGGCCGGGCGCAGTGGCACATACCTGCAATCCCAGCACTTTGGGAGGCTGAGGCGGGCAGCTCACCTGAGGTCAGGAGTTCAAGACCGGCCTAGCCAACATGGTGAAACCCTGTCTCTACTAAAAAAACACAAAAATTAGCCGGGCGTGGTGGCGCATGCCTATAATCCCAGCTGCTCAGGAGGTTGAGGCAGGAGAATTGCTTGAACCCAGGGGGCGGAAGTTACAGTTAGCCAAGATCATGCCATTGCACTCCAGCCTGGGCAACAAGAGAGAAACTCCGTCTCAGGAAAAAGAAAGAAAGGGAAGGGAAGGAAAGGGAAGGGAAGGGAGGAGGGAGGAGGGAGGGAGGGAGGGAGGGAGGGAGGGACGAAATAAAGAAAGAAAGGAAAAGAAAAGAAAGAAAGGATAGAATACTCACAAGCACCTAGAGGCATGGAAATGCAATCCCCCCACCCCCAGCAAAAGCAACACTAATAGTTACTATGTTTGAGTATCAGATTTTATCTATCAGCTTCCTGACAGGAAAGACAAAAAAAAAAGGAAAAAAAAGGGAAAAAGAGGGTGAGTCTCGTAGCCTCATTATTTGAAAATGAAAACATAGCAAAGAGGTCTTCCTTGGTGGTTTCAGTACCTGATTTCTTTAATCTCTTTCTCTGATTTCCCTGAGTACACAGGGGGCTCCTCCATCTGCGGTGGGGCGTGCCAAGTTCCAGGGATGGCCTGGTGTCCTCCCTTCCCAGCCTGCCCCGTTCTCCCCAGGCCCTCTCCCCTACCTGTCACAGAGAGGCGTGCCCCATTGCTCTGCCGGGTCTCCCCGCTATACTTGTGCTTGGTGATGCAGCGATAGGTGGAGAGGGCGTCCTCCTTCTGTACGTCAGAGATGTACAGCCCGCCGTGGTAGGTAATAAAAAACCTGTGTTCTGGAGACACAATCAGGACATAGTTCGTTACTTCCCGGTTTCGTACAGCCTCAGAGGCAGGGTAGCGTCTCTGACAGATGAGGATTTTCACACACAAACAAAATGACAAATAGAAATGGTAGTAATTGTTCCTTTCAGTGTAGATGCTCCAGGGTTTAACAGAAAGAAGCTGGGCTTTAGAGTTAGACTGAGATCTGGGTCCCGATCTGGCTTTTCTACTTATGGGCTGTGTGACCTTGGGAAAGTTACTTAACCTCTCTGAGCCTTATCTGTACAATAGGATACAAATAATTGGGTGGGTGTACAGATTTAAAAAATGGGGCCAGGTGTGGTGGCTCGCACCTGTAATCCCAATGCTTTGGGAGGCTGAGGCAGGAGGATCACTTGAGACCAGGAATTGGAGTTGGAGACTAGCCTGGGCAATATAGGGGGAGACCCTGTCTATTAAAAAAAAAAAAAATTAAACAATTAGCTGGGTTTGGTAGGGCACGCCGGTAGTCCCAGATACTTGGGAGGCTGAGGCAGGAGGATTGCCTGAGCCCAGGAGGTCAAGGCTGCAGTGAGCCATGATCACACCACTGTACTCCAGCCTGGGTGACAGTGTGAGACTCTTGTCTCTAAAAAAGTAAAAATAAAAATAATAAGGTGTCTGGTGCAGAATAAGCCCTCACTAAGTGAATATTAGTTCTCATCTTTCCTACCTCTTTGCAAGAGTTTGCAAAACTCTTTCATATTCCTTGCTCATTGGCTTTTACAACTGTTCGAGATGCTAACTCTATTTTACAAAGAAGGAAACTGAGGCTTGTAGTAAAGTAACTGGCCCAGGTCGCACAGCCAGGAAGTGGACTGGAACTTCTGACTCCCAGTTGTCCTTCTGCATGGAATTATACATAAGCCTCCATCCCCTTCTCTCAATTTAAATCCTTTATTCACTCAACAAATGATTATTGAGGCAAAGCTATACCAGGATGGGGACAAGGAGGGGCAGATACACAAAAATCATTCAAACAGTTCTCAAACACCCGTTGTGTGCAAGGCAGTGAAGAGGACAGGCACGGTGCTCTATGTCTCCTGCCACTGCCACAGCCATCTCTGCCCCGACTGTTGGGACCTAGCAGGAGAGCAGGAAGCACAGGTGGCAGCGTGCCCACTTTGCAGATTGCCACACAAGACCCCCCACTCCATCCCAGAGGGGAAGTGGATTTCCTTGTCTAAGGTCCTAAGGCTCACCCTGACCTTGAGCTGATAAAGGCTGATTTAAAGGAGAAAACTGGACTTGAGGGTTGGGGGGCGGGGTTTGCACTAGACTCCCTAAGCTCATGGATGTGTCCTCCCACTGAGGCCAGACTGAGATGGAGAGGAGAACACTGGGGTCCTCTGCCTCCTCTTTGGGGATTTCCCAGGCAGACCCGGAGGGCCCAGGCTGCCATTTCCATGGGAGGGGGCCTTGGAATCAGGATACTGATAGTGACTTCAAAGCTGCAGGGGAGAGGGTCATGCTGAACCCACAGGAAGAACCCGATAGCACCACATGTCAGGCTGGCAGAGGGAAACATTTTGGGCAGTTCCATGCCCTTCTAGCCCTATTATTTAGAGGTCTGCTACCTGAGGCCTAAGTGACATCCCCTCAGCCAAGATGAGAGCTCTGCTCTTGTGAGGAATATTCTGTGGTATCCCACCCATCTCCCTCCACCATCCCAAGCACAAGTCCAAGATTCTCAGCACCTGGAGGTGGGGACCTCACCGTAGGGCACCTTCTGCCACTGGAGGCCGTAGAACTGCAGGGCTGAAAAGCTGAGTGCACGACGATATCTTTGACAAAGGTTCATCAGCCTTCGTTTGAATATCTCTGGGGCTGGGGAACTCCCTCCCTCACTCAGCAGCCCATTCCAAAGTTGACTTTTAGATCAGTCTTCCTTGGTGACCACTGATCTTCTTGGCGCTCCCTCTGTGTGTCCTGCTTTGACTCACTGGTGCCCCGCTGAACCAGCCGAAACCCGTGTTCCTGACATACTCCCTCATACACTGGAAGGCAGCTGTGATGCCCTTTGAATTTTCTTCAGGGTTAACAGCCTTAGGATTTTATTTTCATTTTATATATTTTTTGAGACAGACTGTCACTCTGCCACCCAGACTGAGTGCAGTGGTGTGATCACAGCTCATTGCAGCCTTGACATCCTGGGCTCAAGCGATCCTCGCACCCCAGCCTCCCCAGTAGCTGGGACCACAGTCATGCACCACCACAACTGGCTAGCTAAAAAAAAATTTTTGTAGAGATGAGGTCTCGCTATGTTGCCCAGGCTGGTCTCAAACTCCTGGATGCAAAGGATCCTTCTGCCTTGGCCCTCCAAAGAGCTGGGATGCCAGGGATTTTATTTTTTAATAGTTATTTATTTAATATAGTTTCAAATAACTTCATCAGTCTGGTCTCTTGCTTCTGAATGAACTTTGGTTTATCTACAATTCCAATTGCCCCTCCCTCCCTCCTTTCTTTCCTCCCTCCCGCACATCTCTGTATAGGACTGGACCTACCATGTGCCAGACACTGTGCCCCACTTTGAGAGCCTCTAAGATTAGACTTAGCCCATCAGAGCAGAGTAGAGCAAGACTACCAACACCCAGCCTCAGCCTGCATCACCTTGTCATGGGGATGGTGTGGGAGGAGGGAGGCACCCCCGTTATACTACTCTCCTTGCAGTCAACTAAAGACCCTGGCCCTGTCTCTGTGAGCTGCTGCCATGCCACTTTCCCTCTCTCTGTCCTTGGACAGTGGTTATGTGGGCCAGAGTCTGGAACTTCCCATTGATCCCGGTTGAGCTACATCTTGTTGGGGATCCTCCCAGATGGGCACTCGGCCATCTGGCAGCCTGCCCGTCTTCTGGAACCTAGAGTTTGTGGACACCCCGCTCTGCCCGGCTCCAGCACACAGACCACAGCCGGGCAGACCCCGCAACTAGGCAGACCCCCACTCGGGGCTGTGGGTGAGGACGAGAAGGAAGGTGGAGGGCGCCAAGCCCTGCAGCTGGCTGTCAGAGGAACCGAGGAAGCACGGAGAAAGCCAGCTCCCCAGTGGACTCTGCATGTGCCGTTTTGTCTCCATGTTGTGACATCCCAAAGTCAAACGCGGAAGCTCTCTTGTAATTTATTATGTAACTGGGACTGGAATGCAGAACTACTGGAGGGCGTTGCTGCCAATCAGAAGTGCCAGTGTCGGGAGGTAGTGATGGTGGGGTGAGGAAAAGCAGGAAAGACACAGAAATCAATGCTCACAGCCGACAGGTGCTCCAGCCCTGGACAGCTAGGACCCTGTGATCTTGCATCTCCCGGCACCTCAAGACAAACAGAGCACTTGGCCCTACGAGGATTTTAAACTAGGGGTGGGGGGTGGGGGGCTGATGCTGCCTTGATGGTTGTGGGGAGCTAGGGTTTCTATAGCAACAAGCAGCTGCTGCATCTGATGTTTCACATCCTTCATTGTCCTCATTTTCCCCTCCCTCCCCCCCTTCTTGTGCATATTTAATTGCAGTAACGTTTTCAGACACAGTGTTTTGCTCCTCCTGAAACAAAGGCAGGCTGCAGCCAGGGGGATGCACAGCGCGAGAGGGGAAGGAGAAATCAGGGGTATGATGTTAGTCCCCTTGGGGGGGCTTGTGCAACATCAGTTCTGCATGTTTGATGAGCATCGGACGGTGGACCCTGCTGGGGAAGGAAGGAGCAAGAGGCATGTGGAGTGAGCCTCATACAGTGTGGAGAGCGGAGGGAGGCCCGGCCCGCTGTTTGGGGATGGAGACGGGCCAGGGTTGGACAACATGGCTGGCCTCCCGGGCTGGCAGCCCATGCTCTGCACCCCAGAGGCAACTAGCCATCCCTGGGAAGGGAGAAGAGTAGCTGGCCCACGTTCTCTGCTTTGAGGCAGGCTGGGTCCCACGGGAGAAGGAAAAAATGGCAGCCAGTACCTCCGGGTCCAGCACCAATCCTGAAGCCACTTGGACAGGTTGGGGGAGGTGGGACATTTGGGGTTGACAGCATAATTTGGGGTTGCTAAGGGCATTTAGTGGTTAGGGGCTTGAGTCACAAAGAACTGTTCCACCCCAAATGCCAACAGTGTCCCTGTGGGTTTAGGCTGGAGGGTGCCATTCCTTTAGGCTGTAAGACCAAGACACAGAGCTACGTTTAAATGCTGACTGTGCCCTTGACATTGCTTGATTGATTGACATATTTCAAAGGCTGTGGTATCATCTATCTACATGCTTATGACTAGGGGAGTGGTTGGTTTCTGCTTTTCTTCCTTTTATTATTACTACAAAGACCCTGACCTGTTTTGCCATCCCCTTTTCTCTGTGATCTCGAGCAGGACTCTACTTTTTTTAAAGCTAAGTATTTATTGAGTAGCTATTACAAATTAGGCCAATGACTTTACGTACATTATCTCATTTAATCCCCACAACCCTTTGAAATGGATACAATTATTATTAACTGAAGCACAGAGAAGTTACATAATCCATCCAAGGTCACACAGCTAGAAGGTGGTAGAGCCTGGACCATTAGTCGACTTCCTATGCTCTTCCAAAGCTCTGTGCTGGACTGACTCTCCTAGAATGACAGCACCACTCATAGGGACATATGGTCAGCCAGCCTCTGCCTGGTCGCTTCTGTCAATGAGGTCCTCACTGCCTCCTGGAGGAGCATTCATCCATCCAGCTCAGTTTGGCTGAATCTATCACGTCTTTCTGGAGTGTCTCCAGGTCTTGGTCTGGGCACCATGGGAGAAGTCCTGGACTTGGTCTCTGCCCTCTGGGATCCCACAGTTAGGAGACAATATCCTTCCACCATGGAAGGCGTGGCCGTCAGTGCTGGGGTACTGGGGAAGGCTGTGGAAGGTCTTGTGGAAGCTATGAGTAAAAGGAGCTGTACAAAGGGGGGCTGGGCCACCAGGGGTGGCGGGGAAAGCCCAGGGTGGGGATATAGGAGGCCAGGTTGGAGTCCAGGCTCTGCCACTCATGTTGGGGTGTATCCTGGGTTGAATAGCATCCCCCCAACAAATTAGTGCCTCCTAGGATCTGTGAATGTGACCTTACTGGAAATACGGTCTTTGCAAATGTAATCAAGTTTAAATGGGGTCCTCCTGGGTTAGATTGAGCCCTGAGTTCTAATAAGACTAGTGTTCGTCTAAGAAGAGGGCGATCTGGACACAGACACGCACCCAGGGAAAGTGCTGTGCAGAGGCGGAAGCAGAGGCAGGAGGATGCACGTAACAGCAACGAAACGCAAGGATTGCCAGCAGCCACCAGAAGCTAGGAGAGGCCAGGAAGAACCCTCCTCTGGAGCCTGTAGAGAGACGCTGGCCCTGCCAGCACCTCCATTTTGGACTTCCAGTCTCCAGAACTCTGTTGTTTAAAGCCACCCAGTTTGCAGTGATTTCTCATGGCAGCTCTGGGCAGCTCACCCAGGGTGCCTTTAGAGAGGGCCAGTCTTCTCTCAGACCCTCAGTTTCCCATCCGTAAAAAGAGGGGAATTTGGATTTGGTGAGTGTTTTCAACCATGTTTGTAGATGAGAATCATCAAAGGATCTTTTCAAATGGAACTCTGAATCTCTGAGGGTGTGGTGGTCTGGGAATGGATTTTTTAAAGAGCTGTAGGGAGTGTCTTATGTGCAGGGCAGAGAACCCCTGGATGAGATCAATTTGCAAAGACTCTTCACACTCATTGACAATTTGATGTCTCCATGATCCCACTATACTAGCGCAAGCCCCATTTCTTCTTCAGGAAAATGGAGAAAAGAAATAGAACTGATGTCACAGGGCTGTTGGGAGGATTAAATTAAATACTGAGTATGAAAGTCCCCAGCACGTGGGTGGCTGGCTCCATGTCATCTCAGGAAGATGAAGGGCCGGAGTAGCTGAGGTTGGGGCTGCCGGGCCCCCAGCGCCTCCTGCGGTCAGGCCTCCTGCAGGTGGACTCCCTCCTTCCTCCTCAGGAGCTGGGTTGGAGAGCAGGGAGCTTGGAGATGAAGAAGCCTCCTTGGCAATTCTGAGGCCCTGCACACAGGTGTTAAGTGAGCTGACAGCATCTTTTCTGTCTTTTTCTAAAAGGTCAGAGAGCTGGGCTTTCGAGACTCCCTGGAGCTGCAGGAGCCATGGAGAGATAATTGATAGAAACCTCTGGGTTTCTGGCAGCCCCAGAGGGCTGGACAGAGAGAAGCCACCCTCTGCAAAGGTGGGGCCCTGGCTGCTCTGCTCTCAGGGAGGGGTGAGGGGGAGTGTGGTGGGGAGAAGGTGATAGACAGGGGAGGAGGGGGAAACTGGGGGTTTGGGGGAGGATCTGAACTGGACAGATCCCACTGCAGTCTCTAGAGCAAAGGAAAGGAAAGGATTGAAGGAGGCAGGGGCCAGCAGCCTCCTGACTGGCCACCCTGAATCCACCACTGCCCCTCCTCCTTCTGTCCCCAGCACACAGCCAGAGCAATGCTTTCAATCCACGTCAGATCCTGCGGCTCCTCTGTTCAGAATCCTCCAGTGCATTCCCATCTCAATCCGGTCATAAAACAGGCACTCAGTACGTGTTTCCAGAATGAATGCACGAAGAAATTTCCCAAAACTCTACGGCAGTTTTGTCCCCATTTCACTCACGAGGAAACTGCAACCCAGAAAAGTCTGATCCCAGCTGGAAATTCACCTTCTTCAGGAAGCCTTCCCAGATTAAACCCACTCCCATTTCTGAGTGTTTCTGCACCTGGCAAACCTCTTGTCCTGCTAATCACTATTTCTACTACAACCAGTTAGACCTTTAAGAAAAATGGTCTAGGCTGGGCGCAGTGGCTCACACCTATAATCCCAGTACTTTGGGAGGCCAAGGAGGGTGGATCACCTGAGGTCAGGAGTTCGAGACCAGCCTGGCCAATGTGGTGAAACCCCATCTCTGCTAAAAATACAAAAACTAGCCGGGCCTGGTGGTGGGTGCCTGTAATCCCAGCTACTCAGGAAGCTGAGGCAGGAGAATCGCTTGAACCCGGGAGGTGGATGTTGCAGAGAGCTGAGATCACGCCATTGCACTCCAGCCTGGGCAACAAGAGTAAAACTCTGTCAAAAAAAAAAAAAAAAAAAAAAAAGGAATAAAGGTCTAATTAGCAGTGGCAAGAGGTTTGCCAGATGCACACAAAAGTGAGCATTCAAAAGTCAAGATTAAGTAGTGTGATGGTTCCCCCCAAAATAAAAAATAGAATTACTATACGATCCAGTGATTCTACTTATGGGTATATATCCAAAAGAACTGAAAGCAGGGAGAGAGATATTTGCACACCCAAGTTCATAGCAGCGTTATTCACAATAGCCAAAAAGGTGGAAGAAACCAAACTGTCCATCAACAGACAAATGGATAAACGACATGTGATATATACATACAATGGAATATTATTCAGTCTTGAAAAAGATGGAAATTTGGGCACGTGCTTCAACATGGATGCGTCTTGAGGACATTATCCTAAGTGAAATAAGCCAACTGCAAAAAGGCAAATATGGCATGATTCTACTTTACTTATAGGAAGTATTGGAGTTGTCAAGCTCATAGAGACAGAAAGTAGAATGGTGGTTGCTAGGGGCTAGAGGGAGGGAAAAGGGGGAGTTGTTTAATGCAGGGGTTCCCAACCTTGGGGCCGTGGACCAGTACCTGTTCGTGGCCTGTTAGTAACTGGGCCTCAGAGCTGGAGGTGAGTGGCAGGCGAGCGAGCATTTCCTCCTGTCAGATCAGCAGCAGCATTAGATTCTCACAGGAGTGCGAACCCTATTGTGAACTGTGCCTGCGAGGGATCTAGGTTGCACGCTCCTTATGAGAATCTAATGCCTCATGATCTGAAATGAAACAGTTTCACCCGTATCCCCCTACCCCTGTCCCGTGGAAATATCGTCTTCCATGAAACCAGTGGGGGACTGCTGGTTTAAAGGGAATGGAGTTTCAGTTTTACAAAAGGCAACTGAACTTAAACATGACTGAACTTAACCCTTAAAAATGATTAAGATGGTAAATTTTATGTTATGTATATTTTACCACAATTAAAGTTGAAAAAAAATTTAAGTCAAGGCTATAAAAAGTTGGAATGAGTGATAGGTGGGATTTGAACAATGAAATCACTTGGACACAGGGCGGGGAACATCACACACTAGGGCCTGTCGGGGGATGAGGGGCTGGGGGGAGGGATAGCATTAGGAGAAATACCTCATGTAAATGACGAGTTGATGGGTGCAGCAAACCAACATGGCACATGTATGCCTCTGTAACAAACCTGCATGTTGTGCACATGTACCCTGGAACTTAAAGTACAGTAATAATAATAAAAAAAGTTGGAATGAGTGTCTTTGTCAGGTAGTGAGTCTCCTGTCACTGGGGGGTATTTAAGTTGATGCTGAAGAAACCCTTGGCTGAGATATTGCGTAGGGGATTTCAGTCTTGAATAGAAGAAATAAACCAGACCATCCTTAAGAACCTTTCTCCCCCAGCGATTTAGAAGTTCACGGCTTAAGGAATGTTGGAGCTGCAATAACCCTTGAGGATCATCTACTACGGGGATTTTAAAATGCGTGTGTCTGCACGTGCATTTGCACACTTCCACCCCAAGGCCTTTGCTGTCACAAATTCCTTTTGGCCTGAAATGCTTTTTCCTTGACTTACTTCTGGCCTCATTCAGGTCTCTGCTTAGTAGACAGCTCCTTGGAGAAGTCTTGTCTGACCACTCTCTAAAAATTAGACTGTGTCCCTCGTCCCTGCCCAACTCTTTACTCTGCTTTATTTGTCCTTGGAGCACACGCTGCTTCTGTTTGAGAGCAAGAAGTTATTTTGGTTCACCCTGTATGCCAGCTCCAGAAGACATCTTGCACACAGCAGATGCTCAGTGAACATCTGATGTGTTGAATCAATGAATCCTGGCAGTGGAGGAGGCATCTCCACATGGGGTGAGGCAGCTGAACTTCCAACCTGGACTCCTGTTCCCAATGTGCCCTGTGCCCTGGTTGTCTCTCCCCCTCTAGCCACTGCTGCCACATTGCAATGGTTTGGGCCACTATTTCCTCTTTGGGCCACTTTGATCCTTTCCTTGTTTCCCCAGCTTGGGACATAAAGCAAGATGGATGGTTTGGAGCTAACAGAAGAGAAAAAGTACAGACAAGAACACAGCCCAGGTTGTCTGGACTGTAAGCCATGGTGGTCTTATCTTAGTGAGGCCCCTGCAAGGCCTCCCAGCTGAGCCCATGTGGGCAGTGGGACCTCACACTTCCCATGGCAGGGCCCAGGGGGAAGGTGGGAACAGACACTCCCTCAGTAGCATCCCGGCTTCTGTGTCCCTCTCCGACTAAAGATGTACCTCTTCTTCGTTAGGTGATTAGATTGGAAATGCTACCCCCAGCCCGAAGAGGGACTACTAGCAACACAGGGCTGCTGGTTTCAGGATGGAACCACATTCAAGTCCAGGACCCAACATTCAGATCAGAGGTATGTGAAATAGAAGATGCAATGAGGCCGGGCACTGTGGCTCATGCCTGTAATCCCAGCACTTTGGGAGGCCAAGTAGGGTGGATCACTTGAGGTCTGGAGTTTGAGACCAGCCTGGGCAACATGGTGAAACCCCGTCTCTACTAAAATACAAAAATTAGCTGGGTATGGTGTCAGGCTCCTGTAATTTCAGCTACTCAGAAGGCTGAGACAGGAGAATCGCTTGAATCCAGCAGTGAGCCGAGATCGCATGACTGCATTTCAGCTGGGAGACAGAGTGAGACTCCCTATCAAAAAAACAAAACAAAACAAAACAAAACAAAACACAAAAACAACAACAACAACAACAACAAAAAAAAAACAGTGCAGGCGATGTAGTGCTGTGCTCTGAGGAAAGAGAAGCCCTGGACTCAAGCTGCCTTGGGTGGTTCCATCTCTGCCTGTCTTAAGGGGAGCTCAATCTCTTACACATGAAAGGTTTCCACAGCTCGGGCCCTTGTGGAAGAAGCCCTGTGTCCAGGCACCAGCAGCTATAAACTTCCCCTCCCCAACTCTTTTAGGTACCTCTCTCCAAGCACTGTACTTTGGATTTGGAGAGAGATCCAGGTGAAATATCTTAAATTGTTATAAAAACTGCGAGAAAAGCACCCCGAGGTGCATGAATCAGTGGGCACCCATGTGCTGAAATGCCTATCAAATACTAGGCACTGTGCCAGGCACATCTTCCCTCTCTTGACCATTGGTACACACCTAGGAAGACCATCCTTCTCTTCCTTTACAGATGAGGAAATTATGGCTTGGGCTAAGAGACTTGTTCAAGCCACACATCTAGTGAGTGGAAGAGCCTGGACTCACACCTGGGGCTCCTGAACACAAATTCAGAGCTGTTTCCTCCAACCCTGCTGCCAGGAAAGTGTGTGCTGCATGCTGGGGGTGCTTTGGCTAACCCCTTCCCCGTGAGGTGGACTTCTCTCTCCTTTCTGGGCAGAGGTTGGTCCCCTGGCCTCTTCATTCTTCCGATGGAGGCTTCCCTCTCACTAGCCAGGGCCACAGTAGGTGGGTGGGCAAATGGTGAGATGAGACCAGTTTTGGAAGACATTACAGTTACTGAATGAAAGAGTGGATGAATGATCTCACAGGCTAGTGCAGAGTGAAGTAAGAGGTTAGGGGGACTCAGAAGCTGAGGCTTAGGGAGAAAAAAAATCCTGCCATGATCAGTTGCCATGTGTTAGTGGGAAGTGTGATCTTGGGCAGGTGGCTGAATGTGCCTGCAAGGGAGCATGGTGCATGCGCTGGCATGTTGTGTACCTGCACTGGCTTGTGAACCTGTGCTCGTGTGTGTACCTGCACTGGTGTGTGTACCTGCACTGGCATGTTGTGTATCTGTGCTGGCATGTTGTGTACCTGTGCTGGTGTGTGACCCTGTGCTGGTGTGTGTACCTGCACTGGCATGTGTACCTGCGCTGGTGTGTGACCCTGTGCTGGTGCATGTACCTGTTGGGTACACTTGCACAGGCTGATGGGGCATTGTAGGGGACAAGAAAGGGGCTGGCAGCTTAGGGAGGCATAGGTCCCAATGGGTACTATACAGAGCTCTGTATTTGGAGGTTTGAGACCTGCCACCTACCAGCTGTGTGGCTTTAGGAACACCTGTTAACCTTTCTGGGCGTTTGCTCACCCCCAAATTAGGGATTCTAAACCCCGATTTTCTCTGTTCGTGGAGTTCTTCTGTGGTGTCCATGCAACAATACTTATGAAAGGCTGTTGTGATGTATATGCACTGCATGCTTATAGGGCAGTTTTTTTTTTGTTTGTTTTGTTTTTTTTAAAGATCTTAATACTAAATGGGAGGCAGGTCTATGATGCGTATGTAGTGCATAGGTATTCACATGGGGTTGGGAGCTGCTTTTCCACTATTGGAGTCAGATGCCTTCCTGAAGCAGGAAAACCAGAAGCTGAGGAAGGGGTTTCCTGCTTTGCCTCCCCCATTTCCTCTGCAAGGAAGGTCCCAGTAGGCAATGGGGGATATGGAGTCAGAGGGAGGAGGAAGCGAATAGGGTGAGGCTTTGCATTGAGACCAGGCTTTGGCCACAGGGTCAGAAAAAAATCGTTGTCTCTCTTGGAAGAGAAGAGCTACTTAGTCTGTCACAGCTCAAGTCTGTTTCCTGGGGTAGCTTCAGGATGCCAGGGCCTCGAAGTACCTCAACTGGCCCCCAGGGACCTCCCAATTCAAAAAGAGAAATTGCAATCAATACAGGTTACCAGTTGCTGCTCCATGCAATACAGATTTATAAAAACAGTGTCGTCAGCCTGCAGTGTGGAGCCTGCAGATAGTTCATAGGACTAATGAGATAACTTGCCCCACAATCAGGGCTGTCCTTTCCTCCCAAGCTATTTGTGCTGTGGGGCAGGGCAGTTGAGGGTGATGGATACTTCCTGGCTGGCGGGAATTAGCTCCTGCCTGGGGGCCCTGGCACCAGGGCAGCCTGCGGGGAGCAAGTCAAGGCGGACTCTGCAGGGCACCTTCCTTTCTTTCCTTTTGGTTCCACCTGCTGATGGTGAATAACCTGGGAGTCCCTGCCAGCCTGGGTTTGAAAAAACCAAGGGAAGCCAGGCCCATCCTTCTTCCTCTCCTTTCCTTGGACTCTGAACTCCTAGGATTGTAAACCCTCAACTCAGTACCCCAGAGGGAGATTTGTAGCAGAGTGAAAAGCACATGAGATGTGAGTCGGGAACAGGGATTCAAGTCCCAGCTCAGGCCAGGCTGGCTCTAGGTTTTAGATCCTCCTTGTTTTGGACTGAATTGTTTCCCCCAACATGTTATGTTGAAGCCTTAACTCCCAATGCAACTGTATCTGGAGATAGAGCCTTTAAAGAGGTGGTTAAGGTTAAATGAAGTCATGAGGGTGGGGTCCTGACTGATGATGCCCTTATAACAAGAGGAAGAGGCTGGGTGTGGTGGCTCATGCCTGTAATCCCAGCACTTTGGGAGGCTGAGATGGGTGGATCACGATGTCGGGAGTTTGAGACCAGCCTGGCCAAGATGAAAAAACCCGGTCTCTACTAAAAATACAAAAACTAGCTGGGCGTGGTGGCGGGCGCCTGTAATCCCAGATACTCGGGAGGCCGAGGCAGGAGAATTGCTTGAACCCAGGAGGTGGAGGTTGTGGTGAGCTGAGATCGTGCCACCACACTCTAGCCTGGGCGACAGAGCAAGATTCCGTAAAAAAAAACACACACACACACACACACACACACAAAACACAAGGATGTGCACACACAGAGAAAAGGCCATGTGAGGACACAGCGAGAAGGTGGCCATCTGCAAGCCAGGGAGAGAGGCCTCACCAGAAACCACACCTGCCATGACCTTGACCTTAGACTTCCAGCCTCCAGAACTGTAAGAAAGAAATTTGTTTAGGCCACCCAGTCTGTGGTATTGTGTTATGGCAGCCAGAGAAAATGAATACACTCCTCATCTGGACATGCTCTTCCCTAGGACTCTTCCAGCACTAACAGACATTCTAGAACCGGGTCCTGCTCTGCAAAGACATGAAGATGGGGAGGGGAGAAAGGCAGAGGGGAGCCAATTCTGAAGGTCACCAGGCTTCAGGCTGTACTGTACAGGCTGGGTTCAGAGAATGTGATGGGGAAGAAAGACTGAGTCTAAGACCATCCGGTGGGCATCAGGGGCCAGGAGCTGAGGGGAGGCAGGGAGGAAGCTGAAGGCATCATCCAGGGATGAGGTGGGCAGGGAACTAGCCCTGGGAATGGGTCGTTAACACAGGCTGGGCCTCATCTGCACCCTCAATCAAAGACTCAGATCTCATCCCCCGTGGAGGAAACCGAAGCACAGCGTCACACAACTCATCTGTGTGGTCAGAGCGCAGATGTCAAGAGCAGCCTCCTGTCTCCTGGCCCATTGCTGTTTGCTTGTGCAACTGGGGTCAGGCAGGGTGGACACGCCTGGGTCAGGAGAAGAATGGATGGATGGGAGGCGGGACCTCGGCTATGCGAACTTGTGCGAGGCACGCAGAGCCAGAAGCTTTGGCCTGCCCGTCAGTGCTGAAGTGGTGTCACCACCCCCAAGTCCCCCTTTCTGCACTGTAAAGGGGAACAGTCAGGTCCCACCATCTTTATCTCTGCCTTTGGGCTCTATAGGAGATGGCATTACTGGAGAGACAGGTGTCAGAAGCACTCAGGAGGACACAGGAAGTTAACAGCATGGTAGAGCAGAGAGAACCCAGCTCTGCAGTCAGAAGGCTTGGATTGGACTTGGGTTCTCCTGTCTAGCTGGATGACGCCACGTGAGCCACTGAATCTCTCTGAACCTGTTTCCTGTGACAATTACCAGTTAACGAGTGCACCCAGCGCAGTGCCTGGTACATAACAGGTGATCAGCAAGTGTTGAACAACTGAATGAATAAATGAATGCATAGCTCTTCTAAGTGGGGGACTCAGAACTTGACCTGGATCTCAGTCTCCAAGTCCAGGGCTCTGCCAGCCATTCCCACCAACTCCTAACTGCCCACAGACTGGTCTTTTAAGTAGGTGGGAGGGGTGTGGAGTTACCAGAAAGGACCCTACTCAGCTTCCCGGGAGCCCTGACAGAGTGACCACTTGGGGCAACTGAGATCTAGAAGGGTCCCTCACTGTCTCCGGAGCAGCTCCTAGAGGTCTTAGGGGTGCAGAGGGTGGGGAGCAGCAGACAAATCTGGGGGAGGGGGTGCAGAGGCACGGTGGCTAGTTCTCTCTCTCCCCGAATCCTTTCCTCTAAATACAGCTCTATCTTTCTCTACCCCAGGATTAGCACACATCTCTCATCCTCATATTGCAACAAGATTTTATTTCTAATTATGCTGTAATAAAACTGGAGCGCTCCCAGGCTTCCTTTCAAATGACTTGTACACACACTGCAGATTGGGCCCTCCTCAGCCCCATTGTAATAGCATTTCCCTGACATTCATTAGACATGCATGAGAGGGGCGCTTTAAGAATAGAATTGCATTTAAATGGATTTGCTGAGAGAGGAAGATGAAAAAAAGAGAGGCGAGGAGTGGGGAGAGGGAGAGGGAGAGAGGTTTGTTGAACAAACTATGAAAACAAGATGCCATAATAACAGGGTGCTGAAATAAGCCTCTTTATTCCCGGCCCTCGTCCGCTGCACATGGCAGAGCCCAGCCGGGGGCGACAGCCTCCAACCCTCCCCAGAGCCCCCACCCCCACTTTTATGTTTCCCGCTGGGGGTGCTTTGTAGCTCTCACTCCATGTGTCAGATGCTCACGGTATAATAGAAATCACTGTTATTACAATTCGGGAAAGCTACCTCCTTGCAACAGAACCCCAGTAGCTGCACGGCGGCAGGGAAGGGGACCCTTGTGTGCCTGGGCCTTGGGGAGGAGGATGGCAGCTGCCCGCCCTTGGCTCGCTTCTAAGGCGCGGCCCCACCCTTCTGCTCCTGCCCTGAAGGACCGCCCTACACCCTACACCGCCATTAGCCACTGAGCAGTTGGGATTGTTCTTTTACCCTGGGTGGCTCTGCAGCTAGGAGGTGGTAGGAATAGCAGGGATATGCTTTCTGACCCCAGGGCCTGGCCCTCATGGAGCCCTGCTCCCTGCTCAACCTTCCCTCCCCCAACACCCCGCGTGCTATAAAGGCCGCTCTGCTGCCGTTTAGCAAGCAGCTACTGTGTGTCTGTAAGACTTGTGGTCTTATCTAATTCATTCTCACTATAGCCAGACAGACTCACTTGAAATAGACATCTGATCATGCTGAAAACATCTCGTGGCTTCCTATTTTTCTCAGGATGAAGACCAAAATCCTTAGCAGGGCAGCCCAAGCCCACAGTCATGCCCCTGACCTCCAGCCACGCTGGTCCTCCGCTCCCAAGCCTTGCTGCTGCTCATGACACTCTCCCACCCCTTCCCAGGGTTCATCCTGACCCACCCCTTAGAGTCAGCTCACATCCCCTTCCTGGAGAAGACCCCCACCACGGGTCTTTCTGCCTTATGTGCCGCTTCACTGCATACTCGTCTCTACTGGGACAAGGTGTGGACTGAGACATGCAAGGCCTGGTACTGTCCCTAGAGAGTAAGCCCTTGAGGGCAGGTGTGGATCCCAGCGGCCGCTGTCGCCCCAGCCTTGTCTCAGTGGCAAAGGCTCAATACCGTGGAATGGATTCCAGGCTCTAAGCCAGCCCTCTTCCCACCATCTGCTTTAATTCTTGCAACAGCCTTCTTGGGCTAAGGGTTTTCTTCTTCCCCTCTAACAGTCAAGGAAGCTGAGGATCAGAGAGGTCACAGCAACTTGCCCCAAATCTCAAAGCTGGGGCTGTCCAAATCCAGAGCCAGACTTTTGGTAGGTATTTCCAAGTACACTACTTGGCCATGGGGAGTCCTGCCAGCTCCTTCCCATAGGGGTACACCCTTCCCTGCACCCCAGCAAGGCCCCTCTTAGACCCTCTCTTAAAGTCCAGCTAACCAGAACCTTCTCTCCCTTTCCAGACAGTTCACGGCTCCCACCGTTGGGCCACAGCCTGGGACCCAGGAGGGCCTCAAGTTCCACATTTGGACGGGGTCATCTTTGTATTCCTAGGTGGGATGCAGGCTTCTTAAAGAGTGATATATCAGTATCACTCCTCTGAACCTCCCCATAACAGCTGGGCCAAGGCTGGGAATTCCCGAGTGCACCGTTAGTTCTGGTTGGATCACATTGGAGATGGAGCATTGGATGTAGAGCTGGAAGATTGGGCCAGCTTTACAGCTGTGTGACCTGGATGCAAGTCCCAGAGAAGAAACCCCGCAGTCTTGAAATCTACAAGGTGGTTTTGATCACACCCTCTAGAGAGTTACCGGGAGGAGTCGCTGGGCTGCCGTGGAACTGTGCCTCACATGGGCTCATTTCTGTCTCTGCTTTTTCATGCCTTGGTAATAATGGGGTGCTTATACACAGACAAGGAGAAAACGGGTCTTACTGGTTCTCATAAGGGGATGTGGCTAAAAGGGACATGGCACTGTGACCTCTTGCAGCCATCTGGTGTCTGCCCCTGTGTCCCTGTGTGGCTCCAAGGGCACTGGGTGGCAGTGGAGACCATCCCTCTGTCCTTCCTACATGTGTTTCCCCATCACCACCTTCCCACTCCGGGGGTCTACCTGCCTCAGAGGCCTCCAATGGCCTCCTCCTGCACACAGAAGCCCCACAATGAGTGGCTGCAGCCTCCAAAGGCCAGGAGCAGCAGGTGGGCTCATTCCCCTGCCTCCCAGTCCTTAGCACAGCCCTAGCCTGGCACTTGGTAAAGGCCCGGCGCATGTTGGTCACTGCTCTGGGCTCAGTTTCAGTTACAACACCTTCGAGATGGTGCTCAAAAAATATTCCTTAAATGAATGAATGGATGATTGAATGAGCGCATGAATCTTGGCTACTCTGCCTCAGTGGCAAGTACGTGGCTCTGAAGTCAGATAGACTTCCGTTCTATCAGTGTGACCTTGCACAGGTTACTTAGCCTCTCTAACTCAGTTTTCTCATCTATAAAATTGTGCTAATAACAGTACCAATCACACAGAGTTGTAGTGGTCACGTGAATTAAAGTGCCAGGCCCAGCGCCTGCACAGTGATTGCGTGATAAACGATTGCTCTCATGATTATGACTTACAGCTTCCCATCCAACGTCTACATCGGTACACTCCGGAGCTTGGAGTGACTGCTGGGCCAGTGATTCTAGATCATGCTTGACTCCCATTTTCCTCTTCTTAGAACTGTTAAAAATCCTCTGCTGCTGCTCAAATAGCAGAGGCAATTCAGCTATTTTGAACCTCTGCTTTTTAAGCTTACAGGCTAATCGGCGTGACTGTATGTACATCAGCCATGCCAGCCAGGGAGCTTATCAGTAAAGGTAGAAATGTTCCAAGTCCCATCAACATTTGTGTTGTGAACATGTGAACATATGAGTATATGAGTGCTCTGCCCCAACTCTACTGGTCCATGCACCAACCTTTCCACACTGGGTCATCTCAGCACCTCTTCTCCCTTGTCTCCTGACAGCCCTTAGTTAGTCATTTCTTGCTACCCCTAGCTCACAGTATCTATACCCCTTATCCAGCTTTCATCATATACTGGCCTTTTACTATTAATTTGTAAAATTCACTGATAGCTTGCCAATTAAGAGGACGTACCTCTTAATTGATAATTTCCACTATGTTCTAGGCTTAGTGCTAGATACTTTACATGCATTGCCTCAATTTCATCCTGAGAGGAGGGCAATATGATCCTCATTTTATAGACAAGGGAACTGGGCTCATAGAGATTCAGAAGCTTGCCTAAAGTCACAGAGTTAGAGAACAACACATTTGGGATTCGAACCTAGATTGTGTGACTCCACATTCCTTCAGGACAGAGGCCTCAAATCCCACCTCCCTGGCCCCAGTGTCTGGCCTGAAAGCCCAGTGTCTGGCCTGAAAGCCCAGTGTCTGTTTATTGACATTAGCTGCTGCCCATGGCCAGCTTTCAGGGTGTTACAAACATTATCTGAGAAATTTAGGTAACGGTTTCACACTGGGCTGGGCATACAGTAAAGGTATAATAGATGATTTCTGCTATGCTTTTTGTGCATTTATCTTCTGAGCAAGGAGACGGGCCCCGCCAGCTCCCTGGACACGCACTGCCTCCCCACCTTGGCATTGGCCAGCGTGGCACCAGCCTCCCCAGCACACTTGGAATTCTGAGCTCATTCACCAGACAGGTGCAATTTCCCACCTCTCACTCGCTGACACTCTCTGCACAATCGATCACAAAACTGTTTCCAAATTAACTTAGATTTAGCTCCAGCCTCACCTCTTCTGACTCTGGCAATTTCCTCTCTACCTCTGTTAACTCCTCCGGGCACTGGCCTGCCTGTATCTCTCTCTCTTCCTGAAAATGCCCAGCTGACCCCAAGTCAGGGTTTCTTCTTGCCCTTGGCCCCAGATTATGCGGGACATGGCCTTTCTCAGGATGCCCCTTTTCTCTGTCCTCAGCCATGGGCTGGGGGCAGGGGTCAGGCAATTCTCTTCTTTTCCTGCCCCCTCTTCTCAGGATTCACCCTACACGTTGCGTTATCCTCTAATTAACATTTTGGGTTGAAGGGCCATAAAGTTTCCTCTGCATTAGTCCCTAAAAACGTGTAAAGAAAAAGATATCTGGAAGGACAAAGGTCAGAGAGAATTGGTGCAAACAAAAAGTTTGGGGATATACCTCAGGGTTGAGAAAGCATTTCTGGGTAAAATTCCAAAAGCTGCATTCTCCAATCCCACTAAACTCCAGCCAGGCACCTGCTGTGTGTCAGGTCCTGAACTCTGGGCTTTTCCCACAATCCTGCCAGATGTATATGGTCATCCCCAATGTACAGATGAGAAAACTGAGGCTCAGAAAGGTTGTATAAGTCATTAGGTTGTCTATGTCACAGACCTAGGAGGAGAACTCAGGTCCAGAGCTCAGCCCTCTCCCCCACCGTGCCTGACTCTCCCTGCCTGCACCCTGCTTAGAGTCTTCTGAGGGACGCGTGTTGGGTGCAGGGTAGAAAGGGAAGGGAAGAACTGGATTGGGGGCATGCATTTGTCATCCTTCTGCCACCTGAGTGCCATGTTTAGACCTGCCTCCTTGGCCTATAAGATAGAGGTAGTTGCTGCCCCCAGAACTGGGAGATGGGGCAGTTGGGGAAAGGGGGTCTGGAGGGGACAGCAGCTGACTTTGGAGGGAGAGAGCCTCTGAGGGCTTCGTGTAATTTACCCACAGGGCCTTGGTGGCCTGGCGGCTGTGGGGGGCATCTCAGCATATCAGCAGTCACACCATTAAAGAGCGAGGAGAAATTAATATCACCGAGGTGGTCCAGAGCTTCTGATACCAGCAGAAAATTACAGGACACGAGATGAGGAGTATTACAGAATGAGTGGGAGGGGACAAGAGATCTCCGTGGCTAATCCTGTTAAGGAGACAATGTCTTATCAGACTCATTATACTTTTGAAAGGAGGGAGTATGGAGGGGGAAGAGAAGGTGGGGGACAGAGTGTGATGGGGTGGGGGCAGCTGCGGGGAAGGGAGAGAGGCGAGGAGCTGCGGTAACAGAGCCTGCAGGTCCATCGGGGTGGGCATGCACCTGGAAGGTGTCTGACCCGTAGAGTAAAAACCCTCTCTGGGAGCTACGTCCCTACTGGGCTGTGGGGAATGTCAGTCAGTGGAGCAGCCCTCCCGCCTTGACAATTGTCTCAACAGGTGCCTGGGAGGAAAGCAGGTGCCTTGACTCTCCTGCTTTGACCTAATCTCATCTTGTTGCATCTCCTATGGAGCAAATAGAACCATCCCCAATCTACACAGACACTGAAAAACCAAACACACCCATTTTTCTGCAAAGCACTTTCCTGTCCAGGCCCTCATTTGACACTCACAATCCACCCCCCTCTCCCCTGCCCCCGAGATGAGCAGGAAGGGGACCACACTGCCTGGGAAGTTAGAGGGCCCTTTTTGGCACTCAGCTGAGCCTCCTTGGGTAAATCACTTAATCTCTCTGGGCAATCATTTCCTCACCTTGAAAACAGAGATTAACGAAATCCTACCCTATCTACTTCACAGGGTCCTTGTGGGGATGAAAAGGATAATATATGCAAGAGGGTCCTGTAATCTGTGAAACACTGACGTAAAGGAAAGTGATTGCTATCATCGTTTTGAGGTCGAGACAACAGGTTCAGCTAGGTGAAGTGTCTTGCTGGAGGCAACAAGGCTGGAAGTGGCGGGCCAGGGCTTGCACCTTTAGTGTCAAATCCAGGGTCATTTCTGCCTCCATGAAGTCACTCCACTGGCCTGTTCCCAGTTGACCATTCACCAGGGAATTCAACAGGCACAGACCCGAGTGTCTGCTTACTACAAGTGCGCGATGTGCTCAGTATTGTCCCAGGCTGGCCCGGGGAAGTGCGTGGTTGGGAAGACACTGCTTGCTGTCTATACAATATCTATTTTCCCTTTCTTACAAATGTTTTTGGGTTGGCAAAGTTGTCCATCACCGCCTGTTCTGGGTGATGAGATCAAGTTTCTTGAGGGTTGAGGGATAGGGAAGGGCTTCCGAGAAAGCATTTCTTCTTCAAACAGAAAGGACAGACATTCACAATGGATCGAAGGCCTGAGTGCAAGAGCCTAAAATGATAAAACTCTTAGAAGAACAGATAAGGGAAAACCTTCATTACACTGGATCTGGCAACAATTTCTTGGATATGACACCAAAAGCACAGCTAACAAAAGAAAACAATAGATAAATTGGACATCATCAACATGTAAAACTTCTATGCATCAGAGGACTCAACCATCAGAGTGAAAAGGCAACCCATGGAATGGGAGAAAATATTTGCAAATCATATCTCTGATAAGGGGTTAATATCCAGAATATATAAAGAATGCTTACAATTCAACAACAAAACCAAACAACCCAGTTTAAACATGGTCAAACGACTTGAATAGACAGTTCCCCAAAGAAGAGATACAGATGGCTAATAAGTACAGGAAAAGATGCTCAACACTAGGGAAATGAAAAATCAAAACCGCATTGAGATACTACCTCATTCCCATGAGGATAGCTATTATTAAAAAACAAACCCAAAACTCAGAAAATAACAAGTGTTGGCAAGGATGTGGCAAAATTGAAATCCTCGTGCACTGATGGTGGGAATATAAAATGGCACAGCAGCTAGCAAAACAGTGGATGGCTCCTCAAAAAAAATGAAACCTAGAATCACCATGTGATCCAGCAATTTGGGTATGTATCCAGAAGTGTCTGGGTATACACCCACAAGAACTGAAGCCGGGACTGGAAGAGGTATTTGTACACCCATGCTCGGAGCAGCATTATTCACAATAGCCAAAAGGTGGAAGCAACTCAAATGTCCACTGACAGATGAATAGATAAATAGAACATTGCATACACATACAATGGAATATTATTCAGCCTTTAAAAGGAAGGAAATTCTGACATATGCTACAACATGGATGAACTTTGAGGACATTATCCTTAGTAAAATAAGGCAGACACAAAGGGACAAATACTGTATGATTCTACTTATGTGAGGTCCCTAGAGTAGTCCATTTCATAGAGACAGAAAGAAGAATGGTGGTTTCCAGGGGCTGAGGGGAGGGGGAATGGGGAGCTATTGCTCATAGTGGGTCCAGAGTTTCTGATGACAAAGTTTTGGAAATAGTGGCGATGGCTGTACCACAATGTGAATATACTTCATGCCACTGAACTGGACACTTAAAATGGTTAAGATGGGAAATGTTGTCATGTATATTCTACCACAATTTCAAAAAATAGTAAAAGACAGATACCATGGACAAAAACATTTTATTCTATTATTTATTATTTATTATTTTTATTTTTTGAGATGAAGTCTTGCTCTGTCACCCAGGCTGGAGTGCGGTGGTGCGATCTCGGCTCACTGAAACCTCCGCCTCCTGGGTTCAAGGGATTCTCCTGCCTCATCCAAGTAGCTGGGACTACAGGTGGGAACAACCACACCTGGCTAATTTTTGTATTTTTAGTAGAGACGGAGTTTCACCATGTTGACCAGGCTGGTCTCGAACTCCTGACCTCAAGTGAACCACCTGCCTTGGCCTACCAAAGTGCTGGGATTATAGGTGTGAGCCACCGCGCCCGGCCTGGCACAAACATTTTAAACATTGTCCTGCCTCCTTTTTTCCTGCTGGAAAGTGAGGCTCAGAAGTGCAGCTGTGTTGCAATCATGAGGATGGCAGAGCAGGAAGGGAACAGGAGCCTGATCTCCTGGGTCAGCCCTGAACTGCCAGTCCCCAGACTCCTTGTTAGACAAGAAAAACAGGTCTCTAATTTGGCCACGCTGTTGTGGAGGGTTTTCGTTACATACAGCCAAATGCAGTTCTAATGGAGACAGTACCCAAACTCATCCCCTCTGACTGCTTCCACGTCCCCTGCCTCTTCTCTACCATCTTCTCACATGATGGCACCTTGCATCTCCTGTAGACCCCACACTCTGTGCCTCTGCTCATGCTGGGCCCCCTGCATGGCCCCTCTTCCTTCTGAGCTGCTTCCTTTTTTTGGCCAGACAGCTTCTTCCATGGCCTTTGCACTCAGGTGGGGCATTGCCCTGGATGGGTGTGTTACCCCATGTCTGGGCTCCCGTAGCAACCCATGGCCACCTCTCTCATACTATTTATCACCTTTCTTAAGATTGGGTATTTCATGCCAGCTCTCTGCTAGACAGAAGCTCCTTGAAGGTCAAGATCTTGTTCAGATCTGGACCCCTGGTGCCTGTGTATCAGGCAGATGGCAAGTGCTCAGTAATGATGGGTTGACTAGAACTCTTCTGACCTCCAGGGGCTCAGGATCTGCGGAGGTGGATACAGACCCAGAAACAAACTCCCTGACAGGAGGAGCTCAAGGTGCGCAGGGAGCCCAGAGGATGAAGTGACCGCTGTCTCTGGGAGAGTCAGGGAAGGTGTCACAGAGGAGGTTGCAGTTGAGCTGGGTCCTGAAGGACACGTGTGTCTTCTCTCCCAGTTTGGGAGTGAGGTGATGTATTGGAAGTGAAGGCCACATCATATGCAAAGGTGTTAAGGCAGGAAAGGGCAGGGAGCATCTGGGAAGCAGGGATGCACGGGGCAGGGAGAGCAGGGGTTTGGCGGGTGATGAATTAGACACCACAGGGCCTGAGTGTGAAGACTTGAGTGACCAGAGAGGAGCCTGCCTTTTAGCCTGTGCATAGGTGGTGGCTGAGGGCTTTCAGCAGAGGGAGAGAGGGTCATGCTGGGCCCTACAGACATGGCAGCTTAACTATGGTGATCAGCTCTGATTCATGGAAAGCCCTCTCCTGCAGAGTATGGAGGGGGCTCTGAATGGAGTGAGGTTGGCAGCAGGAAGCCAGGGGGGAGCTTATTCCAAGGGTCCTTGAGGAGGGGCGGGGGAGGAGGGGGAAGAGAAGGTGGAGGAGGAGGGTAGGATGTGCAGCAGATTCTGCAGTTGCACTGTCTGGGGCCAAGGTCTGGCTCTGCCACTTATTGATGTCAGTTTCCAATTCCTCTGTGCCCCAGTTTCCACATTTGTAAAAGGAGGTTAATCCCAGCACCAATCTCAGAGGCGCGTTATGAGAATTACAGGAGATGAAGCATTATGAAGTGATCAGCATGGGGCCTGGCACACAGAAAGAGCTCAGTGACCCTGCAGGGAGATGGGGAGAAGGGACATCCTCAGTTCTGGCTGGAGCTGAGGGGTCAGTTGGGGGCTACAGGAGGTCCAGCAGGTACAGACTGTGGGCTGCATGGTGCAGGCTTTGAATGCCGGGGCAAGGGGCTCTAGCTCATCTGATGGGCCACAGAGGGCCACAGAAGGTTTCTGGAGGGGAGAAGGGTGTTACAAGGATGAACTAGGTTATATTTACAGAGACAGAGAGAAAGAAACTGGAGACCCTTTCCTTTCTCGACTCACAGGTGTCAATCTAAATCTTGTCCAGTTAATCTAAATCTTTTCCAGTTAATTTCTCTCACCCTGCTAGTGGGCCTGAAGGAAGCAGGCAGAGGGGTGGTGGAAAAAGGTGAAGACAAAGATGCATCCCATGGACCTACCCTACGTGAGATACCACCTGACCCCAGGGCCCTGGAAGTGGGGACTCGGTCTGATGGTACAGCTATGCCCCAGTATGGCCTCATCATTGCTGACCACTGAAGAGATGGGTGTAACCATGTCCTTGGCCTCCCAGTGAGGGTCAAAGGCCCAGAGAAGTCAGCTTGTCCAGTGGGACTTCAAGGGCACTAGGGAAGGGCTGGCGACCTTATGTAGCCATCCATCTAGATTCTAGAAGCTTCACCGCCGACATGCCCACATCTTCTTAGCTGCAGTATGAATCCCTTTTTGTTGGATTAAATTGGTCTGGTGGGGTGGAGGATGCTAGTAAAGCGGTGGCACATTAGCATCTCACCAGTGAGAGGGGAGCAATGCCCTCTCCTGGAGATGGATGCAGGGAAGGGACAGTCCACACAGGACCAGGCAGGATGCACGTTGGGCTAGATCTTGGGTGAGGGATCTTTCCAATAGCCATAAAGGGATTCTTCTGAGCACTTCATGGTGATGCTGAAGGAATTTAAGATGCCCGTAGTTAGTCTATGAGAGTCAGGTGTCATGAGTGGGAGGTTAAGCAGGTGGGGGACTTGCAGGAAGAAGGTGCAGAGGCAGTGTGGCAGGGGAGGCTCTGACTTAGAGAAAGAAGGTGACCTCTCAGGATTAGGCTGAAAACACTTAATACCAGTCTGGGCTGCTTCCCTGGAAGAGACGTGGGGCTCTGAAGCCCTAAGGTGCAGGAAAGAAGGCTCCACCCTGCTCTCCACCTTCTTCTGTGCCTTTGAAGAGCATGGAGTTTCCCCAGCCCCCCTCCTGACCACCGTCCCTGGAGGGGGTTGGGTACAGTGGGAGCTGGGTAGAAAGCGAGCCGCAGCTTCCCAGGAGTCCCTGCCCGCCTCACTCGAGCCCCTCTTCCTGCCTTTCATCTGAGCAGAAAACAAGGGAGAGGCCCCAGGCGTCAGCAAAGCATTTCACTGTGTGCAATTTGCATTTTCTGTCTCCATCTTGAGCAGCTCTGGCTTTGGGTAGCCGGAAGAAAGAGCAGCTGTTCCAGCTGCAGAAGGTGCTTAGTCCAGTGTGGGCTATAAAGTGCCACTTGGCTGTGGGGTGATCAGGAGGGAGGCAGTGAGAAGGAACAAAGCAAGGGAGCAGGGATGGGGTGGGGAAAAAGCGGGCTGAGGCTTTAGGGGCCTAGATCTATCTAGGGTGTAGATCTAGGGCCATGGTTCTCAACGAGGGGTGATTTTCGCCCCTTAGGAGACATATGGCAATGTGTGGAGGCATTTTTGGTTGTCATGACTGGGTGTGAGGAGAGAGCAGTTGCTTCTAGCATCTAGTGGGTAAAGGCCAGGGACACTGCTAAATATCCTACAAGCCCGGGATAGCAACCACAACAGAGAATGATCAGGTCCAAAATGTCAATGATGGACATTTCCCACCAGGACTGGGAACCCTGGTGGCAGGATCAGAGGAGAGGGACAAAAAGCAGAAAAGACGGGGATGGGCGATGAGGTTTAGCCAGTGTCTCCCAGGCACAGGGCAGTGCCGGGTGCCATAGAGGCAACAAAAGAAGCAGTGGGCATGTAGCTGTGGGCAAACTGAGAAGCTGCTGCCAGCACCTACAGGCACCACAGATCCATGAAATTTCACGAAACGTGAGCAAGTGAGGTGGAGCGGGGACCCTTAAGGGCCTGCCAGGGTCCCCCAAAACATGGAAATAAAGGAAAATCTTGAGTCCCTTCCAGGGAAATTCCAGGCACCTTACTAGCCCTGAGAAGTAAATGAGCAACCAGAGAAGCAAGAAGATAATAAAACAATAGCCACCCAAGGAAGTTGGAGCCACGAGATGTTCAGTTACCTATAGAAACCAAAGATAATGGCTGGGCACGGTGGCTCACGCCTGTAATTCCAACACTTTGGGAAGCTGAGGAGGGTGGATTGCATGAGCCCAGGAGCTCAACACCAGCCTGGGCAACATGGAAAAACCCCGTCTCTATGTGTAGCAGGACGAGTCACAGACAAAACTCCTCAGACACTGGATTAAAGAAGGAAGAGGTTTTTATTTGGCTGGGAGCATCGGCAGACTCGCGTCTTAAGAGCCAAGCTCCCCGAAAAAGAAATTCCTAGCCCTTTTAAGGGCTTACAACTCTAAGGGGTCCACGTGAAAGGGTCATAATAGATCAAGTAAGCGTGAGGAAGGTGACTGGGGGCTACATACATCAGCTAACAGAACAAAAATTTTACAGTGCTTTCTCATACAATGTCTGGAATTTACAGATAACACCAGTAGTTTTGGTCAGGGGTTAATTTTATTATTATTATTTTAATCACCAGGGCCAGGTGGTGGTGCCAAGGTCGTCTAGCTATTTATCTTACTTCTGTCTCTTTCCAACTTTTGGCTTTCTCCCTTTTCTCCTGTCTTATAAACTAGGGAAAAGGGGAGGTTGGGGAGAAGTTGGGAAGGACAACAGACGTGGTGGTCTCCTTCCATATATGGGGAAAAAAAGAAAAAGAAAGACAGAAAAACAGACACAAAGAAAGAAAGAAAAGAAAGACACCAGAGATAACATCTTAATATTCAGAAACCCAGACCCAAACCCAATGGAAAATGCCGACCGCCATCATGTACAGCTCAGGTAAGGGGACACTGAGGACTGAACTCCAGCCGGTCTTTCTGAGTCCCTTCCTGAGGGGACTGGGGAGAGTCATGCCCTCAGGCCAAATCTTCACATTCCTTGTCACTGACCCCGAGTTTTTAGACAAAGCCTCACTTTCGTAACCAACTGCAAATTTAAAAATCTCTAAATCCACCTGTGACCTCTAAGCCCTGCACTTCAATATATCTCACCTTTTTGTGCCAAACCCATGTATGACCTTGCACTATGTATGGATTTATGATTTTTGCCTGTAACTCCTGCTTTTCTGAAATGTACCCTTCCTTTATAAGCCCTTGCTTGTAAGCCATCAGGGAGTTTGTCTGATTCTTGTTTGGTGCCCCGCAATACGTGCCTTTTATCCCCCCTCTCGTTGCAAATCTCAGCATCAGTGTTTGGCTTTGCTGAGCCAGGCAGGCAGACCCAAGTTTGGCTTGGTGGCATGAAGAGGCGCTCTTCAGACCACAGGTGTCCCTGGGCTGAAGAAGGGGCAGAGAGCTCCCACTGGAGAAGGAGGGGAGAATGTCTACAGAGAGACCCTCGCCCAGGGCACGGAAGCCACAGCAGGGCTCACCACTCAGGTGTCGGGATGTCAGGCTGGCTGGGGTGAGAGGGAGGGTGGGATACAGGAAGGAAGGGCCTAGAGTTGGGGGGAGGGGCAAAGGGCTAGGTAGGAAGAAGCCAAAGGGGGAAAGTCCTGCCCCAAACCCAGAGAAGCTCCAGCCCCCTGCCCAGAGCTCCTTGGGTGAGTTCCCCAAGTGAATTTAGACAGGCCCGGCTGCTGGGAGGGGTGGGGGCAGGATGAGGGTGTGATGGGGCATTGAAGTGGGCTTCTCCCTTGAAAGAAAGGGGGGGCCACTTTGACCAGGGACACAGTGAAGAATTTAAGGGCTGGAAAGGTCTGCATTTTATTAGTGATGGTGATGATGGAAATAATAATAGCTCTAAATCCAGCCACCATTTGTTGAGTGCCTACTTTGTCCAGGTACTATGCTACGGTTTTGGATACAGTATCTTATTTAATCAGCACAGCAACTTCAGGAGGTGCGCCACTAAGCCCAGAGGGATGAGTTGATGTCTCAAGCTGTCCAGAAACAGCCCTGTAGCCACTGCAGTCCCCTTCTCTACTGTCATATCCTCATTGTATTTTACACTGGTGCTTTCAAACCCTTCTCATTTGATTTGCGTATTGCTCCATTCAAGTAGACCAGGTGAGAGTTGATAATCCTATTTTACATGTAAGAAACTGAGGACAGACAGTTAACTCACGGGAAAGCCAGACTCAGAACCCAGCCTTTTGACTCCTAGCCAAGGCTCTCTCTGGGACCTTGTTAGGACCTGGGGCAGGCAAACCTCATGGCTTTGCTTCTGTACCTGCCTCTTGCCAGGGTGGCAGAAATCTAGCTCCTGTGCAAGTTTCCTGAGTCCCTGGGAGATGCCCCTGAGACTCAGAGTGTCAGAGAAAAATTGGCATAACATCCTGCCTGCCCATCCCTGTTTTAGGGGCAATGGTTTTCATCCTGTGCCCCCCACACCCCTTCTCCCCCACTGCCCATTCCCTCCAACAGCTTTACTTCTTACTGTAAAATTAATCATCATTGTATTGCATAATTAATGAGGCAGTAACAGGAAATGTCTAACCAAGCTTAACTCCCCACCCTGGTGGGGCCTGGACCAAGAGCTCTCCTGAGGGCGGGGCTCCAGGGCTGCCAGATGGGTTTCAGGGATAGAGATGGAGGGCGGGTGCTGGGGCCCCTGGGCACAGCCATTATTGGCAGGTGAGCAGGAGAGCTCAGGCTGCAGGGGCAGACCCCTCCCCAGGCTGTTGTGGACACAGAGTTTATTGGTGAACATGTCTGTGCCTCTGGGCAGCACTGGAGCACCTGGTGAGGAAGGCAGGCTCTCCTCTTCTCAGCAGGGCAGTGGGAGGAGGACCTGTGTCTTCTCCCTCTTGCATCTTCAGATCCCTCCCTAATGGGAGGTGAGGCTGCAGCCCAGGGCAGTGAGCACTGGACAATGAGTCTGGAGACCTGAGTTCTAACCAGTTCCACAGTGACACCGCACAAGCTGCTTCCTGTCTCTGAGTTTTGGCCTCTTTGTCCAAAATGAGAAGTTGTGCCAGATGACTCTTCAGACCTCGCTCTGTGATTCTGCCACTCCTGCACTTAAAATCCTGCAGCAGCTCTGTGCGGCTATGGGGATGAAATCTGCACATGCTACAGTTCTGTGGGGCTGCTCCAGTCATGTCTCCAAGCATCCTCCTGCCCCTTGCCTTGCTCCATCCACCCAGAACCTCTTCCTATAGCGCCCCTTGTTCTCCTCTCCTCTCCTCTCCTCTGGGCCTTTGCATGTGCAGGTCCCTCTGCCTGTGATGGTCTGGGTCTGTTTCCTACTCTACCCAGCCCCTAGGTTAACAACTTATCTTCACGTTCTAGCTCAGCTTTACTTCTACTGAAAAGCCCTTGGAGGTCACTCAGGAAGGGCAGGATGCCCCTCGTACTAGCCCCAGAATGCCCTGGGCTTACTGCATGAACGGCATTGCAACTGCCACTTATGTATTCATCTCCCCATTAAGGCACATGCTCCCAGAGTACAGCGTCAGGTCTGCTTTGACTCCAGCTGTTTCCTCAGCACCTTCCACAATGCCTGGCACCAATAGTCAACTGGTAGATGTGGCATGAATAAATGATTGCATACAGCAATTCTATGAGCATAGAAGTCCAGGAGGAACATGTTGGAGGAGTGGGGACAGTGGGAAGCAGGGGCAGGGAGGAGGCGTAGACTCACAGCCTCTGCTGCAGAGACAGTGTTGAGAGGGAATAGGGTGTCACAGACTCCTGATGCCCCTTGGTTCAGAGGGGCAGGCTTTCTGGGGCTCTGGGTCTGACCCAGCACTGAGGGCCAGCTGCTAGGGGCATGGAAGTGGCCCTCTAAGATTCTGTCCTGCCATGTGGAGTCTGAGGAGCTCAAGCTCCAGTTACTGACGCACTGTGGGTCCCAAGGGAGCCCCCCAAGCCTCTCATATGCCTGCCTCCTAGGATGGGCTGCTCCCATACACACAACAACACCCCCTCTCTCTAGGGACTGGACTCCAGGGCTCCTCGCCAGGGTGTGTGTGCCAGCCCCATGCAAGTGCCACGTCTTCTGTGTGCCTTTCCAGATCCCCTTGGAATCATTTCTTGCTTCCAGCTCCCACAGCATGTGACATGTGACTCGCATCAGATGTGTTTAACCCCACTTTGTGAGTGGCACCGAAACGACATGT
Source organism: Homo sapiens (assembly GCF_000001405.40). Taxonomy (NCBI): domain Eukaryota; kingdom Metazoa; phylum Chordata; class Mammalia; order Primates; family Hominidae; genus Homo; species Homo sapiens. Next base: position 117,562,525 of record NC_000011.10, read on the forward strand.
GGGTCTCCTTGGCTGCAGGGCAAGTTTTCTGAGGCCCAAGGTTAAAGAAGCATGAGTCACCAGAAACTGGTGGGATCTAACAGACTTGGGCTTGAACACTAGTTCTTGGCCAGTAGCTCACAGAGTAGGCACCTTGTGAATGAATGAATGAACAAATGAATGAACGAATGAAGGTGCTTAACTTTTCTCCTCAGTTCCTTCTTTCTTTCCTTGTTTTTCTTTTTCTGTTTTGAGACAGACTCTGTTGCCCAGGCTGGAATGCAGTGGTGCCATCTTGGCTCACTGCAACCTCCATCTCCCGGGTTCAAGTGGTTCTCCTGCCTCAGCCTCCTGAGTAGCTGGGATTACAGGTGTGCTACACCACACCCTGCTATCAGTTCCTTCTTTCTAAAGTGGAGGCAATCATATCTATTTTATAAGGATGTTGGAAGGCTTGCTGACACTGTCTGGAAGGATCTGATGCAGAAAATTCAAGGTTATTATTACAATCACTCATTGACGTGCCCCCGTTCCAGCCTCCCATCCTAGCCAACTGCTTGCTGAAATGAAGTGAACGCCAAGAGCAGTCACTGCAGCACCAAGGCCATTTCCTAGTGGTGTCTCACCCACCCAATAGCTGGTCCTGGAGTGGAGGGTGCTTGTAGCTGACTCTGGGGCAGGTTGTCTTTTATTTAATGTGTTTATTTCTTGCATATAGGAAGAAAGTTGGGATATTCAGCAAAGACGGGATAAAGGAAAGAGAGAGGGGAAATAAATCCCAAAGAACAGCTGAGAACCAGATGAAATGGATGACACGGCAGCACGCATGGTGCTGGGTCAGCTCAGCTTGGCCCTCCAGTTCCCCAGCTCTCCAGGCTTGCTTAAATATGGAACCTGGGCAGAGGCTAGGAAGAACTGGGATGGAGAAGTCAGGGGCCAGCTGCATTTTTAAAAAGCTGACAAAAGCCCCTCTGCTTGTGAAGGTTCTACTTCCACGCTTTCATAGATGTAAAGGAAGCTCCGTGCCAGAGGGAATCACACGTTCACCTGTCATTAGGCCTTGTTCCCCATGTGGTGTGTCTATCATGTGTTTGCTGAGTTTGTGCCTACTTTGTGACCATTGCATTCACTTTCTCTTGTTTGGAAAATGTAAAAGCATTCAGTGTTGTAAGTGGTGGGGAGAAGACGAGAACTATTATAATGGACCTCAAAGCGGAATTGATTGAGAAAATAGACCAGTGTTGTACTGCTTCTCTATGGGACGAGCCGTGTGACAGCGAGGACCATTCTGAGGGCAGATTTGCACAACATACGACATGTGAAAAGGGCTGGGCTAGGCCTGTGCACCCTGGCAATGGAAGGAAGACATGAGGAGAAATGATGGATGAAATGGATGATGCACTCTGTGGGCTTCTCTGCATCTGTGACGGGTGCCAGTCTAACTAGGAGATCAAAGCCTGAGCAAGGAGAGGTGGTGAAAGTGCCAAGAAGGCTGCAAGTGCCAAGGGCGTAGTGGCCCAGGAGTTCCCAGGGGCCCACTAGTGGAGTTCACCGAGGTGGAGGGTTCCCTGCCACATAGTTTTCCATGTCACCAAGCAGTTCTATTTTTGGGAAAAGATGTCTGTTTAACACTGTATCCGCAAGAGGGAAAAGTGTAAGCTTGGTTTAAAGCTTCAGAGGACTGACTCACACTCCTGTTTCATAGAAATGTACCAGGGTATGGCAACTTAAACCTCTGCTGGTCTCTTTGGACTGATGAGTAGTATCTGGGCCAACTCATTGCCTTCCGAGATGGAATCCATTTCTCTACCTTGTGCAGAGACACTCTTCTTTGAACACGTTGAGAAGCACTCCCTAGCCTTTGTTATTGTTTTTATTCACCAGAGAACACACAGCTCTCAAGAGGCCAAAGGGACATTGCTCTGCTCTGGAACAATCATCCGCAATCAATAGGCCTTGCAGGTCCCGGCGATTCTCCTGCTGCAGCTGCTCTGGCTTCTTTGCTGCCCCTGAACATGCAAAGCACCCTCCTGCCTCAGACCTCTGCTCTTGCTGGTCCCTCTGCTGGGAGGCTCTGCCTGGGTCTCTGCTGCTCACTCCTTGCCTCCCTCAAGGCTCTGCTCAAACCTCTCTCTCTCTCTTTCTTTCTTTCTTTTTCTTTCCTTCCTCCTTCCTTCCTTCCTTCCTATCCTTCCTTCCTTTCTTCCTTCTTTCCTTTCCTTCCTTCTTTCCTTCTCTTTCTTCTCTCTCTCTCTTTCTTTCTTTCTTTCTTCTTTCTTTTTGATGGAGTCTCGCTCTGTCACCCAGGTTGGAGTGCAGTGGTGCGATCTCGGCTCACTGCAACCTCCACCTCCTGGGTTCAAGCGATTCCACTGCCTCAGCCTCCCAAGTAGCTGAGATTATAGGTGTCTGCCACCATACCCAGCTAATTTTTGTATTTTTAGTAGAGACGGGGTTTCACCATGTTGGTCAGGCTGGTCTTGAACTCCTGACCTCAGGTGATCTGCCCACCTCGGCCTCCCAAAGTGTTGGGATTAACAGGCATGAGCCACTGTGCCCGGCCAAACCTCACTTTCAATGACGACCTGACCACCTGTTCAGTGCTGCATCCCGCCCCTCCCCTGCCCTTCTCACCTGCTTTTTTCTGCTCTGCTTTCTCCTTAGTATTTCTTCTGTTTTAAAAATCAATGTGTACTAAAGGTACATCGTTTTGGGGGTACATGTGATAATTTAATACATTCATAAAATTTGTAAAGATCAGATCAGTGAATTGAGGATATTCATCACCTTGAATATTTGTCTTTTCTTTATGTCAGAAACAGTTGAATGTTTCTCTTCTAGCTATTCTGAAATATACAATGGATTACTGTAAACTCCAGTGACCCTATTGATCTATATCTAACACTAGGTCTTATTTCTTCTCTCAAACCGTGTATTTGTACCTATGCCCCTTAGCATTTCTGACGTGGCATTGATACACAAACACAGTATCTAATTTACTTGTTTATTATGACTCATTGTCTGTCTCTTCCTGCTGGATCATAAGCCCCATGAGGGCAGGGATCTTTGTTATTCCACTGCTCTATCCTAAGATCCTGGATGAGTGTCTGCCACACAGAAGGGGCTCCATGTGGGTGGCAGGAAATGGCTTCACCATGCCCCCATCCCCTGTGCTTAGGCCCACTGTCTCACCTTTTTGGTGTTTTTTTCCCCCTCTCCCTCAGCACTCAGCTGGCTACAGGCTGTTTGTGTCTCTGGCCCAGGCTGCCCTCTAGGTGTGACAGATGCATGGCCAGGCTCACTCAGAGCTTGATGGCGGCGGAAGACTGAGTAGGGGGTGTGACCAGATCAGGGACGGTGCAGACCCTGTCCTCTGCATGCCAAAGCTCAAAGCCACACAGCAGGCTCATTCTGAGATGGGCAGATATCTCTTGGACAACTGTCTCCCCCCTCCCTCACTGTCATCTCCGTGACAAAGTGGGGCCTGAGGACTGGTAGCCTAAGCCAGGTTCTCAGAGCTCATGCTGATCTTAGATAACATTTGTAAGCACTGGCCATGGGTTGGGCACTTCATGCAGACTATGCCATTTTATCCTCCTGCAATCCTCCCAGTTAATTGTTATCATTATCACCATCATCATCTCTGTTTAATAGATGAGGGGACGGAGACCTATAGAGTGACTTGTACAAAATTAGAGAGCTGGTCCTGTGACAGAAGTCAGGCTACCCTCCACCCTCTGCATAAATTGTACAGACAAAACAGAAGCTCAGGTCTGTTGATTTCAAACCCTACATCCTTTCTTTTCTTTCTGTCTCTCTTTCTCCCTTTCTTTTCTTTCTCTCTCTCTCTCTCTTTTTTTTTTTTCTAGGGCCTTGCTCTGTTACCCAGGCTGGAGTGCAGTGGTGCAATCACCGCTCACTGCAACCTCTGCTTCCTGGGCTCAGGCGATCCTCCCACCTCAGCTTTGTGATTAGCTGAGACCACAGGTGACACCCACCATGCCCAGCTAACTTTTGTATTTTTTTGTAGTGATGTGATTTTTGCCTTGGTTTTTTTTTTGTTTGTTTTATTTATTTATTTATTATTATTATACTTTAAGTTTTAGGGTACATGTGCACCATGTGCAGGTTAGTTACATATGTATACATGTGCCATGCTGGTGTGCTGCACCCACTAACTCATCATCTAGCATTAGGTATATCTCCCAATGCTATCCCTCCCCACTCCCCCTACCCCACAACAGTCCCCAGAGTGTGATGTTCCCCTTCCTGTGTCCATGTGTTTTCATTGTTCAATTCCCACCTATGAGTGAGAATATGCGGTGTTTGGTTTTTTGTTCTTGCGATAGTTTACTGAGAATGATGATTTCCAATTTCATCCATGTCCCTACAAAGGACATGAACTCATCATTTTTTACGGCTGCACAGTATTCCATGGTGTATATGTGCCACATTTTCTTAATCCAGTCTATCATTGTTGGACATTTGGGTTGGTTCCAAGTCTTTGCTATTGTGAATAATGCTGCAATAAACATACATGTGCATGTATCTTTATAGCAGCAGGATTTATAGTCCTTTGGGTATATACCCAGTAATGGGATGGCTGGGTCAAATGGTATTTCTAGTTCTAGATCCCTGAGGAATCGCCACACTGACTTCCACAATGGTTGAACTAGTTTACGGTCCCACTAACAGTGTAAAAGTGTTCTTATTTCTCCACATCCTCTCCAGCACCTGTTGTTTCCTGACTTTTTAATGATTGCCATTCTAACTGGTGTGAGATGGTATCTCATTGTGGTTTTGATTTGCATTTCTCTGATGGCCAGTGATGGTGAGCATTTTTTCATGTGTTTTTTGGCTGCATAAATGTCTTCTTTTGAGAAGTGTCTGTTCATGTCCTTCACCCACTTTTTGATGGGGTGGTTTGTTTTTTTCTTGTAAATTTGTTTGAGTTCATTGTAGATTCTGGACACTAGCCCTTTGTCAGATGAGTAGGTTGTGAAAATTTTCTCCCATTTTGTAGGTTGCCTGTTCACTCTGATGGTAGTTTCTTTTGCTGTGCAGAAGCTCTTTAGAGAATACTATAAACACCTCTATGCAAATAAACTAGAAAATCTAGAAGAAATGGATAAATTCCTCGACACATACACTCTCCCAAGACTAAACCAGGAAGAAGCTGAATCTGTGAATAGACCAATAACAGGAGCTGAAATTGTGGCAATAATCAATAGCTTACCAACCAAAAAGAGTCCAGGACCAGATGGATTCACAGCCGAATTCTATCAGAGGTACAAGGAGGAACTGGTACCATTCCTTCTGAAACTATTCCAATCAATAGAAAAAGAGGGAATCCTCCCTAACTCATTTTATGAGGCCAGCATCATCCTGATACCAAAGCCGGGCAGAGACACAACCAAAAAAGAGAATTTTAGACCAATAGCCTTGATGAACATTGATGCAAAAATCCTCAATAAAATACTGGCAAACCGAATCCAGCAGCACATCAAAAAGCTTATCCACCATGATCAAGTGGGCTTCATCCCTGGGATGCAAGGCTGGTTCAATATACACAAATCAATAAATGTAATCTAGCATATAAACAGAACCAAAGACAAAAACCAAATGATTATCTCAATAAATGCAGAAAAGGCCTTTGACAAAATTCAACAACCCTTCCTGCTAAAAACTCTCAATAAATTAGGTATTGATGGGATGTATCTCAAAATAATAACAGCTATCTATGACAAACCCACAGCCAATATCATACTGAATGGGCAAAAACTGGAAGCATTCCCTTTGAAAACGGGCACAAGACAGGGATGCCCTCTCTCACCACTCCTATTCAACATAGTGTTGGAAGTTCTGGCCAGGGCAATCAGGCAGGAGAAGGAAATAAAGGGTATTCAGTTAGGAAAAGAGGAAGTCAAATTGTCCCTGTTTGCAGATGACATGATTGTATATCTAGAAAACCTCACTGTCTCAGCCCAAAATCTCCTTAAGCTGATAAGCAACTTCAGCAAAGTCTCAGGATACAAAATCAATGTACAAAAATCACAAGCATTCTTATACACCAACAACAGACAGAGAGCCAAATCATGAGTGAACTCCCATTCACAATTGCTTCAAAGAGAATAAAATACCTAGGAATCCAACTTACAAGGGACATGAACGACCTCTTCAAGGAGAACTACAAACCACTGCTCAAGGAAATAAAAGAGGATACAAACAAATGGAAGAACATTCCATGCTCACGGGTAGGAAGAATCAATATCCTGAAAATGGCCATACTGCCCAAGGTAATTTACAGATTCAATGCCATCACCATCAGGCTACCAATGACTTTCTTCAAGAATTGGAAAAAACTACTTTAAAGTTCATGTGGAACCAAAAAAGAGCCCGCATCACCAAGTCAATCCTAAGCCAAAAGAACAAAGCTGGAGGCATCACACTACCTGACTTCAAACTATACTACAAGGCTACAGTAAGCAAAACAGCATGGTACTGGTACCAAAACAGAGATATAGATCAATGGAACAGAACAGAGCCCTCAGAAATAACGCCGCATATCTACAACTATCTGATCTTTGACAAACCTGAGAAAAATAAGCAATGGGGAAAGGATTCCCTATTTAATAAATGGTGCTGGGAAAACTGGCTAGCCATATGTAGAAAGCTGAAACTGGATCCCTTCCTTACACCTTATACAAAAATCAATTCAAGATGGATTACAGACTTAAACGTTAGACCTAAAACCATAAAAACCCTAGAAGAAAACCTAGGCATTACCATTCAGGACATAGGCATGGGCAAGGACTTCATGTCTAAAACACCGAAAGCAATGGCAACCAAAGCCAAAATTGACAAATGGGATCTAATTAAACTAAAGAGCTTCTGCACAGCCTTGTTTTTGTAGAGATGGGATTTTTGTATTTCATAGAGATGGGATTTTTGTATTTTGTGTAGAGGTGGGATTTCGTCTTGTTGCCCAGGTCTCAAACTCTTGATCCTCCCACCTTGGCCTCCCAAAGTGCTGGGGTTAGAGGCATGAGCCACCCTGCCAAGCCCTGCCTACTTCCTTTCTATTACACCAAGCCACTTCCCTCATTCTGTACTACCTTGGCTAAGGTGGTGACACTTGAACTGAGATAATGCTACTGGCCACCTTTCCTCTTCCTGTAGGCTGAGTGACATTCCGTTTCCCAGACCCTCTGCAGCCAGGTAGGCTTGTGAATGCAGCTCAGTCTGACCAACAGATGCAGTTGAAATGATGAACTCACTCCAGGCCTGGCTCCCAAGGTCTCCTGCATGTTCCTCCACACTTACTCTCTTCTCCCCTTGCTGGCCACATACAGGCAATCCCAGTGGAGGGCTCTGGGCCCCTAGGAGAAAGAACGAACTGTGAAGAACAGAGCTGTTCCTGACTCTCTGGCATGGGATGTGAATGAGAAATAAACTTGTATAAGATTAAGTCATTGAGATCTTGGATCACCTACCCTGTCTAATACAACCTTGAAGGATGAGGACATGTTTGCCAGGCAAAGAAGGCACGGGAGCCTTTCTGGGAAGCAGGAACGTGTTGAGCATGTGGGAATGCGGGAATGTGTTGGGGGATGTTCAAGCTGGCTCAGCTTTCTAGAGGGGTGGGGGGATGTGAGCTAGAATGGCGGGGTCGGCTGGCGCGTCTCAGATGCTATCCTGGAGATGATGGGGTAGTTTTCGGGGTATCTCATGCCAAGGATGAACGCTTTAGATTTGAGTGTTAGGACCATTCTAGAGCATTCCTCAATACCTTTCCAAGGAATTGCAGTTCTGAGACTTGCTCATAGAACATGCCGTTCTGCTTCTCCTTAGACAGTCACAATGCATATTAACACATCAGTCCCCCTCTGTCCCTTTACTGGTTTGCTTTCTTCACAGCACTCACCATTTGAAGTTCTCTTATTTACTTGCAAATTTATTTTATACCTCCCTCTGCACTGAAATATAAGTGTCATGAGAGCATAAAACTTGTGTGTCTTATTCACCACTTATTCCAAGCAGCTAGATGAGTACTTGGCACCTAGTAGGTGCTGAATACATTTTTGGTGACTGAGCAGTTTAAGGTGACTGAGAAGTCCTGCAGCAAAGGAATACCAATCCCTTTACAATATCTATTGTGTGTGTATGCAAGACCTGTTAATATTTCCCTTGACTACCACACTTTGTGCATGCTGCCCTAGTGGCCAGTGGCAGATGGCGTGGGCCTCTGCTAATTATGTCTACCACTCAGGGGCCACTGAGGGTCATGACCCTTCACAGGGGTGGGAGTGGGAGGTCCAGCTAAGACACTAAGAAGACACTGGCCACGGCAGCTGGAACCTGGTGCTGAGGCTGAAGCCTTGTTCCTTTGAGGAGCTCAAAGACGAATCAGGATCCAGCTCTCTGCCAGCCTGGCCCCACGCCAGCTACAAGGCCAGCTTCCCACACATGGCAGCTGAGGGTAGATGCTAAGCTTTATAGATTACTCTTGGCCTCTTGCAGAACCTGTGCCTATGATGATGTTTTGCTGGGCACCAGAGAAATGATATAATGAAACTCAAACCTCATTATGGAGACGAGCAGAGCCCTGGTGGGGACGATGTCGGGAGACCAGTGCTCCAGAGGGATCACGCCTGTGCCCAGGGCCCTCTGCCTCTAGAACAAATGGTTGTGGGGGCTTGAGAAATATCCCTGGCCTGGGAGCAGAGGATTTGAGAGCAGCAAAGGGCTTTGGAGATCATCCTTATCATTGCAGTTATTGCTACAATTTACTGAGCAGCTGTCACTCTTACCCATCCTAGAGGTAGGTATTACTGTGCCCATTTCACAGAGGAGGACACTGCAGTGCAGAGAGAGGGAATGATGCTCCTGAGATCGTGGACTGAGTGAGTGAGGGGCCACGCTGGAAGGAGGAGCCCACTCTCTGGACTCTGTCCAGCACTCTGATCTGGTCTCTCTGGCCTCCTGGAGCACTAGCCTTCATCACACTGTTTTGCTGAGATTTCCGGTATTCCCAGGGGAAGAACCTGCCCTGGAGCCCAGGTGAGCTCTGTGCTAGCCTGCTGGGACCAGCTATTTGAGAGGAAGGTGAACAAGGAAGAGTGGATGCAGATGAAGGCCCTGGGTCTGGGTCCTCAGCCCGTCCTCCCCCCACCTACAGGTGTTCTCCTTTCAGAGGCATTTGAACCAGAGCAACTCCATCTTGAATAGGGGCTGGGTAAAATGAGGCTGATACCTACTGGGCTGCATTCCCAGACGGCTAAGGAATTCTAAGTCACAGGATAAGATAGGTCAGCACAAGATGAAGGTCATAAAGACCTTGCTGATAAAACAGGTTGCAGTAAAGGAGCTGGCCAAAACCCACCAAAACCAAGATGGTGATGACAGTGACCTCTGGTCGTCCTCATTGCTACACTCCCACCAGCGCCAATACAGTTTCCAATGCCATGGCAACGTCAGGAAGGTATCCTATATGGTCTAAAAAGGGGAGGCATGAATAATCCACCCCTTGTTTAGCAAATCATCAAGAAATAACCAGAAAAATGGGCAACCAGCAGCCCTTGGGGCTGCTCTGTTTATGGAATAGCCATTCTTTTATTTCTTTACTTTCCTAACAAAGTTGCTTTCACTTTATGGACTCGCCCTGAATTCTTTCTTGCACGAGATCCAAGAACCCTCTCTTGGGATCTGGATCGGGACCCCTTCCCTGTAACATTCTTGCCTTCCTCTTCTAATGAGTAAACATTTCTCACAGGGCAGAAAGCCTTTGTGGTTTTCACAAGGGTTTGCTCAGCTGTGGCCTCTCCGAGTTTCCAGCCTAGGCCTGGGAGGTGAGGAAATGTCACCCAGCTGGCTGGTGAGGAAGCCTGGAGGAAGTCAGGGTTCCTGATGTTCAACCTGGCATTTCACCACCATGATAATGAATGTGGATTACTCCTTGTGAAACTGGCTTGTGGCATTAGCCTCCCCTCCCTATCTCATTCTTCTGCCGTAGGGACTCCTTGCCCCATCCCCTTTAGTGAAGGAGTGTATCCTCCGGTCACACCAGCTCTGTTTGTAAGCTAGAACCCATGGTGGGCAAATAGTGCTCAATAAGTACTTACAGGGGAATTATTAGGGAGTCCAACATCCGGTAGGGGATTGGGGGGAGGCGGGGATATGCTATGCAAAGATCTGGTTCCCGCAAATCAGTTGAGTGAAGGCAAATGAGTCCCTGCCCTTCATTAGATAAGTGGTGGTTGATCAGGTTCTCCTCTGCCCGTTCAAGTGCAGGTATAACTAGACATGCTTCTCTCAGGCTCTGGCCCACCCTCCTGCCCTGGAGACCTCACAAGGCCAGAGAGCCCTGCTCTCTCAGAATGTGGGGTCAATCAGGCATCGCCCGGGGGCAGAGGGAGAGGAGAAGTGACCTGTAGATTGAGCCCCATCAACCTTAATGTTCATAATGGCCCTAATGGTGATAATGGTGATAACAGCACTTTCACAGTTGTTATCTTAGCTGTTCTTCATAATGGCCCTGTGAGAGAGCTATTGTTTTACCTTCCCCTTCTCCAAATGGGGAAAATGGAGCTCAAGTTTACACTGCTTCTACGTGGCACCAGCTAGCACTCGAAGCTCACACGTGTCCTGTCGTGCATTCAGAAGGTGATCTGAACACTCCAACCCCGATCTGCTACTGCTGCAGATCATACGCAGAGTACGCTGGCCGTACGCTCTCTGCAAGCTCAGGTCCAGCTTTCTAGAGACTAGAGCAGTTTGCATTTATGGGTATTGGTGCCTAGACACGGGTGGTTATCAATTAGATTCCAGTCTGGAAGAATCTTTCAATCCCCTCTCAGCTGGGCTGCTGGGGCCGGCTGGGCAGGGCTGCCTGTGACAGCCCCTGACAGCTACAGGAGGCAGAGGAGCCCATCTCTCTTCCATTCAGAACCTTCCACTGGATCACTCTGCCCCAGGCCTAGCCGGTGGTACCTCGGGTGCTCCGCCCCACCCTCTGCTTCAGCCCCAGCCAGGTAATCCCCTGGGTGGGCATCCCTCAGTCACAACATCCAGAGGTAGGTGGGATCCTGCAGTGAAGACAGCTCTCCAGTGAGGCCATCAGCGTCCTCTGCCCTGCAGCCTCCTGTCGCCGACCACTTCAGTGCCATGCAGCAAAGCAAATATGCTTCAGCCCCCCGTGGAACAGTAAGCCCCAAATGCTAAGTTCTCCCTTACGCTTCCAGAAGACAGCCAAAGGGTGGTATCTCAAGAAGAGCATTGAAGGAGGATGCAGGCACCTTTTCCTGGTGAAGGAGAACCTTGCTGCCTCCTGCCCTGTTCCACCAAATCCTTCAGGGCCCCTGGCACAGCTGAAGGAGAATGCCCAGCATCTGCCAGCTACTGCCTCCTCCCTCTGCTGCTGTGAGTCCCTCATGCTCGGCAGGATGTTCACGAGGCCAAGGCTGTTCTCTGCTTCCCCCTGAGCTCCCTCCAGCTCTACCATTCCATAGCTTTCTGGAGCTGGGAAGGAGGAAGTGCTGGATCCCTCATTCTAGGAGCTGGATGGGAGGGAAGGGGGGCCAGTGTGTCCACCCACCCTTCCACCTCGACTCCTGGGCCACTCTGGCAGCTGCACATTCTAGCTCTTGGTCTCACTTTCTCCCCTGGGGGATCCAATTCTCCAGAAGAACAAATGGGTGCCACATTTTTGGGCAAAACCTACCCATTTAGAGGCAGGGGAAGGAGCAGCAGAGTTCTGAATCCCTGGGTGGTCCTAGAGAGGCCTGGTACTCAGGGTGTCTTCCCTGCTCTTGAAAGAGGCCCTAGTCTCTACCACTGTGGGGAGATTAGGTGGAGGGTTCCTTGGGGCAGGCTCCGAAGGAGGTTGCCTCTGCTGGTATTAATGGGGAGCTGAGCTGTCATGGTTTGGACTGTCTCTGAGGCCCACATCCTTTCTGCAAATCACCTACTCTCTGCTCTTAGGCCTCTGCCAGAGAGCCATGGGTTGGCCTTTTCTCCAGATGCAGGGGCCCTTTAGCATTCACCAGTGGACACGAACTTGGTGACCCTGCACTGTCTCTGTGGTGCCTCCCCTTATCATCTTCCCTCTGAGAGCAGCTCCAAGTGTGTGGGCCCCTGAGCCTGGCACTCCCTACCTCTCAAGGGCAGAAGTGCAGGCCTGGACTCAATGAGGACTGGCATTGGGTCCTCTGGGCTCTGCCCCAGCCCTACTGTGGGGCCTGCCACGGAACCTCCCTGGGCACCAGCACCAGCCAGACTACAGAAAGCAGCATGTGCAAAGAGCAGTACTTAGAGGAAAAGAGTCCACTGCCTGGCCTGGGAAGGGGAGGCCTGGCCACAAGCTACAGTCCCAGGGGTGAGCAGGCACAGTTACTAGAACAGAAATCCTGCCGGGTGTGGTGGCTCACACCTGTAATCCCAGCACTTTGGGAGGCCGAGGAGGGTGGATCTCCTGAGGTCAGGAGTTCGAGACCAGCCTGGCTAACATGGTGAAACCCCGTCTCTACTAAAGATACAAAAATTAACTGGGCATGGTCATAGGCGCCTGTAATCCCAGCTACTCGGGAGGTTGAGGAAGGAGAATCACTTGAACCCAGGAGGCGGAGGTTGCAATGAGCTAAGATAGTGCCATTACATTCCAGCCTGGGCAACAAGAGTGAAACTCCATTTCAAAAATAAAAAACAGAACAGAAGTCCTGTGTCCTGAGAACAAGACGCTCTGGGACCACATCTGGAGGACTGGGCTCTGTTGGTAGAAACCAGAGCAAAGCACCCGGGATGACGCATGGTTTGAGACCCACCACAAGCACTAGAAGAAATGGGGTGAGGTAGGGAGTTGCTTAGAAGAGGAAAGGCTTACAGGGGACCTGATAAGTTCCAACTGGTGGTTCTCAGCCTCTGATGCATATTAGGATCACTTTTCAAAGTTACAGGCCCAAGCTCTACCCTTGAGGCTTCTGATTCAGTAGGCCAAGGTGAAGTCCTGGCATCTGGTTTGATAAAGCTTCTTGTGGTGATTTGCTGTATGGCTGGGGTTGAGACTCCTGCATGAGAAGAGCTCAAAGCTTGACCTCCAACTAAGATGTTGTAAGTCAGGGTCTTTCAAATAGGCAGAGCTTTGCTCTCTACACATAGTAGTTGAGAACAATAAAAAAAACCCAAAGGCTTGGGCAGGGTGGTGCACACCTGTGGTCCCAGCTGCTCAGGAGGCTGAGGTGGGAGGATCACTCAAACCCGGGAGCTGGAGGCTGCAGTGAGCCATGATCATGCCACTGCACTCCAGTTTGGGTGACAGAGCCAGATCCTGTCCAAAAACAAAAACAACCCAAAACAAAACAAAACAAAACAAAACAAAACAAAACAAACAAAAAAAGAACAAGCAAGCAAGCAAAGGCTTGGGCCCACACTGCTGGAATGACACCCTTGTCTGCGCTACAGAATAGAGAGGATGCAGAGGGTCCTGGATGCTTGTCTGGGCTCTGAATAGGATGCCAGAGCCCGAGTGCCCAGCCCTTCCACCTACACAAAGGGCACTTTTTCCACCAGCGAGGCTCCTGCCCTATATCTGCAGAGCCTGGGCTCTGAAGAATCCCATCAGCTCCCTGTGATGGGTGTGTGCTGAGGCTGCTGTACCCTTACCCGGACCTTCTAGGACCAACTGACCCCTTTACAATCAGGGTCTGTGAAGAAGTTGCCTTGAGAGGGGTGATTGGGTTTGGGGTCTCATTCTGGGTTTCACTGACTCCATGTGGATGGATGAGGGGGTTTTTGTCCAGCGAGGAGGAAGAGCAACTCCCCTTCCCAGAGGTGAGGGGTTCTCCACAGGGCACGAGGACCAATCTGGCTCGTGCTCTTGGGTCCAGTCTTGCTCCTCCCCATTCCATGGAGCACAAGGCCGCTTTCCCAACAGTGGACTCTCCCAACATTTGTTTGATTGCTTTCTACTCCCAGTTCCCTTCACTTTACCAACATCTTCATTGCCTTCCAGCTTTCAGTATGGATTTCAGTCCACAGAAATGAAGACAAGAATGAAGATACTGAGCTTGTTAAGGGAGCTCCTAGCACCGTGCCTGGCACACAATACCAGCTCAAGAAATGGACATGTCCCTGGCCCTGCCACCCCTTCCTGAATGCCTCATACAACAGAGTCAAGGCTGACTGTTTCCACAAGGGACTCTTTTCTTTTTGTACCCAAAACCCTTCTAGCTTTTGCCTCCTGAGCATGTGTTGCTGCCGGAGCAATGTGGCCCAGCTGTGCCCCGAGTGTCAGGGAACAATCAGCTAGAGAGTCAACATTTTCATCAACGAAAGTGGATAATCCAAATGCAGATAATTGAGAACCAGGCAGGAGTCACAGACCTGGTGGCCTTCGAAGGCTTATTACCATTGATCTGCATATTCTAGGCGTCTTACGAGGGCGTCCACTTTTCACATGACTTGGGCTTACTTTGAAATTTGAATCCTTGATTGAGAATTTAATTTCTTCTTCTATATGGCAAATCATACCCACCCCAATGCCCCAACCAGAATGGCAATGGAGTGTGATGGACGGAGCCCCACATTAGGTAACAGGAGCCTGTGGTCTAACCCATAGGTCCCTGGTACTGGTGTCACCACCCGAGGTTACTGAATCTCTCTGGTCTCTGGCCCAGGGGCTGGACAAGATTATTGGTTCTCAGATCCCTGTCCATGGCCTAGCTGTACCAGAATCACCTGGAACATATCTTAGAAAGTATGGATGCCCTGGCCCTGCTCTCAGTGTTCAATTCAACACAACATGGGCATCTACATTTTTAAAAAGCTCTACAGTGATTTTACTGCATGGCCACATTTAGGAACTATGTAGCCAAGTAAGATTTCCTTCCTTCCTCCCTCCCTCCCTCCCTCCCTCCTTTCCTCCTTTCCTTCCTTCCTTCTTTCCTTCCTTCCTTCCTTCCTTTCCTTCCTTCCTTCCTTCCTTCCTTCCTTCCTTCCTTCCTTCCTTCCCTCCTTCCTTCCTTCCTTCCTTCCTTCCTTTCCTTCCTTCCCTCCCTCCCTCCTTCCTTCTTTCCTTTCTTTTTTTTTTTGACGGAGCCTCGCTCTGTCGCCCAGGCTGGAGTGCAGTGGTGCAATCTCGTTTCACTGCAACCTCTGCCTCCCGGGTTCAAGCAATTCTCCTGCCTCAGCCTCCCAAGTAGCTGGGATTACAGGCGTGAGCCACCAAGCCCGGCTAATTTTTGTATTTTTAGTAGAGACAGGGTTTCACCATGTTGGTCAGGCTAGTGTTGAACTACTGACCTCAAGTGATCCACCCGCCTCGGTCTACCAAAGTGCTGGGATTACAGGTGTGAGCCACCACTCCCGGCCCTAAGCAAGATTTTGTTATCCTACCTGGTCCACCAGAGGCATTCACCCAGTTGACCCCTCTTGCCTATTAAAAATCTGAACTTCTCAGCCTGGCATGGTGGCTCATGCCTGTAATCCCAGCACTTTGGGAGGCTGGGATGGGTGGATCACCTGAGGTCAGGAGTCCGAGACCAGCCTGACCAGCATGGTGAAACCCTGTCTTTACTAAAAATGCAAATATTAGCTGGGTGTGGTGGTGCATGACTGTAATCCCAGCTACTCGGGAGGCTGAGGCAGGAGAATTGCCTGAAGCCATGAGGCTGAGGTTGCAGTGAGCCGAGATTGTGCCATTGTATTCCAGCCTGGGCAACAAGAGCGAAACTCTGTCTCGAAAAAAAAAAAAAAAAAAAAGAAGAAAAATCTGAACTTCTCTTGGCTTCCATGACACCAGTCTATCCCAATCCCCCTTCTCCCTCACTGCCACACCTTCTCAGTCTCCTTTCCTGCTTCCTCCCTTCTGTTCCACATCTAAATATTGGTGTGGGCTGGGTGCAGAGGCGCATGCCTGTAATTCTACCACTTTGGGGGTCGAAGGCAGGAGGATCACTTGAGGCCAGAAGTTCAAGACCAGTCTCGCCAACAGAGCAAGACCCCATCTCTAAAAATTTTTAAAAATTAGCCAGGCTCAGTGGTATGTCCCTGTAGTCCTAGCTACTCGGGAGGCTGAGGTGGGAGGATAGCCTGAGTCCAGGAGTTCAAGGCTACAGTGAGCTATGATGGCACCACTGCACTCCTGTCTGGGAAACAGAGCAAGATGTGGTCTCAAAAATCAATAAAAAATATAAATATAAAATAAATGTTGGTGTGCCCCAAGGTCCTAAGCTCCCTCTACTATCTAGACTCTCTCCTATGGCTGGAAGTCCCTCCCATATGCCAATGGCTTCCCAGGTATGAATCTGTAGCCCTGATCTTTCCCCAGAACTGCCTACTCTTTACCTCCACCTGAATGTCTAATAGTCATTGCAAAGTGATCATGTTCAGCACAGAAAACTTAGCCTTACCTCAGCCCTCCAGCCTATTGCTCCCCAGTCTTCCCATTCCCCATGAAGGGCATCCCAACCCATCCAGACACTTCATCCAAAAATACAGCAGTTATCCTTGATTCTTCTGTTTTCCTTTCTGCCTTCACCCAATTATCAGCAAGTCTTGTTGGCTCTATCTCCAAATATATCCCAGACTCATCTAATTCCTCTCTAAGTACATTGCCATGGCCGGGTCAACATCTCCCTCCTCCCCCACCGAGGCTCTGCAGCCCAATGTTCTCTCTGCTTCCACTCTTGTCCTCTTGTAATCCATTCTCCACTTGACAGCTCAAGTCCTCCTTTGAAAAGCATGTCATCCCCTCCAGAGCTTGCCATAACACTTACAAGCAAATTCAAACTCTTTACGGTGACCTAGAGCCTTCTGCAATCTGGCCCTGCCCACTTCTTGGACTTCCTCTTTATGGCTCCCCTATCCTTGTTGATGCCACTCTGGGTACTCCAGCTCTCTGCCCACTCCTTGGGCACAACTGGATCATTTTCACTTTAAGGTTTTGCACCAGCTGCTCCTTCTGCTTAGAAGCTCTTCCCTGATCTCCACACAGTTGGCTCCTTCCTGCCACTTATGTCTCAGCTAAATGTCCCCTCTGCAGACAGGCCTTCCCTGACCACCCGATTCAAAGTAGATATTGAGCACTCTCTTTCAGTTTCTTCTGTTTTCATTCTCTGCACAGTATGTGGCACTGTTTGATATTTTCTAGTTCGTGACGATATTTTTCTGGCTTGTGGGTTGACCGTCTCTCTCCTCTAGAATATAAAATCTATGCAGTCAGTGACTTCATTTGTTTTGTTTGCCACTGTATTCCTGGTGCCTAGAACACTGCTTGGCACATTGTAGATGCTTAATAAATATTTATCAAATAAATAAGTAAATGTAAGTTCCCTTCTAGTTCTAGAGGTATATGATATATTTAGAATCTTTAATAATTAATTTTGTTATCCCATGTAAAGGTTTTGTGGAGTCCAAAAGTGTGATTTAGAATGTAGAATAATTGGGAAGAGTGTCAGTTTTTTATAGCTATTTAGCAGTCTAGCTGTTTCCGTCATCAGAGCTTTGCTTCCTGGAGACACGGTAAATTCCACAAAGACAGGGATTATGCCTTACCCATCTTCAAGTGTCTCAGAGCTCAAGGTTGTGCTGAGCTCCTTAAGTGTTCGTATAGAAAATGAATAGATGGTCTTCTCATGGAACAAGGATGGAAACTGAGGCAGAGAGTAGGGAGGAAATGTACTCAGGAGATCATGTTTTCTGTGGCTACATGGTTGGTTCTGTGACTCATACTTCCTGGGCTGGCTGCCTCCAAAGACCCTTTCATTCCTTCTTTGCACATGGTGAGGACAAGGCAAAGTTACCAGCAGCTTTCTCACCTAGGTGCTGGCTCAAGGGACTCAGGGCAAGCTTTAGCTCTAAGGGGCAATCTGGTAGAGCGAGGTTTGGAAGAGGTTTACTCTGGACTGTGTGTTGGCTGTGTGACCTCTGGTAGGTACTTAATCTCTCTGTGCCTCCCTTTCTGTATTGGTAAAAGACAGAGAATCATGGCACATAGGTACTTTCAGGAATTTTGTGATATGTAAATGAGAAAATGCATGAGAGGCTCTTTGTGATGCCTTGCACCCAGTAATTGCTAAATAAATGTTGGCCATTTTAATGATCGTTAATAGTTCTGGCCTTGAGCTGGGATCTGAGGTACCAGGGTTCCCTGCTTAGGATTTCCTTCTCTCTCTCTCTTCTTTGAAGCCATGGGCAAATCACCTGGAGCCTTCTTCTTTCCTGCTTTTTTGCAACCAGGATAATGATAGCTCCCCTTCCTTCTAGCACTGCTGTGTGGATTAATTAGTGTTAATTAATGGGCTTTGAAAATGAAAAGCACCTAGCTAAGTGCTGATCATGATTATTAATGGGAACCTTGAACATGGAGAAGGTGCTGAACAGGGTCCTAAAATTACACAGATTAAAGAACAATGAGGACAGGTGAGAAAGTGGCTATTAAGCTCTGAGGATGGGACCCAGGTCTGCCAGCCTGCCAAGGTGTTCAAGCCAGAACAAAACCTCGCAGTCATTCTTATGCAAAAATGACTTGGTGAGCCAACGAGGTAGAATGTTTTCAACAAATGTCATAGGCTGGAAGGGACCGCTGCAGGTCACTGAGCCGAAGCCTCCTCCTTTGAGGAGCACTGTGGCCCTTTTGCCCCTGTGAAAAATTGCCGTGCCTGTGCACTTTGAGGCAGGAAGGGTCTCCCCACGGTAATGATAATAATATAAGTTACCATGGATCACCTGCTCACTATCAAAGTGTAATTATCTAGTAAACACCATGCATTAAGGCTTTTACATGAATGTATTATGTCTTTTTTATGGAGGGGTCAGATTTATTGAGATAGAATTTGCATATAGTAAATCTCACCCATTTTAGTGTACAATTCTGAAAGGTCTGACATACCACCACCGCAATCAAGATACAGAACAGTTCCATCCCCTGCCAAACCCCTTCGTGTCCCTGTTGTCGGCCCCTCTCCCCAACCCCAGCTCCTGGCAACCACTGATCTGTTTCCTTTACCTTCAGTTTTGGCTTTTCTAGAACACTATATTTATGAAATGATACAGTGAGTAGCCATTCAAGTCTGGCTTCTTTCACTTAGTACAATGCATCTGAACATTAAGCATTGTGATGAACACAGGTAAGATCCATGCGTTACTTTTACATGCATATGTTATCTCTTCTCATTCTCAAGACACCTCTGAGTCAGGGACTATTATTATCCCCGTTTTATAGATGAAGCAACTGAGGCTTAGAAATGTTAACTTGATTAAGGTCATGCAGCTGGTAAGTGATGAAGCCACGATTTAAGCTCAGAGTTTCTAACCCAAAGTCCATGCACGCCCTTCTAGAAACCAATATCAGCAAATTTACTCAATTGTTTACACAGATTCTACCTTCATTTCCAGAAATGCTTCTTGTCCCTGATCTCATCCTATCTCCTCAAAATTCACTTCTGCCTATATTTAAAGACCCATACCAGATCCCTAGGCACAGCTTCCTGTAAGGAGCACACCACAGTTCTCACAGGGCCAGAGATCCCATGATCATCGGATGCGCATTCTCTGAAAGTAAGGGACATGCATTTGAGGACACAGGAATGAGTTCAGGGGACAAGAAGGGTATCTGGGACTCGCAGAAAAGAAATGTTAAGTTTCATTTATTGTCAGAATCAGCCTGGTTTCTTCTGGACCTGGTGTCTAATTTTATTTCAGCTGCTGCTTTGTGGATGTTGGGCTCTGTAGCCATTTACAAGTCCAGAGGGACCTGGGATGTGGTATGGTTTGAACCCACAAAACTGTTCTCTATTCCTTTGGAGAAGTGCTGAGCTGTGGCTGGGGAAGGCAGGCTTGGATACCAACTCAGCAACTAGCACACCAAAAAGGCACTTTCCCCTTACTGGGTCTCCAAGGATCTTGGCTGGTTGAGAGAGGGATAAGCCGGTTCCTCCAGCCCACATGGTCCTCTTCTTCCGCTCACAGTATCAATAATTGTCAAGATGTGCATAAAAGTGCATTGACCTAGTTGGAGGTTTCATAAATATAAATAAATTAAATGCTTATGCCTAAGGATGCCTGGGTAAGCATGGGGGAGAAAGAGAGAGAGTTACTCATGCTTGGATGGACAGTGAAGGGGACCCTCAGGCCTGCCAAGTGCAAACCAGAGAGTGCCAGGCTGTAAGGGAGAGGGGAATATCCGCAGGGCCCTGCCAGGAAGCCGGGCCCCTCCAGCTCCGGGGAAGGCTGGGCCTGAGTGCTCCTACTGTGTGCCCCAGTCCACGGGCTGTGGTGTCTGCGTAGGGATATTGACCCCTCAGTTCTCAGGCTGTGCCCTGAAGTAAATAAAGTTGAAGCACAAGAAGCCTGAGTGGGAGAAACATGGAATGATTTCAGTATTGATTTCCAAGAGGGAAAGAGGACAAAAGAATGCTAACAGCACTTCATGCTTTCAAAGTGTTTTCATAACATGATCCCATTTTATTCTCACAATGTGGCATAGGAGACAGGGATATTATTATTATTATTATTATTATTATTGTAGCACTAGCATTCCCATTTTAGAGATGAGAACATTGAGGCCCAGAGAGGTGAAGACATTTATGCAAGGTCACCCAGTAACCAGGTGGTTATCTAGTTCAAGAAACCATGGCCTTTCCCCTCCGCATGCTGATGGGCGGGGCCTGGACAGGTCTGGGACCCTCTCCCCTGGCCTCTTCTTCCCTACCCATTGTCAGTGCAGCTTCCCTTACCAGCCACTTGCACTGAAGACCCCTTGCCTCTGGTGTTCCCCCTTCCAAGTCCTCCCTGCACACTCCTCTGCCAGGCAGGTCTTAAACATGGCTTGTACCCCTCTGCTCAAGATCCTTCCTCAGCTCCCCTTCACCTATAGAACACTAGCCAATGTCTAAATCTGACAGTTTAGGCTTCGTGGTCTGACCTCATCTCGCTCCGCAAGAATCCCCTGCCCATCCAAATCTGAACGCCTGCCAGCCTTCTAGGCTCAGCTGCAGCCCCACCTCCTTGGGGATGCCTTCCCTGATTAGCCCGGCCTACGCGGCTCTCTCTTCTCCAGTCCCTGCCACAAGCGCCATTACCCTCCGTTCTGCATTGCTAGCCACCCCTCTCCCTGTGCAGGTCTGCCCTCCCCCCATCAGCCCCGGAGCCCTTGGGGAGCAGAAGCATCTGACACGCTTGACCAGATTAGGCCTGGAGAGAGCCTGGCTCCATCCCCGCCTAGCTTTGTGACCTGGGTCATTGTCCTGCCCTCTCTGCATCTTCATCCACAGAATGGGAGGAGGCTGAATCCACGAATGTCAGAAGTCCTTTCCAACTCCCACATTCCTTGTGATCATGGACCCCATCAGACCCTGGTGTGAAAGACTGATTCACTTTAGCGTTGCTCTTCTCCAGAAATTTGCATTTTAACAGGCACAATGCTTTCGGCCAAAGAAAAGAAGCTCTGACATTTGGAGTTGTGGGGGCAGGCTTCCTGGTACCCCTGTACACGGCCTGCAGGGGGTCATCTCCTCACGGCCAAAGGCCAAGTCTGCTTTGTGGAGATTTTCCTACTCCCCACCCCCTCCTCTCCTACCCCCCTGTGCAATATTAAGGGATCCTCGGGGAACTAAGAAAATAGAAACACATTTAAATTCTTTTCTGCTTCTGTCCCCTTGCATTCAGATGACTGACTCATGCTTGCCTCATCTCCCGGTCTCTAACTTTGGGCTCTAGCCCCAAGGGGCAGGGACGATGTCTTTGTTCTAGCTCCATTTTTGTGCCAGATCCTCAGACACTGGGATTCTTGGTCTGATTCCCCATCTGCCTCCACCCAGCCCCACCACCGGGATACAGTCCTTCCTATCAGCTTCTCAGGAGCCAGTGTCTACCCAAGATGGGATGTTTAGGAGGAAAAAACCAATCCCAAAGCAAAACTCAAAGCAAGCTTGTTTGTCTGCATTCAGGCCTGTATCAAGGAGTTGCATGGCACCAGGTTTGCCCAAATCCAGAGTCCTTCAAGGATGTCTGGCATCAACACTTGCTCGGCACAAAACTAGATCACTACTGTCTTGACCTTTGAGTCCTCAGAGCAAAGTTCTCAGCGCCTGGGTAGCTGCCGGCAGCTTTGCTAATTGTTCTGTGTTCCAAGTCAGGAAAAATCAGGCATGTGCATCACCTGAAGTGTTCAGCCACTTTGGTTGGTTTTGTTTTTTAAGGTGCCAAGTTGAAGTGGACACTTGGGTTGGTTTTGAACGGCTGTGAACGTTGCTTGCTACATTTGAACAGAGAGGATGTGGCATATTCAACTGCAATATAGTGGCATAGAGCATGGGCTCTGGGCAAGTGACTCAGTCTCCTTTTCTGTAAAATGGCTTAACAGGAGTACCCACCTAGTTCACAGAGTTGTTGGGGAGATCAATAGGATCATACAAGGAAAGTACTCAGAATGATACTTGGCACAGGACAAGTGTCCAATACATATTAGCTCTTATGATTATAACATGACTTGAAGGCATCGAAAATATTCCCAGTTAGTAGTGAATGGCCTGAGTCTTTGCTACAGTCTGATTTTGACGATCTCTGTCCAGATTATCCTTGTAAATATTATCTCCCAGGATTATTCAGGGCCTCCTCTCTTCATAGTCATTCAATCCTTCCACGTGACTCGCCTCATTTTGATACTCAGCAAAATGGAATTAGGAATTCATACTTTCTGTCCCCCAAAGTGCACTTCAAATCAAATGGAAAGGATTTGGGGGGTTTTCTGCTATTTTTTTTCTTTTTTTTTGAGATGGAGTCTTGCTCTGTCACCAGGCTGGAGTGCAGTGGCATGATCTCAGCTCACTGCAACCCCAGCCTCCCGGGTTCAAGCAATTCTCTTGCCTCAGCCTCCTGAGTAGCTGGGACTACAGGCGCCCACCACCACGCCCAGCTAACTTTTGTATATTTAATAGAGATAGGCTTTCACATGTTGGCCTGGGTGGTCTCCCTCTCCTGACCTTGTGATCCGCCCACCTCGGCCTCCGAAGTGCTGGGATTACAGGTGTGAGCCACCACACCTGGCTTATCTGCTATTTTAAATGAGCAGTTTCAGTTCCTACAAATATATCTGTAAGCATGTATAAATCAGAACAGCACTGGTATTTAAGGGATGCCATCAGGACGATGGGGGTGTGACCCAATTGCTTGCTAATGGAACCCCTGTTGATCCTCACTCACTGCAATGCAGGATGTAGCTGGCTGAGGAGGGTGGGAGAACTGGTGCCTCTGTCTGGGAGCACAGAGAGGAGGAGTCGCCAGGGCCAGGGACCCACTCACTCCTGGAGGCGCCGCTGAAATGTCGTGGAGAACTTCTTGGCCATTTTCCTGTCAGAATGAATCGCACCTTTCCATGCTCTCACAGTATTTTTGTTGATACCATGCGCCTTGCACTGACTGTCCTGCTGAGGACCCTGAGGGCAGCATGGTCTCTGATTCACCCGGGATCTGCAGCATCCAGCACCATGCCTGTTGCAGGGGGCCCTCCATAAATGTTTGCTGCTAAAGGCATGAGGGCCCTTGATGGGATCTGCCACTTCCAGGACCCTAGAATGAGGGAATCCGAGGATACCCTGGACCAATCCCTCCTTTTGCAGATCTAGGAAATAGGCCAGGGAGCAGAAGTGACTTTCCAAGATCACACAGCTGGGGGCAGAGCTGGGACTAGAATGCAGGTCTCTTGACTCTGGTCCTAGGGCTGTATTCTCTACATCTGCTTTCCATCTTAACCCCCTCCTCCAGCCGTGAGCAATAGAACATGGCTTGCACTCTATGGGAGGGTGGGAGGGGAGGCTGGGGGCACCGCCTCCAAGGCGCATGTAACAGCTGATCCTTCTGCATTTTGAAGTGTGCCACAAGGAAGCCATCTTGGTGTAGGAGGACCCCTACCCCTTTGCAGTTTCCCACTGGAGAGACCAATCTGCTTCTTAACTTCCCCTTCCTAGGTTTAGGACAGCCTGTTCTTTGACACCAAGAAGCTGCCCAAGGTCACAGAGCTGAGACCTTGACCCAGCTCTCTCTGTTCTCAGTTCTCAAGTTATCCAGTTCCTCCTGTTCGACTCGGCTGGCAGGATCAGATCTAGACAGGAGGCGGGAAGCAGGAGGATGACAGCGGGCCCAGTAGTGAGGGGCTGGGGAAGTTCAAGGAAGGCTTGGAGAATTCATGCCTGCTTCCATGATGGGTTTATAAGGGCAGGGAGAGCCTTCAGGACTCAGCCCTTCCACGAACTGGGCAATACAAAGATTCCTTAAGCTCTGGGGACATTGCCTGAGGCAGATCCCTGGAGGAAGAACCACTTCTCTCCCAGGGTGTTAGTGATTGCTGAGTCCAGCATGTTAGTTTTCAAAGACTAAGCCTAGATCTGGCTTGCTCTGCACAGCGCTGAGGCCAAGTTGGCTTTTCTGGAGTGGAGTGATGCCCAGAGGGTGAGGCCCCCCAGGATGCTCCTCCATCACCTCCCACAGTCCCATCTGATCCTGTCCTCAAGGACAGACATACCAACACGTCAGCTCTTCTCTGGAGTTCTTTAGGCAGGTGGCCACATCACGCAGGACCCCAGGGAGAAGGCTCTCCACTTTTGCCAGGGGTCACTCTTATTGCTGCTGCCCCCTCAGAGATGGCTGCTTAGGTCAAGACTTTTGACCACCACCCTCACTCCTCCTAGTAACTGAAATAGCTGATACATGGACAACGAACAGGGTGTTGTGATTATGAGCTCATTCGATTCTTTCCAACCCCCCCCCACGATTTAGATACTATTATGATTCCTATATTGTAGTGGAAGACACAGAGGGTGGGAAAAGGTGAGTGACCTGCACAAGGTCAACCAGTTAGAAGGTGGCAGCCGCAGGGCTCGGATGCTGCAGTCTGCCCTCCTCCTACCCTCCCCATCACGCTGTCCCTGGCCCCCTGACCCCCATGGTGGGTCTGGGGACACCAGTGTTCTCTGTCATCCTGGTCCAGGCTGTGAAAGCAGGTGACATTTCCCTCTCCCCTATCTCCTCTAGGGAGCCCAAGACTCCAGACGCGGGGACTGCCCAGAAGAGATGAGTCGGGCCGATGTTGTTCATGACTCCTCTGCTGCCTGGAGCCCCCGCTGCCTTGCATAGCCATCACTGAGATGATAAACTGAGGAGCAGGGGATGGGCTCAGAGCTGTTACCCTCTGCGAGTGGAAAAGGAAAGGGATGGAAAGTGTGACTTAGAAATACTTACAAATCCCTTGGTTTTTGGGATCCAAGCTATTCTCTGTTCTCCATGCCTCCTCTTTGTCCCTTATCTCCACCCTGAGAGAACATCAGCTGCAGAGTGAGCTCCCTCCCAGGGGTGTGGGGAGAGCTGTGTTCTGAGCTTTCCTGTGGTCCTGAGTGAAATCACAGCCCCTCTCTGCTCGGCACTGGAGGATCTCCAGGTCTAACATCCAGGGATTTGGTGATGCCATCACTTTAAACCTCAGCATAACCCACGACCACTGGCAGCAAATGGTACATGGTGTTTCTTTGACAAAGACTGATGTGGCATTTCAATGTGCCAGGTACCATTCTAAGCATGTTGGTGATATCAGTTCATGGAATCCTCTGACAATTCCCTGGGTTAGGTTCCACTGTCACCCCGATTTTACAGTGAGGGAGGCACTGAGGTCATATAGCTAATAGAGGACAGAGCCTGAAGGAGGCCCAGGCATCTGGCACCAGGGTCCATTTTTTTTTAACCACCCTAGCTCGGGGGTCGGGGGCTGCCTGTCTGCCAGCCGTGCCCATGACTCCTCCATCACTCGCTAGTGCTGCAGCCTGGCCTTTCGCTCTGGGACAGAGGAGTCCCCCTGCTCCTTGAGCACCCAGTGCCCATTCCAATCACTTTTGATTTCCCATCTGGCCTTAGGTAGCCTGTGCACCTTGTAGGGGCAAATTAACCAGGGATAACACGGGTAGCAGCTCCCAAACAAAGCCATGTTGACAAAGTCCCCTCCCCTGCAGTCCCCTGAGCCGGTGCATTGAGGGGTGTGAAGCGTTTTGTAGGTTATCATGCAAACACACAGGCATCCCGGATACAAGCGAGCCCAGCCTGAGCCTTCATGGCCCGTAGCCTTGCCGGGCCACCACACTCTGCTGCTGAGGAGAGCTCTCGAGTGTGCTGTCATCAGGGACTGTGAAGCACTAAACATGTGAGATGCTTGTATCCAAACAAGCAAGAGGGATTCAGTGGGGCCAGTGGGGCAGACTGAGTTCCAAACACTGATGTCAACAACTAGGAGGGGAGGCTGAGGCATGGCCAGGGGCGGGTGTGGGGATCCTGTCCCCCTCCTCTAAGCCACCCCTCCCTGCCTTCCTGCCCTTTTCTCTTCCTCTTCTTCCCCTTTCCCTTTCCCTCTGACAAGAAGGAGCATCAGTCTGATTCAGCGCCTGAGACCAGGGGACCCTGCTGCCATTTGCAGAGGGGAAAATGAGCCTCATCGACCCAAATAAAATAAGGACACACAGGGGGAGAGGCTGCTACAAAGAAAAACAAGGCGTGGGTTTCGGAGGCTGTTGCAGGGAAGCATTGGGGTCAGGAGGCACAGAGGCCCCTATGTTAGCTTACTCCAAGCCTCAGATGGGACTGGTGGCCTCTTCCTCCACCATGGTCAAATGCAAGCCTAAGAGGGGGCCTGTAAATAGAGAGAAGCAGATGACAGACATCACCACATATTAAAATGCAAGCGACCGGAGCGGGCTCCTGCCGACTCTGCAGTGCGCCTTGGAGATGGCTGCTAGACCCGGTTGGATTCGATGCACGGGCAGCCCGTCCTCCTGTCACGCAGCTATTTATTTATTCAAAACAAACACATGCTCAAACTCTCTTTTTATTCTAGGTGAACAAAGCAAACACACTCTGCAGGCGGAACACCCCCCTCCCACCTCCCCCAACTCAATGTGTTTTCATTAATATAAATTGTTTGCAGTAGGCAAATTAATTCTAGAAATGGTTCTTAGACACGGCAAATGGTTCTTGTAAAGGAAATGATGCAGGAGAGCTCTCTGCGTCTTCGTATGCACCAGGGATCTTAGGTAAATATAATAATGTTGATAATGATAATCGATGCTTATTACAATGGCCAGGCTTAACAACCTGCAGCATTAAGAACTAACCAGAGCGACTGAATCCAGGTTGTGAGTTGCAAAGAGCCCCTGGGATTGGGCAAAGAACATGAGGTACGGAAAGCTTTCAAACGGGGAAGTTCTTAGTGTACCTTAAAACTTGTCATTCTGGAAGGTTTCTCAGTTTAGAAACACTTTCTTGCTCCTTTGAGTTTGACATCAATGAGGTGCGGTAGGCAAGGTGGACAGGCATAGATAGCCCCATGGTACAGGAGAAAAAGTGAGGCCCTAAGAGGTTAAGTGATTACCCAGCTGCTAATGAACAGAGCTTGGGTTGAAATTCAGATGACCTTGTTTCAAATCTTCTATTCCCTCTATCACATCAGAGCTCCTAAACTTCAGGGTTTGGGGTCTCACTAGGTATTTTTTGCCTTATCCAAATACTATCTGCATTGTTATTTATTTAATATGTTTTTCAAAATCTACCTTAAATCACCAAACTTTTTTGGCTGTCCTCACCTGCAGCAATGATATCCATGAACCCATGGGCTTGAGAGGCTAGATCACTTTTTTTAAAAATGAAGATTTAATGCATTATGTTATTTGATTTTTTAAAAGAGCCTTGCTCTGTTGCCCAGGCTGGAATGCAGTGGTGTGATCAAGACTCACTGCGGCCTTGACTTCCTGGGCTCAAACAATCCTCCCACCTCAGCCTCCCAAGTAGCTAGGACTACAGATGTGTGCCACTATGCCTGGCTTAAATACATAACTTAAAAAAAAAAAAAAAAACTTGTCCATGCACCACCTAGAATTGCCTGGCACACCATGAGGGATGCATGCCACATTTTAGGACACACTGGTCTGCACCAGAAAGCAGCAGCCAGACACCTGTAAGTTATTTTTGTCATTACTGACTGCCCCACGCCCAGTGCCTGCCAGAACTGCCTGTTCCTCCCACACCGTCCTTCCAGGGGTCTGCAATACATTCCTGCTCAGAGCCAGGTCCCTGCTGTCATCTCGAGATGGAGCACAGGACTGAGGCCAGAATATTACCTGAGTTCTGGATGGCGTCTGGGGACCAGGACTAAAGAACTGCAGCAGAAAGGACTGCTGGTCAGGCTCTGCTGGGACCCACTGTGCAGTGGGGTATGTCCCAGGGTGATGGCTAGGAAGGGGTCATCAGCCACAGAGACCCTCAAATGCAGACTGAGAATGGGATGATGACAAGGAAGTATTGTCAATTTTGTAAGCAGTGACAATAATCATGCAGTTATATCGGAAAATGGGCATACTGCTCCTAAAGATTCGTACTGAGTGTATGTAGGAGAGAAATCACCAGAGGCCTAGGATTCACTTTAAACACTTCAGCACAAAACAGGGGGAGTGATGAAGCTGGTGTAGACACATCTTGATAGTTGTGAAATATGAGTGATGGGTATATGAGGTTCATTGTTCTACACAATTTGAAATAATTTGTAATAATTATTTTGAGAATGGAAATCAATGATCCTAGTTCAGCTAGTGTAGAAGAGGGGGTATTTAGAACTTTTAAAAATTCATTTATGTATTTATTCACATACAGAGAGCAGCACAGTTAGGAAGTGGCAGGGTGAGGGGGGTAATATGGGGTCTCTGGGGCGAGGAGCAGGTTCCAACACCCCCATAACCCAGTGGGCACCCTAGCACCCCCAAAGTTTGCCTTCTGCTTCTTGGTCTGGCCGGGTTTCTCACTTAGCCCCTGCATCCCGTCCTGAGCGCCTGCCTCTGTAATGAGGAGTGATGTATAATTGATGAAAGCACAATGTGATATAGTCACAGAAACCTCGTCTGCTAGGAGACATCTGTTCAGCACATAGAATCCACTCAGCTACTGTCACAATGCATTTACTGTATTGTATCAGAGCTGCAGGAATCTGCGAGTGCTATGCGAGCCGCGATTTGTAATATTCTCTGTCTGGGGACGTGGAGAAGTAGGAACCAGTGCTTCTGCCTCAGAGATTTATGCACCTGGGTGGCATTCTCTGCATCTCCCTCACTTTGCATTCCTTCGGAGTCCTCTTCATAAATTATCCCGGCGCTCTGATGGGGTTTTAACGGGCTCAGGTGCCAGCATCTACGTCCCTCTTTCCCATGCTTCTGTCACAGATGCCCCAGGGTCCCCGTGCACTGCCCATTCTGGAACGAGGGAGGAGCACTTGCCAGGGATGCAGCTTCAGGGATCCCTTCTTTGCTTGGGACTCTCTGTCCCCAGGTGCATCCCGGCCCCTCACCAGGTCAGCCCAGGCTCTACAGGCATGTGGGGTTCTGTGCTTGGTGCCAAGTGGGTTTCCTGCAAGTTCTAAACAAAGGGAGGCAGGGCTGGGAAAAGGGGGCATCTTGAAAGGACCACAGGCCTTGGCAGGGACAACCTGGGCCAGGTTGGGTGACAGGCCCCTGATCTGAGTCAATCATGTCTATGGGGAGGAGGGTGAGGAGCAGGAGAATCCTGGGGCTAGGGTGGAAAGCTGTGCTCATCAGGTAGGGCAGGGGCCCTAGGACACTTGTCAATGGGGCCCGCAGTAGTCAGAGTCTGGATTCTCCGCAGCTCTGGGCTCCTGGTTTTGTCATCTTACACCCCTCTGCTCATCCTAGCCCATCATCCCTCCACTCCGTAACTCACAGTGCACCTCCTCCTGGAGGCCGGCTCGGCAAGGACTGCCTAGGAGCTTGGATGGAGCCATTGCAGTGTCGCCAGTCTGCCTCCCATTGAGCTCACACTGTCTTCACTCAGCGTCTTAAGCATTCTCCACATCTGTGTCCGTGTGTGTGTGTATGTGTGCATGCATGTCCAGGCTCTTCCATTTGCCTGGAAGCCCCCTGAGGGCTGGCTCTGTTTCTTTTCTTTCTTTGGTGTCTCCTGTGGGGTCTGACACAGGGCTGCTAAAGGCCCCATAACCCCTGATATCTAATGTGAAGACCTCTCACTCTGGAAGCTGAGGCAGCGCTAGGCTCACCGATGGTCCATAGTCATTGTATTGAGCTAATAGTTACACACCCTTCGTTACATGCTGGGCAATGTTCTAAGCGATTTACACATATTCAATAACATAATCCCTTAAATAACCCATGCAGTAAGTACCATCATTGGCCTCATTTTTCAGATGGGGGAAAGCTGAGGCATACAGAGGTGATTCCATGCTGCAAGGTCACCCAGCCCATACATGATGGGTGCAGACCTGGCACCCGGGCAGTCTGCTTCCAGAGACCAGGCTCCGTGCTGCTGCACTGAACGCTGCCCCAGTGGGGCTCAGGAGGAAGGGCTTTGACCTCAGGCAGCACGGGGTGTGAACCCCAACACCACTGCCATGTGTAAGTCACCTCCCCCAGGCTCAGTATCCTCTCCCACAAATGGGGCTAATGATACTTACCCCAGAGGGTGGCTGTGAAGATTAAGCAAAAGACATCTCAAGCATCTGGCACAGTTCCTGGCACTTACGGGGCACTAAACAAGAGGCTGTCCCTGTTCCTCACTACTGAAGAAAGGGGGCAGTGAGGGGCATAGGCCCAGCTCCTCCATCCCCTGGGCCCACGTGTCCTGCCCTCGGCGGTGCCCACACACAGCGATGCTTCAGGGTCACAGACTCACAGGCTCAGTGCAGAAGAAAATGGATGCCTTCTGCCCTGCAGCAAAATCTCTGCTTTCTCCCCTGCTCCCGCCCAC
The DNA here is from genome assembly GCF_000001405.40 of Homo sapiens. Classification (NCBI taxonomy): domain Eukaryota; kingdom Metazoa; phylum Chordata; class Mammalia; order Primates; family Hominidae; genus Homo; species Homo sapiens. The sequence continues at coordinate 117,593,296 of NC_000011.10, forward strand.
CCTGACCTCTTGCAAAATGGCAGATTCCCCAAAGCAGCCACAGAGCTGCCTCCCCGTGCACCTCGCTGGGGCCTGGGGGCCTGGGTCACTCAGGTGGTACCTCAGGGCTGCTGTGCGGCCTCCCTCATTAAAGCCTGACAAATGAAATGTGAGAACCAAAGCCGCTCCCATGTCACCTGGAAAGAAGAGATGACAGGCTGCCTGTCTGCCACCGGGGCCTGTGTATAGGGTTCTACAAATCCCAGGCCCAGAGGCCGGGACAGCACTGCAACTTCATTTATCAGGAAAGACTGGGCTGGGCAGGGCTTGGGGCCCTGGCACAAGCCAAGGAACAGAGCCGCCTGTTTCTGCCTGGCACAGGGATGTGGAGCTCCCTCTTTCCTTGAACCATAGTATTGAACTCACTATATTTCTTGTTTTTTTTTTTTTTTTTTGAGATGGAGTCTTGCTCTGTTTCCCAGGCTAGAGTGCAGTGGCGTGATCTCGGCTCACTGCAAGCTCTGCCTCCTGGGTTCATGCCAGTCTCCTGCCTCAGCTTCCCAAGTAGATGGGACTACAGGCGCCCGCCACCACACCTGGCTAATTTTTTTTGTATTTTTAGTAGAGACGGTGTTTCACCGTGTTAGCCAGGATGGTCTCGATCTCCTGACCTCGTGATCCGCCCGCCTCAGCCTTCCAAAGTGCTGGGATTACAGGTGTGAGCCACCACACTGGGCTGAACTCACTGCATTTCTAAGTGGCCCTTCTAAAAGGGAGTGGGGTCTCACCTGGCATGGTTATCTAGGGAAGTAAACACCAGCCTTTCTCAGTCTTGACAAAGGACAGAAAAAGGAAAGAGGGGCACTCAGTATAAACCTCAAGGAATTCCAAGGGAGGTGCACAGATATTGGGTCCTGGATCAGGCTCCATTTCAGAGAGAGTTTATCCTAGAAAAAAGTCTCCTGTTGTTTCTCAGTGGGGATACTTTGACATTTTGGGGAGGCACATACCTGTGGGTCTATCCTAGGCAAAGAAGGACATTTAGTATCCTTGGGTTTTGTGCATGAAATGCCAGTAGATCCCTCAGTCACTCTGACACCCAAGTATTCTCCCCTCTTGCGTTTTCAAACAAACACCCTTGAGAAGATGACACTGCCCCAGGTGAGAAGCTCATCAGATCCGCTGATGCTCTCAGCAATGCACGCACACCTGTGTGAGTCTCCCTTCCTAAAACTCCAGGAACAGTCAGGTCTGCCCTCTGGGTGTCAGCTTCTGTGAATTTGGAGATGGTGTTCTGGCTCTGACATCTGTGTTCTGGGTGTCCCCAGCGGGCTGGGTTAGATCACCTCCACCTGACATCCCGCAGACCTGCAGCAGCCCCTGCTCCTCCTCTGGCTTTGGCTATCTGGTCTTCTCTCCGTGGCCAGGCTACTCAGGCTCCTCCCTGGTGTGGGGCAGCCTCATTTCCCTACTGTGACTCTCATCTTTAGTCCTATGTGGTTGGAGCCTAAGGAAGACAGGAGGCCAGGGAGGGATGAAAGATGTGTTCCTCCCCTCTACCCCATCCTGCCCCATAGAGACTTTATTATTCACTTCTCCTGTCATCCTTTGCCCTTTGGCAGTTTCTGTGGTGGGATTTTCATTCCTCATTGTTACCTCTGTCAAGAAGGGACTCCTCAATAGTTCACCATTGCCGTTCTCTAACTAACTGTTCTGTTTTGCATTTCTATGGTGGGTTGGTGGGTTTCCTCCCTCCTGATATAATGATTACTCTGTCTTTCTCTTACACACACACACACACACACACACACACACCCTTTGATATTTCCTTAAGACACTTCTCTGAAGAGATGAGGGTGAGGGAAGGCTACAGAAGCACTTTAATGAGGAAGGCTTTCTTCATAGCAGAGGGGGAGGGTTGGAAAGTCAGTCATTAGAATAGGGATCAAGAAAGTCAGTGGAGCCACTGTCTCTGGGGGGCTTTTAAAAAATGTCTACTTTTTCCTGATTAAAATAGAATACCAATTTGTTGTAAGAAATTTGGAAAATACAGAAAAACCAAAGTAAGACAATAAAAATGACCTGCAACCCCACCAACAAGAGATAGACTTGGTATATTTCCTTTTAGTCTTTTTTTGGAAGGGTGATGGAGATCAGGTTGCGTATGCAGTTTTATATGCTTTTTTCATTTTATATTCCAATGAGGGCTTTTATTTTGCATCCTCAAATCATCTTCAAAAACATCATTTTAAGGACTACATAGCATTCCCCTCTGTGGATAGGCTGTGATAAAAATGGCAGGGATAACAGAACAGGAAGGTGCCAGGGCCGGCCCCGCCCAATTTCCGTTGAAATCTGAGGCAGAGGATGAGCGCCTCTCCCTGGTGATGCATTTCAGTAACTTACATCACAGTCAGGAAGAGTTTATCAATGTCGCCCATCTCTATCTCCACCTTTGTGTGGGTCACCCTGAGTTGGATTTTTGTGAGCTCCATGTATGGCTAAAAAAAAAAAAGTGACCTTTCAGGTTCTCATTCCCTTGCAACCAACGTAAGACTGTCTTCCTTCAACAAACCTCCCAAAGTAGAGGGATAGGAGGCAGGTGTGGAAATATGCAGATAGAAGTGGTGAAGGAACAAAATGTCATGTCTTAAGCTCCAAGACAAAATCGTGTGGGAGCAGGAAATGTATTAATAAATTCTTTTTTGTTCTCTATTGTCCATGATGAATGACCACATTCAGCATCAATAACTGCAAACATTCCTGGGAAAGAGATATACATGCAAGCCCATCGCTCCTGCAGAAAGCAGTGGGTTGAATTCAATTTTGAGTCTGAAGGCAAATTTCACAGCCCTAAACAAAATTATCTGTGAGAGCTGCTGCCACAACCACACATGTAATAAAAGCAAGACCATTGTGGTTAAAGTGGGAGAATGACTCCCCAGAGTCATAAAAGATCGCAAGGCACTGGATGGTGGAGAATTGCTACTCTTAAGTCCAGATCTTTTGAAACTACAAGACTCTGTTCTTACTGGGATTTCTACCAGGAAACACAACCTCCCTGGGAGTTCAGAGCATTTTCTGATCAGCCAGAACATGCCATTCTTCTCAGGAAAAAAAAAAAAAAAATCTCAGTAGGACATGCCAAAAGGGGTAGACACATATGTGTCCGGTTGAGGAGGAGAGAGAGAGAAGAGGGGAGCCCATTGCTAATGGCAATCACATATTTCTATGTTTGGGTGAAATTCAACCAGAGAGGACATTTTGGAAACAGATGCAAGATGATGGATAATCAGCACGTCCCTCATTTACTGCTCATGGAACCTGCATTACTATGTTCACAGAAAGCAATGGAAGCACCTATTCTAGGGGAAAAGAAGATGAGGTGTGGGAGGTGAAGACAGGGATACAGGGAAAAAGTAGTGAAAAGGAGCAATGCAGGTATTTTGTTCAAAAATCTAGTCTTTGTGAACAAATATCAGTCAAGGCTGATGCACATGTAATTAATGCATAAAAGGGAAACTCCTTTTAATTGTTTTCATTGTTTTGAATGCAGAGGCAAACCTGGACCCCCAGTCTCTTATATAAAGGTCTCATAGGAAAAAAGAGGAGGAAACCTAGTAGCTAGCTTTGGGATCAACTAGTTTGGCATTTACAAGGTTTGTCCGTTCCTGAATTTGTCCCTGCGGTGGGCTTTCTTTTCCCTTGGCATAGAACAGTGACTGTGATGAGCAGTCCCATAAAGCACAATATAAATTTTTATTATTATTGGATGGTGCTGCGGCTGGAACAGCACCGTTCTGCATGGAGGTTTTCCGACATATGATAATTACATTCTGTAGGTTTGCAAATAATGACATAACCCAGTCACCTTACTGTGGGTATGATTTATTACAAATAACAAAATGTTATTATATGGAAATTAGTTTCCACACAACAGCTGACTAGAGGGGAGCACTCGAGAGCCACTTTAATCACTAAGACAGGAACTGGTGGCATTTCAGGACCGGGGACAGCGCCAGAACGGCCTCAGTCACCTTACTTGCTAGAAACACCTCTGCAAGAAGCAAACTGGGGGGCAGGTGTGTGGGAGCAGGGCCATGAGCAGCTAAGACTCAACCTGAGTTAGAGACCAAGGTCCTTGCCAGCCTGCAAGAAGGAGGACCTAGGAATTATTTCTTTTGTCTTTTTCGAGACGGAGTCTCACTCTCTCACCCAGGCTGGAGTGCAATGGCACGATCTGAGCTCACTGCAACCTCCACCCCCCAGGTTCAAGCAATTCTCCTACCTCAGCCTCCTGAGTAGCTGGAACTACAGGCGTGCATCACCACATCCAGCTATTTGTTGTTGTTGTTGTTTTTAGTAGAGATGGGGTTTCATCATGTTGGCCAGGCTGGTCTCCAACTCCTGACCTCAAGTGATCCACCCGCTTCGGCCTCCCAAAGTGCTGGTATTACAGGCGTGAACCACCACACCTGGCTAATTCTGATTTTTCATTTGGGTGCTGTCTTCTCCTGACCTCCTATTTTTGCCCCTTAATTCTCCTTCCCTAACTTGGAAAGAAAATTGTCAACTTCAGAATCATCCAGAACTCAAGTGCTTTTTTACACCTCTAGGAATATTGTCTTTACTTAAAGAAAAAAAGAAAAAAAAAAGCAACCAAAGACATATTCAGCCTGGGCATACTGAGCGTATAGAAATATGCCTGGCCCAAACCCTAGACACAGGCCAGTCCTGATACAATATATATATTAAAGAAGTAAATATTTATTGGTCATTTAATTGTTTAACATTTTCCTCCAACATGTGGGTGGTCACAGCTTACAAAAGAAAGCAGAACATGAAACCTTCAAACATTCTCTCCAGCTCTCCTCCCTCCCTTCTCCTCCACTGTCCAAGAATAAGAGACTTGGAATGCCAGTGTAACAGATCTCCCTACCTTGGTCATTTCCTGAAATTTTCCAAGGGGATTACTTTTTGTTATAATGAATTTGTACAAGATAAAAATTAAAAAGATAGTAGTTTTCATAGAACCTTGATGTTTTCCCCTATTTTATGGAGTATAACTTATTACCCCACTTAACTAAAGAGCAGGAATTCGTTCATTAACTTGCCCAAGGTTGAAGAGCAAAGGAAGCATTAGAACTCAGGTTTTTCTGACATCCCAATCCAAGCTACGCCCAGCTATAACATGGGCATCTAGGGTGACTTAGGAGATTGCAGCTGTCCAACATGCAGCCACGGAAGCTGGGTTGAAATTGGTCTGGGGTCTATTATGGGCCCCCATGCCCCACTGGGAATCTTCATCTTTGCCTTCATTCAGAGACTGATCTAACTGATCTCTTTTATTCCCCAAACATAAAGTCCAAACATGTCTTTGCTCTTGTCTGTATAATTTCAGGGTTTGGGCTGGGTGGAGAAGGGGTTGAAGGAGGGGAAAAAGGGAGCAGGGAGGCAGTCTGTGTGGCAAGGAGGGGCAGCGCCAACTTTCCTGGGCACAAAGCGAGTTTGTCATGATCTCAAAATCAGGGCTGAATGGCTTTGGTTTAAACTGATTAGGAGCTCTGGGAGTTTTGAGAAGCATTCTGACTATCCCATTCTGGAGCAGGATTTTTAGTGGTATATTTTTTTGGGGTTGATGCCTAAAGTTTTGAAAGGATAAATGCACTAAAAATTTAAACATTGGGAAAGCAATCACTCAGTGACATTTAATAACACTAATGCAGCGGAATTACAGAATTATCACAGTAATACGGATCTCAACACCAGTTTCCTATCAATGATTAGAGAATTCCTGACCAATTAACAATGAAACATTCCGTTGCAGCTTGGGTTAAATTTCAGGGCAGTAGCCGCAAAACCACCTCACAGGTGAATTTCACCTCTTGTTCCTTGATTTCTCAGGATGACCCTGAGGAGGGGACCCTGGATCCAGCCCTGTATTTTGGTTGCTACCAGGGGAATGTGCGGCTGCTTCCTCTTCACTAGCCAGCCCTCTCAGCTACTGGATGGCCACATTTAGTTCTGGTCCATATACCTTCTTATTCACTGGGATACTTGTGACTGGAAGAGGATTTCCAAATGGCTTCTCCTAATCATAGTTTTCAGTGGCTCCTTATTACTCATTCTCATAGCATTATGGAATAGACACTTCGAAATCTTCTAATGTTGGACACTTTTCTTTTGAGTATGAATGCCTTTCTCCAAACGAAATCACATATGAGCCCCAGAATTGTAAATGGGTGAAAAGGTGATGTTTGGGATGGGTTCTGAGCCCTCTCTGCTCAGCAGCACCGTAGCCCCTCTCTATACCATGTGAACATATTCACTGAGCTCTTCCTTAGCCTTCTCTTCCTCAACACAAGACATCTGCCACCGCTCTGTGCTTTCTTCATTAACATGGACTCCACTCCAGGATTCAACTCAGTAAGGGCTGCAGGACCCTGGTTCTGGTTAGACCAGAGGATGTCCAGCTGGGTCAGAAAATGGGCATACAGTGCACAGAGATGTATAAACACCACATCAATAGCGACGCACGCTTACTCACTCAGAGACAGACACTAAAGCCCAGTTTAGCATCCGGGACTCATCTGGCTGCCCTGACTCCAGGAGTGCACTGGGTAAACGGTGCATTCCCAGAGGGAGGTGGAAGAGCACAGTGGAAGGTCTAGGGCCAGGCTCTGTATTTGAATCTGGGCTCTGCCAAAAAGTGTCATCTGGAGCAAATTCCTTCACTTCTCTGTGCCTCCCTTTCCTTTTGTGCAAACACTGGGGATAACAGCCATAGAGCCCACATGGTAGAGGTATGGCGAGAAGGGAATGAGTCTTCATATATGTCATGTAAACACATGTAGAAAAGCTTCCGAAATGAAGCAAACATTCCGTAGGTGTTGGCTCTCTCTACTCCTGACCACCCTCACATCTTCCGTTGCCGGCGGGAGTTCCTGGGGACGGGCTGGGGCAGGGCTTCCTGTAGCACACAGGGAGGATCTTCATTGCCTTGCTCTCTGCAACACCTCCTTTCTCTGCCTGGGCCTGGCTGGCCAAGTGGTAACATCTTGCAGGCACGTGACCGCCTCTCCCGGCTGAGCTGGGATGCATAAAGGGATTTACGGTTGTAGAGCCGAATCTCACTCTGGATCATGTCGGGGAGCAAATCCCCACTCTCGCCACAGCTGTGCACTAGCAGGCCCAGCCCACAGAGGGGAAATGCCAGCTTCCCTCTCCCTGGGGCTCCAGGTCCCAGGGGCCATTTGAGTCCATCCCTCCGCCCACACCACAGGATCCCCTTTGCTCCCTGCTCCATTTCCTCCCCACCAGAGGAGGGAGGAGGAGGTGGTCTGAGCCACCACATTAGGCAGTGACAATTAGGCCCATTCAGAGTGGAGTCATTTGCATGCAAGTCCTCACTAGGCAGAGAACACTCAACCTGTCATTATCTCTTGGCATTGCTGGTAGCCGTGCCACGTGGCTGTGGAGATGGCAGCTTCCTTTCTCTGGGTGTTTCCAGGCAGGGAGAAGGTGATTTATGAAGGGCCCAGAACCTTTCCTTCTGCCCTGGCTGGCCACTGGAGGAGGCCAGGAGGCCAGAGCTGGAGGAGAAGGAGGGGTAGGGAGGAAGCATAGGGATCCCACAGACCCAACTGTGCTTGGGCACTGGGAAGAGTCTTGGGAGGGCCCTGCAGGAGGACGGGAGGGAGGGCAGGAATCATCCGAGAGTAGTTCCCACCTCCTCAGCTGGATTTATCGAACAAGATTATCCCTTGAAAAGTATTAAAAGCCACCATTTTGCCGTACACCCACAGAGCAGCCTCTATGGCAGCTGCTCCCTCAAATGCACTCCAGCTGTTCCCAGCCCCCACCCGCACCAACTACTGCTCCTCTGTCCCCACCCCCACCTCTAGCTCCAAATAAACTACAGTGAGCTACAAACACTACCACGCCTGTGTTGAGCTGGTTCAGCATTTCTGTCCTCAGAAACAGAGAGACAAAAAGACCCAGAGGCAACTCCTCAACCCTGGATCATGAATCCTTTGCGGGCCTATCACAAAACCAGGGTTTGAAGACCACCAGGGTGTGTTGAGGAGGGGACAAAGACTCTTCAGCAGGGAGACCGACCTTCACCTTCTGAGGTCAAGAGGGCCCAGCTGAGATGTCCAAGATCAGGACCAGCCTACATTTAGTGAGAATAGGTGGTGTTAATTGTGGAAGCTCCAGAAACACTACGCCATCCAAAACACCGTCCTGTATTTGCCAGGATCTGAAATTCCACTATCCGTGTTTTATTCCTTTCACTTAAACCATGGATTCTGGTTTAAATGCAAATACCCCTGAGAGAGGCAACACTATAGAATGTGGTCAGTTATCTACCCCTTAATAAGAATACATTTCTGCAGCCTTTTCTGAGAATAAGTGCTGATTATAAAGGAAGTGAACGAGAGAAACATGAGAATGTCACGCCCTTGAACACATGGGACCTGGCTTCTCCAGCAGGAGGGAAAATACAGGGTGAGGAATCTGCATTCAGGAGCCTGGCCTTCCTCATATTTTCCCCAGGGCTGGTTTTGATTCATTGGTTTCTGGGATAGAGCCATGTTGGGACCCGAGGGGTCTAGGCCAACTCAGCTGAGTATCATCTCTCCTGGGTTTAGGTCTATTGTGACAGCAAGGCCCTGTGTCCAATCCCCAAATGGGGGCTGGAAGAATTACCTTTTACTCTCACTACATTCCCTGCTGCTGTAATGAGGCCATGAACCTGCAAAGCCCAAGCTTGTTTCTCTTGGCATTGCATGTCTCCCGACTCTATCTCTGTTCCTACCTCAGAATCAGCAGCCTCAGCTGGGCATGGCCCAGAGGTGCTGCCTTCTCACGACCTCTAAAAACAGAAGTTTAATTTATCAAGTAGGTTTGAGCACCTGCTTTATGCTCCCAGATATGGAAGGTGTCTGACTTGGTGCCAGCCAAGAATGCTCCCTTTGCTCCACGACGGGCCCTGGGCACACGTGGCCTGGAGTGGCCGGTTGTCTTGGCATGAGTGTGTGTTTCTGCCCTCCAGCTGCCTGTGACTCCTGGCAGGCAGGGGGGTCCCTCTATTTATTTATTTAGAGACTGGGTCTCACTGTGTCACCCACGCTGCAGTGCAAAGGTGCAATCTCAGTTCACTGCAACCTCCGCCTCCTAGGTTCAAGCAATCCTCCCACCTCAGCCTCCGGAGTAGCTGGGACCACAGGCATGCACCACCATGCTCAGCTAATTTTTGTATTTTTGGTAGAGATGGAGTTTCACCATGTTGCCCAGGCTGGTCTTGAACTCCTAAGCTCAAGTGATCTGCCTGCCTCAGCCTCCCGAAGTGCTGGGATTACAGGTGAGAGCCACCGTAGTAGGCCCAAGGGTCCCTCTCTTTCGACTCTGCAACACTCAGCACAAGGTGAGGTATACAGCAGGTGCCCAATATGTACTGTTGATTGGTTGCCAGCCCCTCCCGTTGAATCACTCACAGTCTAGTTGGGATGATAGGAATTCACACACAAGTAACAATCAGAGGCCATGTGGGGTGGCTCACGCCTGTAAGCCCAGCACTTTGGGAAGCCGAGACAGGTGGACCGTTTGAGCTCAGGAGTTCAAGACCAGTCTGGGCAACATGGCGAAACCCCGTCTCTACAAAAAAAAAGTACAACCAGGTGTGGTGGCGTGAACCTGTAATCCCAGCCACTTGGGAGGCTGAGGTGGGAGAATCGTTTGAGCCCAGAGGGCAGAGGTTGCAGTGAGCCATGATTGCATCGCTGCACTTCAGCTCGAGGACAAAGTGAGACCCTGTCCCAACAAAACAAACAACAACAACAACAAAAAAACCCAAACCAATCAGAGACCAGTGCAAGGTCCCATATGAGGAACTGACACAGAGTCTCCCAACCTGGCTATGGTGGGAAATTAGAATCTGCCGGTTCCTGGCCTCGAAATTCTCAGTGTGCTGCAATCCTCATCCTAAAACTGGTAGTGACCTTGGTCCCAGTTTTGCCCATCTATGGCCTTGCTATCCTGAATCAAATGGCAGCGGGCATGACTTCCAAGGTAAGGAAACCCCACGTGTAAATCACATGGTGGCGAAGAGCTCTGGGTCAGGCTTATTTGGATCTTTGCTCCGTCATCTGCTCTGTGATTGTGGGCAAGTTAACCTCTCTAGGCCTCAGCTTCTTCATCTGTAAAATGGTGATAGTGAACTACCTATGCCAAAGTTTGCTGTGAAGATCAAATGAGATAGTGGATATAGGGCACTTGCCTGACACACAGCAAACACTCAGTGAATAAATATTTGATATTATTATTTCCTAAAGCATAAGGCTAATGTCATAAAGGTAATATAGCAGAATTCATTCTGAAGGAAGATGTTTAAATTCAAAAAGGGGAGATCAATTCCTCTCTTCCAGTAAGGCCAATAGTGGAATCATTCTGGGTAATGAAGACTACTCTGAGAGTTACTAAGAGATGCCAAAATTTTGGATAAAAGCAGAAAGAAAAAGGGAAATTTCCTGAATGATCTTGAAGATCAAGATATTTGTATGAGGGTCAAATACTATCACTACCACCAGCCGCTTGAATTCATTGAGCAGCTACCGTGTGCCAGGAACTGGGCCAGATATCTTATTTGTAATCGCTAAAATGACACCTCAAGGAAGGCATTATTGGTTCCATTTAATTGATGGGAGCTCAGCTGGGCAGACGACTTGGCCAGGGCCCTGTGGCTGGGCACTGGCAGATCTGATATTCAAACCCCAGCCTGTCTGACTCAAAGTGGTCTTTCTCCCAGGCAGATTGCCTCTTGCACCCAGATATTCTGGAGCCTGAGCTCATTACCGACAATGCAGGCATCTCATTCATCTTCATGAGCCCTAGCACACTTGCACGGCATCTGACCCATGGCAGGTGTTCTGTATATGCTCACTGAATTGAGCATTTGGTGGCATTCATCTATTTGATGGACCAGGGGGTAGAGAGGTGCCATTTATGAGAAGTGGCCCAACACGGCTGCTGCACCCAGACCTTTGTCACCGAGAAAGGGTGATCATGTTTTCTGAGATGATTGCCATGAATTTGACCTCTTACTGCTTTTGGCTGCTGCACAGAGATCTCCCTCCCTCCCAGCGCCTGCCCCTCCCTCCCTCTCCACCGAGGCCTGTGTTAAATTGCAACAAACAACAGAGGCCCCACCTTGGTGGGCCCTGCTCATAAATAATGAACTGGCACGAGGCTCCATTCTTTTGAAGGAATTCTCTCTCGGCCGGCAGAGCTGTGTGGCAAGGCGGCCAGCTCATCATTGCTGTTGTTTATTTATTCATGCTCAGATGGGGCGGTCCAAGCCCGTTTGTTCACAGACATCTTTCCCCTCGTTGAATCTTGCTCTCTGCCTGCCTTTCCTACTAGTTCTAGCTTCTCTGTGAGGGCTCCAGTGGCAGATGAGATAGGAAACCAAGTGGCTTGATTGTCCCAGGAGCCCGGGATGAGGGAGCCAGAGACTAGCAATGGAAAAAGATCTCTCCCATGCCGCTCTGTCTGCCCGTGGCTCCTTGGCAACGGGGCCTGTCTGGGATCCAGGGCTCCCTGCCATGGGGATGTGAGACAGGTGCTCTGGGGATGGCCACTGCCTGGCCTGTGGCACACAGGCTGTCTGTTGGCTGTGGGTTTCGGGAGGAACCTGACCAGAGGGGCTTTTCTTGATGGGGCCCATGGCAGCCAAAGAATAATATGGTTCTTTTTTCTACCCTGCCTCTCCCTGCTCCCTGGTCTGGTTCTGTCTCCCAGGCTGGAGTGCAGTGGCACAATCATAGCTCACTGCAGCCTCAAACTCCTGGGCTCACGCAATCCTCCCACCTCATTCTCTGGAGTAGCTGAGACTACAGGTGCACGCCACCATGCCCGGCTGCTCCCGGGTTTTAGATCAGCACCACTCTTCTCCTTGATTCTCCCCACTACCCCCACCCCAAAGCACGGCTGGTCTGACACACATTTCCCAGAGTCACCGATGAGACTGGAAAGATGGGGTTGACCATGCCCGCACCTCCTGAGCTTGGCTCCAGCCTCCCCATCCTAAAATCAATCCTCTACCCCAAGCTCTGGGAGCCGCCCTCTGCCGCAAGCACAGAGCCCTCTCCCCACGCACAGAGTCACACACAAACCCAGCACAGCCCAGAATGCAAAGGCAGACAGAATGGAAAGCGCTTAAGTGGAGGCCTTTGGCCAACTTTCATTTACTCTGCCACCTGGCTTCTTTTAGTCCTGGGCACGTGGAGTCTGTCGTTGTTGGACTAGATTTCTCCATTTAGGTCAGGAGAGCCTGTGATGGGAGGAAGAGGTGTCTGAGGCGGGATGGGTGGATGAACCAGTGACAAGGAGGTTCAGGGTGAAGGGAAGAGGCGAGAACATGGGGAAAGGGATTCTGACTTGAGTTTATGCTGTCTGGGTGAACACCTCCTGCCCCAGGGGAGTTGTAGAGAACTCGCTGGAGCCAGGTGACCTGGACTTGAAACCTGGCTTGGGATCTTTACAGCCATGCCATTTTGGGTGTGGGGGTGTGGGTGGGCAGAGTCACTTAATCTCCCTGAGCCTCAATTTCCTTATCTGTCAACGGAGGCCAACCCTAACCCCCTGGATGGGTTGGAGATGGGGTGTACACCACCTAGTCCAGGGCCTGGAAGTGCTGAAAACACAGCAACAGTGTCATTATTGTCCTTTCCACTGTCTACTCTCAGGCTTCCATTCTGTATAATAACAGGGGGCATGGAGCAGGGGGCTGAGCTTCACTTTTGGGTATGTGGGAAATTATTCTTTGCAGTGGTCCCAGGAGACCCCATAGAGCCGTGGCGACTCCTCTGCTGAGTTCTCAGGTGAGCTATGGGTTGAGGGCTCCCACTCTTACAGGGTTCTTTCTTTCCCTCCTGAGATTTCCCTGTAAGTAATATTTTCCCCCTGAGGACCAGACAGAAAATTAGGGATTAGGAATGCATTCTCTTCCTTCCATGGCTTCCATGGCCCTGGAGAAATTTACCTTCACTGCCCCCCTGGAGAAGTTCTCGCGGCCTCAGTGTAAACTCCCCCGCTGTGAGAGTGCATAGCTGTGCAAACTTCCTGCTCCGCTTGTGAATAGCTCTGAGGGTTAAAACACTTTGATCGATGAGTTAAACCCCACTTCTTTCACTTTCACCCACTGATTGTAGTTATACCCTTAAATAAATGCACTCTGTTTTTCATACAATGCTACTTCAAGTATTTGAGGTAGTTATAAAACTCTCCAGAATATTCTCTCTTCTCTTAGATACATCCATTTTTCAAAAAGGCATCCTTCATTTGACATGGGTTCCATCCGTCCTTCCACCCCGGCACCCAGACTCTGCTCTGGTTCCATGGATGATCAGTAAGTCAGAGGCCCCCACTTCTCTCTTGGGCAGGAGATTTCAGGGATCCCAATTACCTCTGTTGCACCGCAAATCTTGCAAATGTTAGCCCATCCCTGCATCTTGAGGAGACAAATTTGGATTCTGATGCTGATGTCTGTTTTCTTCAAAAAATTCCTTGGCTTTCTGTGGATGGTGCCTGTTCAGTAGGCCACAGAAGGAGGGTGACATTTGGATAGGAAACTAGACAAGGGGGAGTGTTGACTGGTTGAGTCAGCCAATACTTAGCCAGGCAGAGTGCTAAGCAGTGAGAATGAGGAACTGACAAAATCACAGCCCTGCCCTTGGGAGACTCACCATCTACTGGGACCAGACAGTGTTCTAGGCACTAGCAAAATGCCCAGCAGAGAAGGTCTCCTTCGTAAAGAGGCACAGCAGCTGGGGGAGGGCAGCAGGGCAGGGGACTGACTCTCTTCCGGGACCTGCATGCGGCTATCCTCGACCCCAGCGGTGGTAAGTCCCTGTGGCCTTGTCTCCTGACACCAACACGGCCTTTTCGTGCTCTGTGGCTGAGTCTATCCACCTTGGAGATTGGGCTGGACATGCTTGACAGGAAGCGGGAGGAGAGAGGCAAATGGGGTAGCAGCTCACCGACCTAGAGTGGGAGGTCAGGCTTGCCAGTCTCAGAGAAAAGTACTATGTGTAGGTCTAGTGTTCTGGCCTGGGTTTCTGCCACTGACACCCCTAACAGATGCTGCCCACCAGGGAGCCACCATCCACAGCAGAGACTGCCATGCACTGTTGTATCAGCCAGGGGCTCAGCAGGGAAGAGAATTCAACTCAGATGGTTCAAAAGCAGAGCTCTGGTGAAGGGACTAGCTACAGAGGTGCAGGCAGGGCTGTGGAGGCACCCAGAGACCAGTAGCCAGTCGCAGGCGGATCCACAGCTCCCCAGTGAAGGCTGAGGCAGGGGCCTACGCATTAGGTGGAAGGGCCTGGCTCTCAGAGAGCAGCCCCCACACCTTATCTGTGCTGAGACTTTGAGTCACACCAGACCTTAGCAGTACAGATGGTGAGGGCAGGACCCCACAACAGGAGGGCAGCATAGGAACCAGAGGGGCCTGTTCCCAACGCCACGGGGATGGATGAGTTTCCCTGCACTCAGTAGCCCTTTTGGTTAGGGAGAATCAAGCGTCCTTGTCAATAGGGAAAAAGAGTCTTAATAAAGAATGTGAACCTCACAAGAGCATGTATGCATGAAATCCCACCAGAGCGTTTAAACTGGAAGATGGTTTAAATTGTCTTTCTTTACGTGATGAGCTTGAGACCTCCTCTCTCCACCTGCATCAGAGGGAATGGGGGCTAAAAGACGTTTCATCTACATTGTAGTGGGTAAATTCTGACCCATGACATGTGTCTTGAGACCCATTGTGTAAGGACACTGGGCCAAGCACTGTGGAGACAGCAGGATGATAGCACCTAGCGGGTAAATCTACGGGGGGATATAGAGATGAACAAATGTAAAGTGTAGCAGCAATACAACTGCAGAATAGAACAATTGCACAATGGAGAGATGGTGCCAGTACTTAATGATCTGATATGGTGAACACAGCCTTGCAAATAAATGTAACTTTTATTGAATATTTTTTTCTGATCATAAAAATGAAGCACGCTTATTAAAAATGGAAACATATTGAAAATTATAAAAGAAAGAATTGAAACCCACAATCCAACCCTCTCTATTAACATTTTGGTGTCTTTTCTTAATACCATTTTCTCTTTTTATATGTGTATATATAAACACACACACATTTAATATGGTTGAGACTATCTTGTACATGGTTATATTTCCTGCTTACTTCACTTAACATTATACGAGAACATTTTAACATCTTTGAGCATTCTTCATAAACCAGCATGTAGGGTGCCCATGAGATAGTCCATTGTGTGGATGTACTGAAATGTATTTAAATAATTCCCCATTGTTGGGTATTTTGACTATGTCTGATTTTTTCACTAGCATAAGTCTTCATCTGTATTTCTGATTATTTTCTTAGGATACATTCATAGAAATAAAGTTATCAGGTCTACAGGAAATAATATTCTTCAGGCTCTTTGTTGACACACATCACCATAAATCGGTACCACTCTTTACTATCACCAGCAGTGTACTGAAGTGTCCTTCTCACCTTTGCTGACATTGAGCATTATATCTGCCAAATTGGCCGGGCATGGTGGCTTACACTTGTAATCCCAGCACTTGGGAGGCTGAGGTGGGCGGATCACTTGAGGTCAGGAGTTTGACACCAGCCTGGCCAACATGGTGAAACCCCATTTCTGCAAACAAACAAACAAACAAACAAACAAACAAACAAAAAAAACAAAAATTGTCTGGGCATGGTGTTGTGTGCCTGTAATCCCAGCTACTTGTGAGGCTAAGGCAGGACAATCGCTTGAACCTAGGAGGCAGATGTTGCAGTGAGCCGAGATCGTGCCACTGCACTCCAGGCTGGGCGACAGAGCCAGACCCTATCTCAATTTAAAAAAAAAAAAAAGTGCCAAATTGAAAGAGCAAAAATAGCAGCCTGCTTTAATTTGCATTTTTGATTACTAGAGACGTTGATTTTCTTTTCTTTCTTTCTTTCTTTCTTTTTTTTTTTTTTGAGACAGGGTCTCACTTTGTTACCCAGGCTGGAGTGCAGATGTGCGATCACAGCTCACTGCAGACTTGACCTCCTGGGCTCATGCAGTTCTCCCCTCTCACCCTTCTAAGTAGTTGGGACCACAGGCGTGCACCACCAGACCTGGCTAATTAAAAAAACATTGTAGAGACCAGGTCTCCCTGTGTTGCCCAGGCTGGTCTCAAGCTCCTGGGCTCAAGCAATCCTCTTGCGTCGGCCTCCCAAAGTGCTGAGATTATAGGCATGAGCCACCATGCCCAACCATGCTGATTTTTTCCTCTATATTCTTATCAACTCTTTTTATTTGTTCTCCGAATTCTCTGTCATGTTCCTTGCCCATTTTTGTTTTGGGTGTTAGTATTTTCTTAATGATCTAGAAGAACATTATATTTTAAGGATTTTTATTTTTATCTATTGCCATATTTGTTTCAAATGATTTTTTTCTTGGTTTGTAGTTTGCCTTTTAGCTTTAAATGCAGTGTTTGTTTGATAGTATAGAGTGGTGAATGGAGTGTGGAACAGTCTGGAAGACTGGCTTTGCACTCTGGCCTTCTCCCATGGCCATCATGGTAGAAACCGAGAGGGTCTGCAGAACTGGCCTTGCCCCTGTGCTCCTCAGAACCTACACTGATGTTTCACAAGGACTGATGAGGCTGTCCCAGTGATCACTCTTTAACTGACAACCTTTCTATTCCCACCTCCCCTCAGACAAACCCAAAAAAGCAACCTGCCCCCTCGAGGAGGCACCAGTACTCTCTGCATCTGGACTTTCAAGCTGTTCTCAACCAAAGGCTTGTTGGGGAGAGAAATTGTGACTGCTTCCAATGGATTGTTTATGTACATTCTTAATGCCAACAAGACACTCTTGACTGCTCTGCTCTTTTCCTGTTGAGTCAATGGGGAATTCCAGAGACCAGTTCCTCCCGCCCCCTTTTGCGGCTACAACTATATTTTCTGGTCACACATTCTTCCAAAACTACCCCCACTGCCCCATTGCAACTCCACATTACACTCACACCTCCAGTCCTACGAACAGGTAGAAGGGTGGTGCAGATTCTTAGCTGGTCTTCTGACAAATGAGTTGCTAAGTCAAACAGAGACCTTGACAAGGGTGCCTCTTTACAAATGGAATCTAGTTAGTCTCCAGGAGCAACCTCCCCTTGCCCCCAAATGTAGCAAGGGCTCATGGAGTGGTGAGAACAGACGGTGGGGAGGAAGAGGTAATGGAGGTATGGGATCTTCAGCATGGACCTCCCACAGCCAGACACCCTGCACTTTTATCCCTTCTTTTCTGCTTGTCCTTTTCTACTTAAAATATCATGGAGGTTATTTCTTATTTGTTCACATAAAGCCGCCCCATCCTTTATAATGATTGCCCTGTATTCAATTACACACAGTCATATTCATTTATTTAACTACTCCTGAGCATTTAAGTTGCTTCTAGGTTTCAGCTGTTACAAGTAACACTGCCCAAACCCCTAAACCAAACCAAAACAACCCCCCCCCCCCACAATGTGTTCGTAGACTTCTTCACACTTGTATGAAGAGGTTACTTCCATCCCTGTAGGGTAAATTCCTAGAAGTAGCATTGCTGAGTCAAAGGGTATGTACATTCCCAGCGTTTCTATATCCTGCCAATTTTCCCTCTGCTAAGCATGGACCTGTTTACATCCCCACCAGCAGCACAGGAGGGTGCTTCTTCCCACAATGTGGCCAGCACAATTAGAAAAGACAGAACTCCCTGCATGGCCAACAAAGCTCTGTGTGTTCTGGCCCAGCCTACCTCATGTCAGCCTCCTCAGGGAGCTCATTCTACCCGCCCTCCTCACTTGCTGGCCCCAGGCTTTGCATGGGCCATTCCCTTACTCAGGATGTTCTTCTCCCCTTTCTGTCTCGCTTATCCTGCAGATCCCAGCCCATGCGCAGCTACTTTGGGGAAGGGAAGCCATGTCTGAACTCCCAGGCCGCTCTCAGCCCCTTGGCCAAGGTCTTGGAGTATGGTGAGTATTATTCTTGCCACAGGAGCATCTTTACAGTGGCTTGTGGGGTCATCTGATAAATATCTGTCTCTCCACTGGACTCTTAAGCTCCATGATGCTCATGAGCTCTGCATGAGACATGAGAACCATGTCTGTTTCTGATCACTGTGGTCTTCCCAAGAGCAGGTCACAGTATCTGGCCTACAGAAGGCACTCAACCTTTTTATTGAATGACTGAACAAAAGTAACACAAGCTCACCCTTTTCCTCCTCCAAACTTCTTGCCCTGTGCTCATTATCTGGGTGAACGCCATCAGTGCCCTTCCAGTATCTTAGCAGGAAACCCAGCTCTTCTCTTAAACTCCTTTCTCTTCTCTCTGCACATCCAGCGGGGTTGTCAAATCACTTTACACTACAGGAGAAATTCCTCTGCCCTCTCTAGGTCTTTAAGTCATTCCCTTACCTTCAGTGCCCTTTCCCTCCTTACCTTGCCTGATGATGTCTATTCTTCCTTTAAGATACACTGTATCTTTTCTAAGAAACTATCCAGCTCTCTAAGTCGAATTTAACCTTGTTCACTGTCCCATAGGCTGTATCTCCAGAGAGCCCTTTCCTTGGCTGAATATCGGAGTTGTCTATGGAGTTTTCTGTCCTACCATCCCCCCAACACACAAACAGACACAGACACACACAGAGACACACACACACACACACAGGGTGTGACGTGTTGGAGAGCAGGAAGCCTACCTTGTTCATCTCTGCATGCCCCTCAGCCCTGAGAACAGTGCTCTGTATACAGTAAGTGTTCAATAAACTCTGAATAAGATCAAACCAAATGATGCTCAAGTTAAAAAGGCCCACTTGGCTTATTAGACTTTTAGAGACGCTTTCCAGAAAGAGCTCCACTGGGCAGGCAAAGTTGAGAGAGCCTCTTTCTTCCCCACCGCCTCCCTGTAGCCTGCCAACCTTCAGACTGCATTATTCCCACGCCGGAACCCAGGCAACATCATCAGACAAGTCAGATGTTTCCCATCAGTCTGGAAGGTTTCCATTTTCATTTTCCACATCAGCGTTATGCTATCAATCTATTCCCCAGCCTGCTTCCTTCTCCTGCCTCCCCCTACCCCCGCCCCTAACACACCACTAGTCCCTGCTGTGGATCAATTCCTGTGTTGCAGATACAAAGGTAGTTTTGCTTGACAAATGAAGCTGCCCTTCCAGGAGGCAATAAAGAGATCAATACTGGTTATACGGAAGTGCTCAGGAGCAGGTGGGATGGTGATATCCCTGAATCCCACTGCCAGCGCCATGCTGAGCAGCCCTCCCCAGCCAGTGAGCCCTGTCCCCTTCCTTCCACACCCTTGCACCTGCAGAAGCCTGGTGTGCCCAGGGCCAAACCAGCCTATCTCTCCTGGTGGGATGGGCATCGTCAAGGGGTGAGCATCCTTTGGGTGCAGAGCACCCTGCTCTGGATCCTGTGGCTTGGTGGCCCAGATGGTAGCTGAGGAGCCTATGAACAGATGGTGCTGATGGAAGACACCTGGGTGGGTTGAGGGAGGCAGAGAGCAGGCCAGGGTTTGAGTTCCAGTCCTGCCACTCACTGGCTTTGTGACCTTGGGCAAGTCACTTTCCATCCCTGATTGGGCCACTGATTCTGCACCTGAAAGCCACGGAGGTTAGACTGGATAACCTAGGGTCCATGGATGGGCTTATGAGTGTCCATGTACCTCTGAAATTTCTTCCAATTTTGTGTATATGTATATTTTTTTCTGGGGTAGAGGGTCCATGCTCCCCCCACCCCACCTTCTTAATATCAGATTCTTAAAGGGACCCTTGATGTCCATCCCCCACCATGGTCAACTCAGACCGAGCATTCTGTGACTCCAAACAAACAGGAGACAAGTGTTCTTGCAGGACTGCTGATGTTGCTGGGGACGCACACCAGGCACCCCAGAAAAAGACACAAGGGTGCTCTTGGAGTAATAGTAAAGACATGGTAGGAAGCAGGTGGGATAAATCTGGGAAGACTCCCTGGAAGAGGTGAATTATGACAACAAAGGTGAGGCAGAAGCTTAAAGGGGAAAGGTGAAGGGGGGCCTTGAGGAATAATAGGGTGCGCTCTCCTCTTCTCCATGCTCAAAAAACAATACACTTTGTGAGAGGAGACCCCCTAACTAGCTGAAGCTGCTCACAGTCCTCTACCGAGAACAAGAAATCAAAAAGTCAACACCAGCTCATTAAATACTCGGGGCTGGCTAGCTATTAAAAGAATTTCCATTTCAGAACAGGATGCCTACCAGGGAATGCCAGACCTAAATATAAGCCAGCCCCCTCCCTGCCAGGAGACTTTACCGCGTTAGGCAGGCGGGGAGGCAGGACTTTGAGGAGATGTGTCATTACTTTTAACATCCAAATATAACTGGCCCCAGGGGGTCGGAGACTGAGGCTGCTCTTCCCAGCTACCTCCTGCCAGAGCCCAGGGAGGGTATGCAGGGTTGGGGGTGTGGGAGCAGACCCCTGCAGAGCTCAGAGGTCTTGGCTGCAAGCAGCCTCCCAGCCACCCCTCCCCTTGCCTAAATGTAGGGGTCTGGAAGGAGGGCCACTGAAGCCTAGCGGCTGTATCCTGATCTGGCTGCTGGGGTGGGGCAGGGGTGTGGGGAAATTTGGGGGCTCTCTGGGTGAAGGAGGGGCTACTTTTAAATATTTATAGTTACTTTTCCTTTCCTGGAAAGGTGGGAGGAAAGGGGCTACAGGGAAGAAAAGCCACTAAGCTGCCCTGGAGAGAGATATATATGCATCTCCCTTATCTCTCTCTCTCTGCATTTCTTTCCTTCAGTGCAGGCTCTCAGTTTACAGTTCTGCACTCACGCCTGTCTTCCCCATCAACTAAGCTCCTTGAGAACATGGGCTTTGCATCTGCTCACATCGCTATCCCCAGTGTCCACCAGCCCAGTGTCCTCGGGAGTGAATGAAATGACAATCGTGCAACAGCCCTATGTAGGTAGAGTGCTATATACACCACTGGTTCTTAACTTGGCTGCCCAGTGGAACCCTCTGACCGCCTGGATTCTGATTTCATTGTACTGGGGCGCAGTGTGGCCATTTGGATTTTTAAGAGCTCCCAGGTGGTGATTCTAACGTAAAGCCACATTATCTAATCAAAAAGCTTTCAGTTGTCTCCATTGATTCTCTTTTCTCTTCCTCTACCTCCTCCTGTTCTTCCTCCTTGAATCCCCTGTTGTTGATTCTTTAAAACAACCTTATGAGAAAAGTATGGCAGGGGTCATTATCCCCTGTGGTCCCCTGTGGGACTTAAGAAACCAAGGCTTAATGTGGTTAAACGACTTGCCCAAGGTCATGCAGCCAATCAGCAGTTAAATTGGAACGGTCCAGTCCTCACAGTGCCCAACGCAGTCTGACTTCCCTGCTTCAGTGGGAAGCCTGGAGCAGGGTCTTGACATGTAGGGAAGTTGACCTGCAACAATGCAGCTCATTTCTTGAATGGAGGGAGGAGAAGTAATGGTCACTATGCAAGATCCAGCATCTGCCCCCTCACAGTGTGGCCAACACTGCCCCTGCAGGCAGCCTGACCTGAGGCTGAGTTAGGCTGCAGACAAGCCCAGGGCAGGGCGGGGACCTCTGATGCCAATAGATAATCAGAGGGCACAGTTTGGCACCAGATAATTTTGCACAGAAAAAAAGCCGGTAAAGAATCTAACAGTGGAATAGTCCATCTTAGGCTGCCTCTGGACCACATGTCCTTCTAAAAACAATAGACTTGGAATTGAAGAGCTGTTGACCCTGGGAGGGCCAGTTGAGTCCCTGGTGGCTCAGTTTTCCCATCTGGAGAATGAAGATAATAGTACCCTACTCGCTGGCTGCTGCGAAGGTGAAATGAGAAAACGGAGGTGACAATAATGTTGAAAATAAAAGAAAACACTCTTTGTGTGCCCTCCTACCTGAGGAAGAGGGGTTGGCCTGAGCTGTCTTCTTTTGCACTCCTGAGCCTCTATCACATCCTGAGGTCCTGGATGCTGGGCCTGCTAGAGGAAGTAGCTTTTGGCTGCAAATCCTACTTGTGACCCTCACTGCATGAACTTCTGACCAGAACCAGTTTATTTTCTTGAAGTTGGGGAAGATTTCATGGAAGCAGACATGACTATAAGAAGCAAGTGCAGGGAGGGAGTCCCACTGACCCTAGCCTCTTAGCCTGTTGGTCTTCAGGGGCAGTTTTAGGGAGAGGTACAGGCAGGTCTCTCACCCCCCAGGTGTTGGTGGTCGCCAGCTGTTCCTCATTCCCAGTGAAACAACATGGCCGGTTGTACCAGATTGTAGAAGGAAGTGTGTCTGGAGAGTGGAGCTAATTAAGCCCAAGCAGGTATTTTGGGTGGGGAAAAAAAAATCACCCTTACCCTGGGAAGGAAATCCTCACAAATGCACTTTCCCACATGTGATGGGGCCAGGTTAGCAAGTAGCTGTTGGCTAGGGTTCCCATCAGTGGCCCTTGGGTCTTTGAAGAGTGTTCAGTTGTTGAGTGTCACTTCTATGACTAGGGATGGGAGTAGCACAGGGAGCCCCAGCAGAACAGGGACATGAGGCTTCTTGCTAGAAAACTTTTGCTTGCTTGGACAGAGCTGGGATTGGCAGCCAGCTCACAACCACCATTGTTTTTCTAATGTAGGCAGCCCTGAGACTGTCCCACTGCCAGGCTTTGTGGTTGCAGCCACTCAGGGTATCAGACACAGTAATCCTGTAATTGACAGAGTCACAAAGAAGGAGATCTTGGGGTCATCATCAGTCCGATTGGCCATTTGATGCCTGAGTCTTCTTTCTAGGCAGGATTCCAGTGTCTTCTAGTGATGCCTCCAGTGATGGGGTTCTCACCACCTCCCAAGGTTTTCACTCAAAGGCACTATTTGGATGGATTGGGCTGTGGACCACTTATGGGAGAGTCAGAGCTGGAGAAAATGATCCCACTGCTGGAGCTGACACAGGGGATTAGGAGGGTAGCCATAGTGTGTGGTTCAAGAATTATAGTAATCTCTGGTCTAAGACCTGAAAAACAGTCCTTAAGCTCTCAATGGGAAGACTGTACTGCTACTGATGTATACAGGTTGTTCCTTTCCATTGTTGTATAGTATTTCATCACATGAATATAGCACAGTGTGTTTTTCTACTGCTGGTGGACACTTGAGTTTGTTCCAGTTTTGAATGAATGAATCTCCCATGAATGAATCTCATGAACATAAGGTTGAGCAAAAGAAGCCAGACTCCCAAAAAAGTATACTTTGCATAATTAGATTTTATGCTTTTTTTGGTTGGGGAGGAGGGAGTTAGTGACTGGAAGGGTAACACAAGGGGACTCCTGGGGTGCTGGTGATATTCTATTTCTTGAGCTAAGTGACAATTATGCAGATGTGTTTACTTTATGAAAAGTCAATAAGCTGTATAAGATCTGTGTCCTTTGACATGTATATTAAAACATTTATTAAAATAAACATTAAAAATGTTTACTTAAGAAATTATGGCCCAACCGTGATTGACTTTAAAATAGTAATACTGTCAATGACTTATGTTATGGAACTTTCTAATTTCTTACAGACGTGTAACAGATAAGAGGAAACTTCAGGGGATATACTGACATTTTCATGGAGTTACAGTCAAAAGTCTTGCAATAATAAAGATCATTCAACTAAATTTGTTGACTATCACTACACATCAGACACTGTTCCCAGTGTTTTCTGTGTATCAATTCATTGAATTCTCACAACAGTAGGAGGTCAGTATTTTGATGTTTGCAGAGAAGAAGATGGGGGCCCAGAGAGGTTAGGTAGGCACTGAAAAGTCACACAGCTGGTAAGGGGTTGGGGAGCTGGTGTTTCAGACTGTCCTAAGGAACTGGGGACACCTTCTGAGCTCCTGGGATGACTCAACTAGAGGCACCTCTGGGCCCATTCTGAGGGAAGCTGGGCCGGGCTGGGAAGCCCTCCAGGCTCGGCCACTGGCCCAGGAGTTTCTGGCCAACTGAGAGAAAACCCAGCCCCGCTCAGTATGCATGTTGTGGTATTTTTAAAAAGAGGTAAATAAGTCTCCTCATTTGCATGATATTTCACGCTGACTCGGTCTCTCAAACTGTTATTCCATCTACACACGGCACTGTGGGATGCCTGCGATATTTTATAAAGTTAATAACTTTCTCTTAATTGGATGAGTTTATAGAATAGTCTGCGCAATTAACAATAATTACGCCAAAGACACTTTGATTCCAAGGATGCTCCACAAACATTGGCGCATTAAGCCATTTAGGAAAAAAACAACAACCCACAACACACTGCCACAAGACAACACACAGGTACACGCACACACACACACACACACACACACACACACACACACACACACTCTCACTGCAGAGCTCCCTGAAGCACCGTGACCCAGAATGAGTCTTTGTTTCCAGGCCACAGGATGGTGGAGCTAGAAAAGAAATGCCTCGTGTCACACTTCACTACACTCTGTGCCTCCCCTCGCTACCCCCTACCAGGTAGGAGGAGGGGTCGGCAGGGCCAGGTCCTGCCACTACTTGTTGAAGGACACACTGTCTGTCCATGCCCAGGTAACCATGCAGGACAACACCACCTGAGCACTTGGCAAAGACTCGTAATAAACTAGATCTATAATAATGTCTCTCTCTCCCTCTCCCTCTCTCTCATCTATGCTACCTTTGATCTCAACAATACCTATTTCAGGATGACTTCTCATTCAAAAAGGACAATTGCCTAGGGACATGAAATTCAGAGTTACTTGAATGAAATTTTTAAGCTATTCAATACAGCTCCTTTCATAAAGTTATAGACATGCAGGGTTGGAAAGGGCCTAACCTCATTCAATGGTTGAATGGCTTCTCCAACATTCTGCCAGATGGTTGTTGAGTCTTTGCTGGAACACCTCCATTGATGGGGAGCTCGCTACCATCTAAAGGCATCCATTCCATTTTAAGATAGCTTTAATTATAAGAAAAGTCTTCCATATAATAGAGCTTAAATTTATTTCCCTGGAACTTCCACCTGCTGGTTCTACCCTTTGGAGAATAAGTGAATTCCTTCTTTCATATAACAGCTCTTCAGTTTTCAACACCTGTCTATGACTCACACTCTCCCCAGCCACCCTGAGTCTTCTCTTCCGCAGGCTGACAATGCCCACTTCCTATAACCTTTTCTACCATTCCAAGCCAGCTTCAGAAACCCATCCATCAGAATAGTGCTGCAAAAAAATTCTAGCCCTACAATAAAATATCCCTAAAGTGTCCATGTGACTTTCATCATCTCTTTATAGTGCCTTTAGGTTTGGTTTAAAAAAAAAAAATCTGTCTTTGCAGGAAAATAGATGCTTCTATTTGAGCTGGGGAAACAAGGAGCAGGGAGGGAGGGGGATGCATTTCAGTGGGCCAAGGAGAGCACAGGGTTGAGGAATGGGATCTCTTGCTACGGAGGCTGTGTTAAGCGGCCCAAGACCAGCACTTGTGGGCTTGTCACTCAATGCCCCTTAGGACAGCCTTAAGTGCCACTACCGCTCACTGGGGGTGTTCTCAGGAGACAGGGACCTTCCAGATAGGGTTGCTGAATACTGCAGAAGGCGAGCTCCTTTGTCTGCACAATCCCAGGATCAAGCCTTCCCCAACGCACCCAGCCCCAGCCCAGCTCAGTGAGCCAATTCCTGACCTGGCTTCTTTGCCTTTCTCTCTGTTCCCTCCCCAGCTCCACTTTTGCCTTTATGGTTCTAGCTCGGGGCGCCTGTGCCCAGCCCATCTGTTCAGTCCCATATGCTTCCCGTAAGGGCTGCCAAGTCGGCCCAGTGCTCAGTGACTCTACTCCAGCCCCTGGTGGCTGGTCTCAGGCTTTCTCTATCCAACCTGGTCGCTAGGAAACAGCCTTGCTACTGCATCAAGGCCAGACCTGGATGCTGTCATGGTACAGCAGAGGCGTGGCTATTGGCCTGGGGCACCCGATGGGCACCCAAGACCAACCTTCCTCAGGGAGTGCCCCTGGGTCAGGAGGGCCTGGCCTCAGGAGGTTTGCCCTCAGGGCCCACATCCCTGGAAAGGTGCTGGTGAATAAGACCCTCCCAGGCTGGAGGGTCTATACTTGGTAACCCTATAGACCACAGAGTGGAGAAATATTTCAGAAAAATTAAGATTTGGAGGAAAATGGAAAATATGTTTAATCTCTTTTTGTACTCTTTGCAAATCTGTAGTTCCCTTTTCAGCTAAAGAACTTAAAAGTGAATTATGGATAACATATTTTGATTCCAAAATGTTCATGTTGGTACACTTAAAGGGGTATAAATGAAGATTTGAAAAAAAAATGGTTACATTTTGGGAAAGTAAGGTTTTTCTTGTTTTATCTCATCCTTTTTAGTTGATGGAGTAGTAGATTATAGATACATCTTTCTATGCTTTCACACATTTATAGCAGGTCACAGGGCACCTTGTTTATGGCCCCTTTCTACAACAAATTCTTGTGGCAGGTCACTAAGAGGCATGATGCAGGGGCAATCATGTGGACTTCGGAGCAAAATACCTAAGTTCAAATTCTGACTCTTCTATGTATTAGCTTTGAGACCCCAGGGAGCTTTATTGAGCCTACGTGGGAATAATAATTTCAATTCCATAAATTGGTGAGAAAAATTAGCTAATTTAAGAAAAATTAGCAAATTTCGTGAAACATCTTTAGTACGGTGCTTGGTACACTGGAGACAATAAACATTGCTGAGTAAAAACAGCCTGGTGGATTACAGCCCAGTGACTTTGAGGTCCCATATGTGAACGATTCCTAAACTGTGCCACCCTTTCCAGAATGGCAGATAAAGCCCTGGCTAAAACTCTTAAAGTAGATGAGGAAGCAGCTCCAGCCGGCCATGATCCAGCTTCCCCATACAAAAGAGAACCAGGTCTGAATTTCATCAGCCACCGACAGTGGAGAGCTAACAAATTGTTCTCTTTACCCTACCAGTACCTGTAAACACTGCCAGCTCTCTCTCCCTCCTCCTCCTCCCCTCTCCTCTCTTTCTCTGTCCTCCACACCTCCCCTAAGATTAGATTGGATTCCAGTTTTATAAGGCCATTCTGACACCTACAGCCAACCAACTGCTCCACTTAATAGGAACGACACTGTGACTGAAATTAACTCCAGAGGGGAGATTTCCAAGCCATTGCTCAGACAGGCTTGTCTGTTTGCCACCCGTTTGGACTGGGGCCCCCTACTTTGCTGCACCTTCTCCTGCGGCTGTCCTCTCCTCCCGCATGTCACAGAGAAAATATCCTTGCTCCTATAAACCTGTTTTAGGCCTGAACAGGCAGCATGGGATGCCCTCCCCATGGGGGCAAGTGGAGATCAAACACAGGATGAAGAGTCTGTGTGAAATACTAGAAAGAGTGGACTTGGAGTCAGACAGATGAATTCCAATTCCCTTTTCATCACTTATTAGCTGTGTGACCTTGGGCAAGTTACTAAACCTCTCTGGGTCTCAGTTTCCACAGGTGCAAAATGGGTACAATAATAACTACTGTGTAGAAAAATTGTGAGAATTAAGGAAGGTAATGCATGTAAAAGTGCTTCATGTAGTACCAGGCATACATAGTAGATACTTAATACACGACAGTTCACTTAAAGTCCAAACTTCAGCTTTGAGCAGAGATACAAAAATCTCCCAGGTTGCAAGAAATGTCTTCATTTCAGCTAAATGGTTTACTGTCTATGGACATGGCATCTGGGATGATTAAGCTGAAGATGGGAAATACCTGTGCTCCATTCAAAGCCCAGCTCCAAATTTGCCTCCATTTAGAAGTCTTTGCTGAAAGAAGGCTTCTACCACTTACTAGCTGTGCATTGTCAGGCATGTTACTTAAAATATTTTAACAAGTTTTATTACTCTTTTTATTGGTTGTCCTTTAGCACTTATGAACACATTTGAGACCATACAGAAAGCTCAATTCTAAGTAAATATGACAGGTGGATGCTTAATTTATATACTGCTAGAAATAAATTTATTTGCTAATGTTTGAAACCCTAGAGTTAAGTAATTTTCAGGTGGCTCAGTGGTGACACCTATCTGTGAAGTCTGGTGCAGCAGATCAGCTCTATCAGACATGGAACATTTTAACCAAAGGGGAAGGCAGGGAGGATAAGTGGTGCTTTAAGAGTGAAGCCAGGGGATTCTGAGTCTCAGGAAAAGGAAAAGCAGGTCCATTTTCTTTAAAAAATGTTAATGTACTTGCATCTTGTTATTCAACTGGACTCTAACATTCCAAGAATATGGCTATATATATTTTTTTGGGGAAAAGAACTTAGCTATGGAATTAGAAGCTGGGTTCTCTCATGAATTGGCTGTGCTGTTTTATGCAAGTTGTACAACATCACAAAACCTCATGATCTTATCTATATGCAGGAGGCAATATTTACCTCACAGGACTATTTTAAAGGTGAAACAAGACAACGTGTGGAAGAATCTGCCATGTATTAGCTAGGTGTTGTGGGTAAGGTATGTAGCCTCCTTGGGCCTCAGTTTTCTGATTGAAAAGTGGGATTGTCAAGAGGTTACCATGAGGATCAATGAAAGGACGTGTTTCATAAAAAGTTTTCTATACATTGAAATATTATTTTAATATTTACTTATTACTATAGCAAGCACACTACAAGGTCTGAAACTTAGATGACCCTCAGTCCATGTTTGCTGGATGAATAAATGGTGGAATGAGAGACCATTTGCCTAGTCCAGGCTTGGATGTTTGCCAAAATGAGGACCCCTTTAAAAGGAGAAGAGGACTGATGATATTAATACCAGATTTTTTTTCCCAGCAGATCCATATTTAGCTTTGTCCATCCCAAAGGGCTGGTGGCCTGGAAGCTCTGCAGACATGAATGAGGCGGCTTTGTGCTGTACCCTGCTTCACCATGGAGACACACACCTGCTGTGGTGTAAGATGAAGAAGCTGAGAAGCCGCCATCTGTAAGATGTAAATTTTTATTTGTCTTCCAGGAGCAGGGGCAGGTTGTACCAAGTTGCCCTCCCTTGCTTCCCCCTGTGATTGATGGCACAGAGTTAGGCTGGAGCTGGCTGGCAATGGTGGTGAGCCTATAAAGCTAACAGCTCATGTGCAGATCCTGCACATGGGCCTCTGAAAACATTGACCTCACCGATGAGCCTGACTGTTCTCCGCAGGCTCACATGGACCATCCTTCACACGTGCATTCTGGGGCTCTCACTCCACTCCAGAGTCCTGGAGGAAGGGGGCTGTTGTTTCTAGTTTATGTCTGGTTTCTCCTGGCATATTCAGTTCTGAAGGACCAGAGCCCTGATCCACTGGGGATGACGGGAGCCAAAGACCCAGACTCTTTAGCAAAACTGAAGCAGGTCAAGTTCAAGTTCATCTCAACTACCTACATTTTGGTGCTCCTCGTTCTCCCCCACCCTCAAGGCACCTGGCATGCGGACATTTCCCATGCTGCACTTCTAAAGGATCCTACGGGTAACAGATTCAATAAGTAATACAGATTATATATAAATAATTATGTTTACTGAGTCCATACTATGTATTAAATGCTGCAAGGTGTACACATATAAATGCTCTTCTACTGGGCAGGCTAGGGTAGCCATTATGAGTGCTGACCTTACACTAGGCAGGTCTCAGCCCAAATCCTGCTTCTAGCACTTATTAGCTCTACGGTCTCAGGCAGGTTATTTAATATCTCAAAGTCCTATGCCTATGCCTTCTCTCTCCTATGAGACATGAGAACCCTGGCTTCTCGTCAACTAGCATCAACTGAAATCTCCTGCCATGTTTAAGGGCATCTGTGTCTAACATGCTAAACTCTTTTTTTTCTTTTTTCTTTTCTTTTCTTTTTTTTTTTTTTTTTGAGACAGAGTTTTGCTCTGTCACTCAGGCTGGGAGTGCAGTGGCGTGATCTCAGTTCACTGCAACCTCCACATCTCAGGTTCAAGTGATTCTCCTGTCTCAGCCTCCTGAGTAGCTGGGATTACAGGAGTGCGCCATGACACCAGCTAATTTTTGTATTTTTAGTAGAGACAGGGTTTTGCCATGTTGGCCAGGCAGGTCTCGAACTCCTGACCTTAAGTGATCCATCCGCCTCGGCTGCCCAAATTGCTGGGAATACAGGTGTGAGCCACTGCTCCTGGCCTAACATGCTAAACTTGCAGTGGAAGGCCCCTTAGCATGGGATCTAGGGTTAGATAGTCTTAGCTCTGTCACTCACCCGTTGTGGAACCTTGGGAAAGTGAAATAAACAGAGCCAGTTTCCTTGCCTCTAAAGCTCTAAAGTGGGGATAATAGTAACACCTACACCTCATCATATGGTTATAAAGATTAAATTAATCAATGCCTCTAAAAGACTTAGCCTGGCCCCTGCTATATAGCAAATGTTCAATAATTTTTGGTTATTATTGTTAACCTCATCTCCCAATAGACGAGGTAGCCCAAGATCACACACCTGAGACTTGAACCCAAGTCTTCTGACACTGAGACCAGTTAGGTACTTCCATCACAGAATGCTGACTCATCTGAATAACATGTGTTAAGACACTATTGGAGGATAATGGCTTGCTGTTCCCCTGCATAAAAACATAGTTACAATTTCACAGGAGCTGTCAAGCCTTTAGTGCAAAGAGAATAATAATGGGCACCCAGGTACCATAAAGGACAGGTGGGAGGGAGAGCTCTCTGTGCAGGAGGAGCAGTGAAAAAATAGAACAGGTTACCTTCACTAAATGATTAACTTTCTTTTTACCATTTGTTGGTTTCAAATTAAAATAAGTCTAGCCAACTTGCAAAGCCACCCACCAGCTTCAACTTGATTGAAATCAGCTGAATCGGAATGACAGCATCACAGGCGTTCACAGAGATCAGGGGGAAGGATGGGGAGCAGAGCCAGGAGGGGCCACCTCAGCGAGGCCTGCAACAGGAGGTGTTTATTCTTTAGGCCCCTAAGAATGACTGGAGTCATTCCTGACCTTGTGGCTCTTGATAGAGTAGTGAATGGAAAGGCACTATTAATCTGCAAATAGAAGGGGACTTGGGAGCTCAAAACCTGTCTGTAAATAAGCTTTGAGGGGGCGAAGGTTGGAAAGTCAGTGCATTACAAGTTTAAAGCATCAGGTGCACTTGGATTTGGCCCTTTTGGGTTTTGTGTTTTGGCCTTTTTTTATGGCTTGAGTATGGGTGAGATAGTCCTTTATTATGATAGGCACTCACATGCGCACTCGTGGCCCCAGATGAGAGCCTGGAAGTCATCACCTGGCCCTTTAACTTGTTCACTCCTAAGCCTGGCCCCAGGAGCACTCTTCTCCCTCCTAGATGTTATTCTCCTTCAAAAGCTCCTTCCTCACTCCCACGGAGAGACCTGGTAAGCCCTGGGGTCAAATGCAACCCCCAGCTAGAATCATTGCTTCAGGAGCCAGCCCATTGGGAAGAGAAGACATCTAGCAAAGATTTCTCTGGCAGGGGCACAGATTAATTTGTGGCTTGGCAGAGGAGAGACAGAACAAGAGTTGGGGAGGCAGGGTTGGATTTTGGGTCTAGATTGGTGATGTTTGAACTTGTGTGCACATTGGAATCACCCAAGGAGCTTCAAAACCCACCCATGCCTGGTCTCCCGCAACATACTGTAATTTAATTGGTCTGGAGTGTGGCCGGGGCTTTGGATGGTTTAAGAGACCCCCAGGTGATTCCAACGTGTGGTCAGGTCTGGGAATCACTGGTCTGGGACTCCTACAGAGAGGGAGTTCTGCTTCACCCCTAGTCTCTACCTCTCCCACCCCAGACACATGTATTCTCTGTGGGGGCCTCATGGGTTGCTGGAGTGAGGAGTCCAGTTGAGCACAACCACCGAGTAAAGGGATTTCAGGCCCGGGGAAAGTACCCTCTGGCTTTCAAAACACCTCTCCCACCTACTTCCTAACACCTGCAGCTCCTTCGCAGGGACAAAGCTCTTTATTCCACAATGAGAGATAAGGCTTAAAACAGCAATGCCCTTGGGAGAAGAAGGAGAGTGACTCACATTCATGCTAAGCTATAAATGACTGATGAGCAGGGGAGAGAACACTGAGCCATGTTGACAGCCTGACGCAGGGGAGAAGTGTGAACATATTCAAGCTAGAGGGGCCCCCTCATTTTAGAAAGGAGGAAACTGGGTCCCAGTGGTGTGACCCAACATGGTCAAGGCCATCTGTTCAGCAGGTCAGCCCTAGCGTCCAGGGCAGAGAGGATGCTCTTCATACTTGGCACAGCTTGAGGTAGGGCTGGCCTTGACTGTCGAAAATGAAGATGCCTCCTGCAGGCGTCTCCATGGTAGATCTCTGTATCAGACTTTGCATTGCCCCAAAATGCTGTTGGAAAATGTGTCAGGCATTTTCTTACTAACAATGCCTGTGGGTGCTACTGGCATTTAGTGGGCAGGGTCCAGGGACACAAAATAGCCTGTAATGTGTGGGGCAATCCTGCCCAAGGAAGTACGGTGCAGATCCAAATGCCATCAATGTCCCCTATCAGAAACACTATTAATCCTGGGGCTGTGGCAGTCTATGAGGCGCATCTTCCCCTAAAACCCATGACAGAAGCGCTGGTCCCATGCCTGTGGGCATGGTCTGGACATCGGTGGAGGAGGCATTTGTCTCCAGGTAGGTTCTATGGACACTTTGAGGCTAGTGCCTGTGCAGCTGGGTTTCCCACAGGCCTCTGGGACATTGCCCCATTATCTGGAGCTGAGCTCTGGGTACAGGGATGCTGAATACCCTCATACCAGAGCTCCAGGCCAGAGATTAAAAATGCCTAGTGGGCGGTGTTTAGCACAGCCCACTCTTGCTGAGACCCCCCCCCCTCCTTCTTCTGGCATGAGACCTGGTCAAAGAATCAGCCCAAGTTATCACCTGCCCCTGCTCAACCTTGGTCCCCTGGGGATGCTACACAAAGTAAAGGGCTTGCCTAGAAAGCTACTCCTTAAGCAGAAAGGACCCTGTGCCATGTTGCCAGGGCCCTGAGTAGCAAATGTAGGCATTTCATGCTGCTGCCTGATTGCTTTCAGGGGTGCTCCACTCCTCTTAATCCAAAGATTTATACTTTCTTGATTTGATAGTGGGGCAAAGTTAGATGAGTGGGCCATTATCAGGTAGTTAAAGAGTCCAGGCTGTTCGCTTCACTGGGGCAGTCATGTCTCCTCTCTGGGCCTCTGTTTCCTTATTCATAAAGGGTGCTGGTCATGCTGCCTGCCTTCTCATGGAACGGGCATAGCACATCAAAGCATGTGGCGGATTCTCGAGCTGTACCCAAACAAGCGCTCTCTATGCAGGAGGCGCTTATTTTCCCATCATCATTGCAGGCACCCACTGTCCCTATGTCTCCAGAGCCCCACACCTTGGACCACCCCACATCCCTGGACTACTGGCCCCAGGGACCGCCCTGACATTGTGACCACCTGGGACAAGACTCAGAGGGCCTGGCCATGAGCGGCAGGTGCAGAGTAGGGGCAAAATCTCATCCTATGCTCCACGGTGCCTGCCACTTGCTGACCACCAGCACCCTGATCCTCCAGGAAGGAAGAGAGAGGGTGGAAACCCGCAAAAGAAATCAGCCAGGCCTGAGTTCTCCAGGCAGTGGTGCCTGCGAGACTTTACATTCAGGAAGCTTAGCTGACATTTATGGCGGGAAGTTTTATTTCTGTGGTAAATAACCTCGAATGGTATAGGTCATTAGACTAATAACAGCAGATAATTAATTTTCTAACTCTTTTTTAAGCTGGCCACATATTACAAGAGAAATATAATTTATTCTTTTTCTTCTCTTGCGGATGTGACCGTGCTTATCCCGTTGTCCTGCCCATCAGAACGGAGATGGCGGGAGTTTTCCCTTCCGCCCCCGGTCTGCTAAGACACTGTTAGAGGTTACAAGTAACCCCGCCTCTTCTTCTCCCTCCTAGACGTTATTCTCCTTCAAAAGCTCCTTCCTCACCACCATCTGAGGTGGGTTTTCATTCGCCCTGCCCTGTTTCCCATGGGTCTTGGGCACAGGGGCTGGTGCTGATTTCCAGGGCTTTGACTGAAGGCCTCTATGTCGTCCCCAGCCTGAGTACAATGCCGGGAGAGGTGCCCAGTCGCACTGCTCGCAGCCCCACATCACCACACTCGTGCCTTCCCCTGAGCCGCTGCACCCACCATTCCCTACGGCCCAGTGCCTGGGCCCCTGCTCTCTATGTAAAGCCCGTCTGCTGCCCGTGGCTTGGTTCAGCTCCTCCGTAACTGAGCTCATCCTCACAGTGTCCAGGAGGGAGCTTCGGGAACTCCTGCGCCAGGCACTTTGTATATATGATCTCACAGAAGTTTTGAAGGCGGTTCCAACACCTTCATTTTGGAGTTGGGGAGACTGAGGCTGAATGCGGCTGAGCTGGGATGGGCATCTAGCTCAAAGCAGGACCCCTCAGGCCCCGCTGCCCACATGCCTCTATTTTTATCAGCCATTAGGCTCCTCATGTTCCCCTCAGACTTCATGAGTGTTGCATTTTCCAGATCCCTGGAGCTCTAATCAAGATGACTCTTCTTCCCCATGGGGACCATGGGCCCCTATGCACCCTCCATTTCCCTGTATTTCCCACAGAGCCCATCATGGTCCTGAGCACTTCTCAGTAATACCTGTATGTTTTAAAGGGTTTATGTTGCATAAAGCCCTTTCATCACACATTGCATTTCAACCTTATAGTATTTCTGTAAGGGACACATCAGCATGTCATTATTCCAACTTCAAAGATGAGAGACCGAGGTGCTCAAGGTGATACTGCTGGGTCGATGTGAAGAGGGAACTAGAATCAAATCTGTTGCCCCCATCCAAGAGTTTCCCTGCCAGCACACCAGCTTATGGAACTTAGGCAAGGATGGAGTGAATCCTCCCACTTGCTCCCTCCAACACAACCAAGGCAGCCTCTGTTCAGGAAGCGCTTCCCAGGGTGGGGAGCGGCTGATCCTCATGACCTCTGAGCTGAGGAGGGAATAGCAGGAACCTGAGGCCACAGGCCACTCTACCTTCCCTGCCCGACCTCCTCGTGCAGGGAGAAGCACCAGTTTCAGTCACGTGCAAAATGTAAAATCCTTTACTAAACCCCAAATCTAGAATCTCAAAAGTGACTTCCAGCCCAGTCAATTCCGATATTCTGGCCCCTTGTATAGAATTCCTGTTCATCCTCTGAGACCCATCTCCATACCGGCTCCTCTGTGAAGCATCTCCTCCTTGGACTTGCACTATCTGGTCCCATAGCACTTGTTTATTCTTAAATGGGAGTCACTCTGACTTGCATTGTGGTGAAGGGTATACCCGGGGCACAGTCTTCTGGGATGGACACTTCCATGGGAAGGGGAAGTTATACGTGGACTTATATCCTCCTACACTCTCATCTAGAACCATCTATCCAGAAGCAGGAGTTGTTTCTTTTAGAAACCAGATGGCTCAATCTGCCCATTTTACAGGTGAAGGCAGTGAGGTCCCAGAGAGATAAAGCATCTTGTCCAAGGTCACAGAGCCAGACCTAGACTCTAGGCTGCCTGGCTCCTAGTTCAGGGCTCATCCCACCCCAGCCAGCTGCTGGCTAGACAGAATCCACCCAACCTGGCCCAGACTCTCTGGTGGGAAGTCAGGGATGCAGTGGTCAGGATGGGCATCAGAGCCAGCAGGCCCTGAGCACGGCTAACCCAAGTGGAACATGAACTTCCTAAACTCGGGTGGAAGTTAGAAATGGCATATTGATCAGTGCTAATGAGCTTAAAACATCCAGGGATTAAAAAAAAAGATGAAGAAGCTCTACTTCAAGCATAAATCTGCTCAACAGAAAGGAGACCTGGTTACGCTCTCTATGATATGTCACTGTCTGGAGGCTGAAGCGGGGAGGTACATGTGGGGTGTGAGATTTGGCTTTGGCAAGGTGGCATCCCTGGTGCTGAGACCTGAGTGTCCGCCATTACCTCCCGGGGACAGGAAAGCTCCAAGTTGCTGCTCCCCAAGCTGGGAGGCCACGGAAGCTGATGGCTGCCCACGCTGAGTGCTGTAGGGCTCAGAGTACTGGGGGATGGGTGCACATGGGGAGCCCTGGGGACAAAGGACAGTGCTCTCCCACCCCAAGAAGCAGCAGACAAGGGGGCCTGGACAGACTGGGCAGGGGTGATGAGAAATTACTAAGACAACCGGGCAGAGAGAGCAACAGAAACTGCAAGTGGCAGACCCACACAACGGGAGAGATGGACAGAGACAGGGAGACTCAGAGACAGTCAGGGAGACTCAGGCAAGGCTTGGAAAAGGTGGGAGGGAGGAAGTGAGAGAGAAAGACACTGAAAAAAGAGAGCAGGGAGAAGCCATGGTGGCTCGCTCCTGTAATCCCAGAGCTTTAAGAGGCCAAGGTGGAAGGAGTGTGTAAGGCCAGGGGTTTGAGACCAGGCTGGGCAATAGATCAAGACCCCATCGCTACAAAAAATAAAAATAAAATTAGCCGGGCATGGTGGCATATGCCTGTAGCCCCAGCTATTCAGGAGACTGAGGCAGGAGTTCAGGGTTGAGACTGCTTGAGCCCTGGAGTTCAGGGTTACTGTGAACTAGGATTGCACCACTGCACTCTAGCCTGGGTGACACTGTCTCCAAAAAAGAGAGAGATGGGGAGAAGATTGCCTCTTTAAGCCCGACAGGAACTGAGAGACAGCACAGTGAGGCAAGGGAGCAGCAGACTGCAGACAGACCTGCAGTGTCCCCATGGAGAAAGCGCGAGATGTCACCCCTCCTGCCCTTCTGTCCCCCACAGGGCACAGGAATGACATCTCCCATTCCAGTGCCCCTTCTTCTTCTTTCGTACAGTTCCCTCACCTGCTGGAGGGAGGAGTGGGGAGAGGGGAAGAGGCAGGAAGACAGACACAAGTGAGCCCGACTGCACTGCCTGAACAGGCGTCGAATGCACGTCACATGCCTGCTTGCTGCTAGTGGGCCCAACACACACAACACACATCTGCTCAGCTCAGTGGCCTTGCAGACACACAGATCTCCACTCCCAAACCTGGCAGTGAGTTCTGCCATTCCAGGGAAAGGCATGGGAGAGAGGCAGCAGAGGGAGACAGCCCACCCTGCTGAGGGAGGACCTGGCGGGCCTGTCTCTCTATTGCCCCTGCCTTGTACCAAGCACTTGCTCCACCAGGTCTTGCCGGAGCTCTGTGGCCCCACAGCCTTGAGGATCATGATGGCCCTGTGAAGTCAGAACAGGTGTAGTCCCGTCTTACAGATTTGGAAACTGAGGCATAAAGTGGCCAAAAAAAAAAAAAAAAAAAAAAAAAAGAGGCATAGGGTGGTAGAAGGCAGGGCCGGTGTCTGAAAACAGGAAGCCAAGTGACTCCAGATCCAGGAGTGAGAATGAGCCTTTCCTGAAAAGCATCCCCATTGGACCATTTTAGATGGTGGCAAGAGCCCAGCAGGAGGAAGAGTGCCTGGGTTCAAAGCCCGGCTCCGATACCCTTCCTAAATGTGTGACCTCAGCAGGTCGCATGAACTCTCTGTGCCTTCGTTTCCTCATCTGTAAAACTGGGATCACAGCATTTAGGTCAAAGGGTTATGAAGACAAAATGAATTGGACACATAAGTGCTCAGAATGTTGCCTGGCACATAGTGGGCACTCAATAAACATAAACATGAAATTCTAATATTTTATAGGAGGGAGAATGGCAGTGACAAAGGTCGGGGGAGGGCTGGGTGAAAGGGAAGAAAGTCACCCTCAGGAAATAGAAAGGGGCCTCTGGAGAAATAGCTCTGCTGGACTCATAGCCCTATAGCCTGAGGACACAAGAGTCTGGGGGAGCCCCAAATCTGAGCTACCTGGGGGCCTCCTGCTGCTGCTTACTGCTGGTGGTACTGTCCCTGCTCAGCAGATACGATGAGAGTTTTTCTAGCACTCCAGACAGGCTCTCCCACAGACACAGGGCCTGTTGGACCCGGGCAGAGGGAGAGAGGGAGGCCCACCAGGGTTCCTGGCTACATCCACTATTCCCCAGGAAGCCCAAGAGGAGAGCTGCGGGCTGCAGGCTCCAGCCAATGTTCACCTGGCACACCCCAAACAGTCTTCTTAGTGTCCCCCTCCATGGGATCCTAGAACTTTCTGGGGCCTAGCTCTCCGGGGAGATCAGAAGAATTAGTTCAGCTCCACCTAAAGGCCAGTGTCTTCAGGGACAGTTACATTTTGAAAGAAGCCCAAAGGGAGAGAACAACAGAATACATTAGAATATCAGACATAGGGAGCAGGCAGATATTTCTGTGAGCTTGTGCATGTGCACACACATGTGATTGTGCCTGTGTGTGTGTGTGTGTGTGTATGCATGTCCCATTACTCCTTCAATCAATCATCCACTCATCTAACCATCCAGCCACTCCTACTTTCGAGGCTTCTTCCTGGGCCAGGCCCTGAGCTATGCTCTGGAGCGACAGAGGCTGGTGACCTGGTGCCTGTCCTTGAGGAGAAGGCCCCTAAGCTAAGGAGAGAAGGTCTATAGACAGGAGGTCCCTGGCTGAGTCACAGGCCCCTAGCAGGCCAGAGAAGGAGGAGGTCTTAGAGGAGCGGCAAAGCCTCTCTCTTGCAGATAAGAATGTTGCAGCCCAGGTTTGGAAGGACACGTACAGCTCACCTGGCCCAGCCCTCTCCCCAGTGGCCATATAGCCTAATGGTTAGGAACTCTGCCCGATGTCGACAGTCCTATCCCTGCTCAGCAGACACGACCGGAGGCTTTTCTCAGTCACTGGCCCCAGGTCATCACGGACTATTAGAGTTAGGAGAGACATCAGCAGTAAACTTGTTGTAGCCTTTTCCTCATAAGGAAATGTCTCCTAAAGCCTCCTTATCAGAGGATAGCCACATGCGGTCTTGGATGCTCCTGGGGCCAGGAAGCTCACCACTTCTCGAGAGAGGCCAGTTCATTTTCAGGCTGCTCTTGCTGCTGGTTTTGGTGAGCAAGAATCAGCTCCCTCTGACCCTTACCTTGACACTAGCTCAGCTTTCCCCTAAGCCTGTAGGCACCTGAAGACAGGAACTATGAGGCTTTCTTGAAGCCTTCTTGTTTAAACTTTGCTCATATGATGAGTTTCCTGCCCCTCCCACCAGCCTGGCCCCCCGCTCATCCTAGGGTGCAGCAGGCCATAAAAGGGATTGCTCCTGGGAGCCGATATGCCACCAGCCAATGTGGTCAAAAACACAAGTGCTTGTAAGTAGGAGCCGTAGTAGACTTGCTTTGAGTTTTATGGCATGGCCCTGATATTTGGTCAGGTCTGAAATGGGGTTTTGTTGAGGGGAATGAATGCAAGAATTTTCCCCATTCAAAAAGTTCAGGTTTGCGTGGGTCAGTTGCCCTGGAAGGGCTTTGATTTCTCCGTATCTAACAGTAATACTAATTAATTCATAATAATAGTAACTACCATTTATTATGTGCCAGGCATCATGAAAAGGGCCCTATATGTATCATTTAATTCTCTCAATAAAACTAAGAGGAGGACATTATTTAAGAAAAGGAAACTGAGGCTTCCAGGAGTTACCTTAAGCCTAAGTTTACACAAATAGTGAGTAGTAAGTTCAAAGCTGGAGTTCCCAACCATTAGGTCATACAGCTGCTTGGGAAAGGACGGGCCTGGCAGGCTGTAAGTATCCTTTCAACCCTGGGACACTGTCACCTGCCCTTCAGCCTTCTGGTCAGGAAAGATAGCACAAAGCCAGGTCTCTTTCTCTGTCATCTGGAATTTGGGGGTGACAACTCCACTGAGAAGGGTGGTTGTCTGGGGACAGTGTGTGTCTCTCTGTGGCCTGAGAAGGGTGGTTGTCTGGGGACAGTGTGTGTCTCTCTGTGGCCTGTCTCTCTGTGGGAACCTGGGCAACCTTTGCCTGAGAAGTCAGGCCTTCCTGCCTCGCCACACCTTGGCCAGCCTGGGTCTGGCCACCCTTCAGTGAAAGAGATTCCTCCTCCCAACTGCAAGAGCTGGAGGGGTAGGGAGGGGACAG
Organism: Homo sapiens; assembly: GCF_000001405.40. Lineage (NCBI taxonomy): Eukaryota > Metazoa > Chordata > Mammalia > Primates > Hominidae > Homo > Homo sapiens. Next base: position 117,633,383 of record NC_000011.10, read on the forward strand.
ACACGGCTAAATCCAGCCTTTGCTCCCTGTCAACACAGAAAGAGGGCTCTGAGTGCTCTGAAAACTGGGTTAAAAATGGCTTGGCTGTACCTATCTTATCTGCTTTACACTGAAAGCCTTCAGCGCGTGGCAGGTTTTCACGCAGAATTTTCCTTGCTAATCCCCTTTGTTAGCTCTGATACTGACATTGCAATACCAACCTCGTCTGGGCGATTTGAAAGGGATTACAGACCCTCAATCCTTCAGCATGTGGGAGAAGAATGTTTTCTCAAATCAAATTTTTCACAAACCTGTTTTCAAAAATAATCAAAGTGCAAATCCCTCCTTGGGATTGAAGGGTAGGGGGAAGACACTTGTCTGTTCGAAACGCAGCACGGCAGGCAGAATGTCATCCTTTTGGAGGGCGAGGCAGAGGTGCAGGCCCACCTGGTTGATTAGTGGCCCTTCGTGTCCTCCAGACTTTGATGCCTGCTAAGTGGGGTCTGCGAGGGGAGGGCAGGGCAGGCGCTTTGGCATGTGTGGTCACTGAATGGGACCCTGTTCTCTGAATGGTACCATGTGCATGCCTGAGGGGCCAGATTCAAGTTCAATTTCAACAACTGTGTATTAATAACCTATCACATGCCCTGCACCGTGCTGGAGATTGTGGAGGACACAATGATGAATCCAGTTTTACACTTGCCTTGAGGAAATCACAGTCTAGCAGGCAAGCGGCAAGTATCCAGAGGCTCCCGACCCAGGGCAGAGGGGGACCGGACTGTCACGGAGCATCAAGGACAGGGAGAGGGATGATTCAGTTCCCTCATGCAGCTTCCTGGAGGTGTAGGAGAGTGTGGACGGGAGCTGTGCTTCTTGTGGGCTGGAATCTTGGATACCTTAAAGGTTATCCTGCTCTGAGCAGAAAGAGGGCCAGTGGGCATCAGGAAGACTCGAGTTCTGGCCTGGCTGTCACTGTCACTGGCTGTGTGACCTCTAGTCACAATGATATACCCTTTCCAGCCTCCGCTTCATATGGTGGCATTAAACTGTGACTGTGTTCCCCCTTCTGTCTGGCTTGGCAAGACAGCCCTGCCGAAGGCCCGTCCAGCTCCTAGATGAAGCTTTAGGGGGCCAGGCAAAGGTAACACATGCTGCAAGATGTGGCGGGCCTGGGGATTTAATTCCAGTTGCTCAGGGCCCTGGAGTAAGCCTGAGTCTGTGCTGCCTGGAATTTGCATTAGTGATTTTGCCTTAATACTCTGGTGACAGTAGCTGATCCACAGGCTCCCAAAGCCACATCCACTTGCAAATCCTCTTCCCTCCTGCCAACTCCTCCCATCCCCTTCAGCGGTGCCAACACAACTGTCCCTCTAGGTCCCCAGCTGCAAGGTGGTCCCCTACTCCTCGAGGCTGCGGTCGTGGTGGTGGGTCGCAGGTTGGAGCTTGGACATCCTGAGCTTCATCTCGTTTCAGGACTTGTCTTTCTTTTCCTGGTCCCAGAAGGAGTTGAAGTCTGGTGGCTTTCAAGAGCCAAAGCCTCTGGCAGTAAATGGGCCTTGACATCAGATCTTGTCTCTGGCGCAGTGCTGTGGCAAGGCACAGGGCACGAGTGTGGCCACGCCATAAGTCCTCTCCTCCCTCAGCTGGCACCATCATGTCTGCTGCCCACCAAACCCATGATAGGTCGCACAACAGTCAGCAAATCGCCCTTTCGGGGGCTGATTAAAGATGGATGCGCAGCCCCTGAGGTGGCTGGAAGCACAGGCTGCTCTCAAATGCATAACCCCAATATTTTCTTCTTAAGCAATTCTCTTGCTCTTTGATGTTCTGCAGCGGCACACAATCAAATTCAGTTTGATGCACAGAAGTGGGAGGAGGAGCGGATGGGGAGGGAGACAGAAAGCCCCAGCTCTACTCGCCCATTCTTTCCAGGCAAATTCAGTTTTACCATTTCATCCCTGGCTGGTCAGGAATTTAGTGAGCTGTGGGTTGTCTTTTCACAGCGCCAGAGTCCCGGATATCCAAGGGATGTGGTGCCAGTGGTTGAGTTTTATGGCTTTAAGTGCAGAACGTCCTAGTGTGTGTGGTGTGTGTGTGTGTGTGTGTGTGTGTGCGTGTGTGTTTAATTCTGTGACTCACTGGTGAATTCTCCATTTCCCAGGGTGCAGCAGGGGTCAGGGGAAGGAGGGGACGAGGCTCAGAATAATATTCGTTGAGGAGGGGAGAGAAGAAAAAGGAAATGAAGAAAGAGAAAGGAAAAAGGGAGATCAGAGGGATCAAAACAGAAGAGATGGGAAGGAAAAGAGAAAGGGCAAAGGAGATCGATCAAAGTTGAAGAGGGAGAAGGCAAAAAAAGGGCAGAGTTTATGAGAAAGGAGAAGAAATGAGGGAAAAGAGGACATCACCCTTGATGGCATGCAAAGGAGGAGGTGGTGATGTAGTGAAGTCATAACGCTGGGTGGGAAACGCTGCTTTAGTCAAAATCAGGTTACAATCGTGGATATCTACAGCTGGGGTTCAGGGGGAGTCTCTGAGGTCCAGGTCATATAAAGGACTTGTCCAGGGGTGAGTCCCATTCCCACACCCCTCAGCCCTTCATTTCTTTCATCCCTACCCCATTCCTACAAAGAACATGCAACTGAGCTGTGTTCAGAGGCAGAGGTTTTAGTAATTTCCCTTCTGCATATGTGCGGATCACAACTGGTCCCCCGACCATCCTGCTGTGCTCCTTGAAGCCAGGGACCTTGCCCTGGCTGGTGAGGCGGGGGTTAGAAATAGGGAAGGTTCGTAAGATAAATGATGGGAGTTCTTATCTGAATGAGGAAAAACCGAGCCTTTCATCTGCATGATGGCTACATTGCATCGAATTACATCCATATGTCTCCTGGCCAGAACATTTGGGGAATAGGTGAGTATTTCAAGCATTCCTTTTTAAGAGTGGAGCGGCAAGTTTCATTATCATATTTTAATTAAAAGGAAAAAATCCTATTAAACAATTCCCAATGTATTGGGATTAGCAAAACCCAACACCTGGGACCCAGTAACTCAGCACGTATGAACACATGAACAAGACGTATATTCCTTAGAAATTATCCCTACACCTGCCCCTCCACTCCAGCTAAGTAAATGGCTTCCTATGGGCTCTATCCTAGGCAGGCCAGAATAGGAGGCCCATGCCCCACAGACACCACCTGCCTCACTCCACGAAGGAGAGGGGGAAGGGAGGGACGGAGCAGGGAGCCACACTTCCCCCTGCCTCACTGAAACCCCCAACCCCTTAACTCAAAGCACTGCTGGCAAGAAACCTGGCTTTAGAATCAGGTCCTGGGCTTAAAACTCAGTTTCACCAATTACTAACTGTGTAACCCTAGGCAATTCTTGATTTTTCTGAGCTTCCATTTCCTACTTTGTAAACTGTGAATTTTACATCTACTTTGTAGGGTCGTTGTAAGGTTTAAAACTTATACATGAAAAGAGCCTGGTACAGTGCCTAAGTAGTAGTCAGTAAATAAATGGGAGCTATTATTGTTATTATTAATATTATTATTTAGTAGACAAGATAGAGGAACTACTTCCAGAAGCTCCAGATAAAATACACCCTGTTCATGAACACCTTACTCTATGCTGGTTTTTCCATTAGCCGTGTCACAGCTGGTGGGGTCATGCTTTCTCTTGCTCCTGGCCTTTGCACATGCTGTTCCCTGAGCAGGAGCCCCCTTTCCAGCCCTACATCCCTCCCCACTTTGCCTGCTCATCCATCAGTCCTTGGGCCCTTGCCTCCAAGGAGCCTTCCCGACACCCAAGACTGGGGTTGAAGGCTATTCCCTATGCTCACTGCAATCCCAACATCTCTCTCAGAGCATCCTAATTACCTGTGTAAGGGTCTAGAATCCTCAGTGAGACTATGAGTTTCTTAACAGCAGAGACCAGGCCCTGTCCATGGTGGTATCCCAGTGTTATTGTGCATAGTAGGTGCTCAATAATTTTTTTTTTTTTTTTTTTGAGACGGAGTCTTGCTCTGTCACCCAGGCTGGAGTGCAGTGGTGCAATCTCGGCTCACTGCAACCTCAGCCTCCTGGGTTCAAGTGATTCTCCTGCCTCAGCCTCCCGAGTAGCTGGGATTACAGGCACCCACCACCATGCCCAGCTAATTGTTTTGTATTTTAGTAGAGACGGGGTTTCACCATGTTGGTCAGTCTGGTCTCAAACTCCTGACCTGGTGATCCGCCCATCTCGGCCTCCCAAAGTGGTGGGATTACAGGCATGAGCCACTGCTCCCCGCCCTCAATAAGTAGATTAAAAAGAAATGAATGAATCAGAGAGAAAATGAAATAGAATCAGATCAAAATCAGTAGGGAAAAGTGGCAAAGGAAATGAGAAGTCCACATACAAACAATTTAGAGGTCTTACTAGGACTACATGTCAAGATATGGCTTCCCCCCAAAAGCCAATGCACTGTGATTACATTAGCGGAGAAATAATCTCCATTCAAAGGGTAATGACTCTGCTCCCCTTGCATGGGTAAACACCGCTGGGTGCTGGATTCTGTTTCAGGTTCCCTCCTTCAAACACCTATCTACAAAGCACAGCCCATTCTGTAGAGGCCCCCAGAATGGTGAGGGGACCCCACTCCTCACATATGCAGACATGGTGAGGGGCAGAGGACATTAGCTCTGTGGAGGTGGTTTAGGCTTTTCCCTGTGGCTTTCTTCAAGCTGGGCTCTCCTGGGGCAGGGGTAGGGCCTGGATGTGTTCTGGGTGGCTCCAGGGGGAGACCTCAAACCAGTCAGTAAACATTATGAAGAGGCAGATTTGGGTTCCACAGAGTGTGACCAACCATCCCAGTTTCTCAGGACTGTCTCTGTTTTAGCACTGAAAGTCCCATGCCCTGGGAAACCCCTTAGTCTTAGCAAACTAGGACAGCTGGTCATCCTAGTTCCACACAAGATAGCAAGTGTGTGTGTGTGTGTGTGTGTGTGTGTGTGTGTGTGTGTGTGTGTGTGTTTGCAACCGCTCTGTTGAGATATCATTCACAGAGCATACAATTCACCCATACAAAATGTACAGTTCAGTGGTTTTTAGTATATTCACAAAGTTGTGCAGCCATCACCACAGTTGATTTTAAAACAGTTTTCATCATCCCCAAAAGAAATCCCACACCCTTTAGCTATCACTCCAACAGCCTACCCCATTCCCCCGGCACTAATCTATTTTCTGTCTCAATGGATTTACCAATTCTGGATACTTTATATAAAGGGAATCATACAATATGTAGTTTTTTTGACTGGCTTCCTTCACTTAGTAATATTTTCAAGGCACATCCACGTCACAACATGAATCTGTACTTCATCCCTTTTCATGGCCAAATAATATTCCATTGTCTGGAAATATCACATTATTTATCCATTCGTTTTGTTCATTAATGGACATTTGTGTTGTTTCTGCTTTTTGGCTATTAAAAATAATGCTGCTGTGAACATCCATGCATAAGTTTTTGCGTGGATGTATGTTTTCCTTTTTCTTGAGTAGATACCCAGGCATGAAATTGCTGGTAATTCTCTGTTTAACCTTTTGAGGAACTGCTATATGCTGTTTTCCAAAGTGGCTGCCCCATTTTATATTTTCCCAGCAGCAATGAATGAGAGTCGATTTCTACATCCTGGACAGCACTATTCATTATCTGTCTTTTTAATGATAGCCATCCTAGTGGGTGTGGTAGGTGTGTTTTAACAACTAGGGTCCAGAGGAAATGAAAAGAGATGTTTGCATAATGATAAGACTCTTGTCATCCCAAGTGTGCAAACAAAGCTGGATACACTTGGAGAAAGGCTACCTAGGGGCCCCTGGCTGGGAAGCTGCATGGGTGGGAGGCTGGATGGATGGGAGGCTGGGTGGGAGGCTGGCTGGGAGCTGGATGGGTGGGAGGCTGGATGGATGGGAGGCTGGATGGGTAGGAGGCTGGATGGATGGGAGGCTGGGTGGGTGGGAGGTTGGATGGATGGGAGGCCGGATGGGTAGGAGGCTGGATGGATGGGAGGCTGGATGGGTAGGAGGCTGAATGGATGGGAAGCTGGATGGGTGGGAGGCTGGATGGGTGGGAGGCTGAATGGATGGGAAGCTGGATGGGTGGGAGGCTGGATGGGTAGGAGGCTGGATGAAAAGAGATCTAAAAGTCTTTGGCTCTGCCTTCCTAATCTTGGGGCTGGGTGGATTGGGGGAAGGCTTGAGGGTGGGGGGACATCCTGAAGAGGTCCCCCATCCTTGGAGTGAAGAGGAACTGAGGGGAGGAGGGAAGGAGGATGCAGACGGTAGGCTTGTCTTCGTTGCCATTCTGCCACGGGCTTGTGTGGGCAGCAGAGTGGACTCAGGTGCTTTGGCTGGGCCCACGCTGCTGCCCAGTATGAGAGAACTGGTAGTGGCTGCAGAGGCCCCGGGAACTCTGGTGGCCTCCCTGCCCTGCCCACCCCATGCCTCCCGCTCCCTTCCTGCAAGGCTCACCGCCCATCTGTTCTTCCTCCCCATGACGCCAATGCCTGGCCTTTATGTTTCTGTCTTGCCATCCAAGCCCCACAGGAGGGACTTTTCAACTCCCCAGGAATGTTCTCTCATGGAGGAGAAGTGAGCAGACTTGTGTGGGTGCTGTGACTTGGGTGGGTGGGCTCGTGGAATGGTCCTCTGGAGCTTGGGAGCTGCAACTGAAGCTTCCTCAGATGCAGCAGCCCCGTCTTGTTCTGCAGTGACAGTTCCCAAATACACAGCAAAGCCCCAGCTCAGGTCTCAGTGCTTGGGCTGTGGAAGCAGCACTCTCCTTCCTCCTTCCTCCGTTCTTCCTCATCCCACTTGCCACTCCCACCTGGCAAACCCGCCCCACAGCCCTCTCATGGACCAAGGGCTCTGTGTCTGCCAAGGCAGCCCGTTCCATCGCTGAGCCAGCCCTCTGTGGTAATCCTCATGACGTGCTGGGAGAACCCTGACACCCTGACCTATGTGACCTGCTTTCATCCTTAGGAAAATCTAAGGAAGGTAGGAGTGGGGAGATTGTTGCTCTTACTTTAGAGATGGGGTAAAGTTTATTCGGATGACTTGTGCTACGTCATACAGAGGCAAGTGTCATAGTCAGGACTGAAAGCCAGCCTCTGGGTTCTGGTCCAGTCATCCACTATCCAGGTGCTCAGGCCAAAAACTTGAACATCATCCCTGACTCCTCTCTCTCACAGCCCCAAGTAAACTGTCAGAAAATCCCATTGATTCTTTCTTCAAAACATGCCTTTAACCTCACGCCTTCTTGTCCCCGCCACCATGGTCCAAATCACCATTTTCTTTCACGTGGTGCTTGCAAACGCCTCTTCCCCATGTCAATCCCAGCCCCTCACTGACCTCCACACACAGGTCACTCTCCAGGCGTTTCCTTTGTTGTGCCTGAGGTTCTTTCTCCATCCTCAGTTTCCCCTGGCACAGCGTGGGGCACAGACTTGCAACTCACTGAGATGTGTCATGTCACAGAACTGAGATGAGATTTGTTCCCTGCTGTGTGTGTGTTTGTGTGCATGTGTGTACATATATGTCCATGAGCACATATGTCTGTGCTCAACCAAAATAATACAAAGGCCAGACACATAGCCGTAACTCTTGAAAAAAGCTTATTTGGTCTGTACTATTTTATTTTGATAGAGGGGAATACACACATTGCATTTTGCAGCAAATCAGGTTGAGAACCACTCCATCTGGCAGGGCAAGTTTGCCTGTTTCCAATAGGGGTAGGCCACATCTCAATTCCCCAGCCATCCAGCCAAGTACGCTGGGTCTGATCAGATGCCAGGACTGGGGACTAGTTGACCCCAGGGTCCTGGAGAAAGATCACTCATGACACAGATCGCTGGGTGCCACCTTCTCCCCACCCTTAATGATGGAGCCTCATCACTCACAAGGCTGCAGGCATTGCTGGGGAGGGGGCAACCCCAGTCTTAGCTCTTTATCTTTCAAGTCTGATTTCAGCATCCTCTGCGATCACATTAGTGCAAGGATGTCTCTTATGGTTAGTTGCCTGCATCCAAGATGAGGATATAATGACTTCCCCTGTGTCTCACACCCAGCCCCACCGAACAGATGCGCACACTGCCTGCACACAGAGCTGCCATGTGACTGTAGCAGCCCTCCCATGTGACCTGGCCAGTGGGTACTGACTGTGGAGGCTTTGTAATTGTCTGGGAAGGGAATGGAGGGACTCGGGCAGCATGGGCTGTGGAGTGATAGATCAGAACCTTCTTAACCTCCAATACTAGAGGGCCCCGACTCAGAAGAGGGAGACAGACTCGGGCTGGGGAGCACTCACAACTGCACCCCCACCAACTCCAATTCCTGCCCCATGATGCAGAGGAACTGAGGCCTGCGACCGGCTCTATGCCCCATTCTAGGTCCCATCTCAGGGCTTGCCTCCCTCATGGAATGAAGGGAGGAAACACGCATCTATGGTGCACCTACTGCATATCGTACCCAGCCAGGCCCTTCATGGTGCTGAGAAGAGGTACTATTGAGTCCGTCTTACCCACGAGGGAAACTGAGACTCAGGGACCTCATGGTACACACCTGGTAAGTGGTTGGGCTGGGATCCCAAGCTATGTCTTCTGCCACCAAGCTAGCAGTCTCCTGCTACCCCACCCTGCCTCTCCCCACTCCAACAGCCCCTGGTGACAGCTCCCTTTTCTGAACATCGATGGCAGTCATCTCTACCTCACCTGCCCTTACCATTGCCCTCGAATTATTTCTGGTTTGTAATCCCCAACCCCAACCACACTGGATCATAAAGCCTAAAGAGCAGACGGCATGACTTAGGCTCCTGCGGTATCTGAGTCTCTAGCCCACTTTTGGACACCATAGTGCTAGCCACTGCAAGGAGTGCTTTCATCCCCACAGTGCCCCTCTGAGGCTCTGAACCACTCTTCTTCCTATCTCACACCTGCCATCCTCTTTTTTTTTCTTGCTTGAGCTCTGGTCCTATGTGCAAAAATTTGCCCTTCTAGGTGGGTCTGTGTATAAGTCTGACACCCACAGGTCACAGTCTGGAGGCACAGTCTGGAAGACAAATAAGGGGAACTGTCAGGCCCCACTGCCAACATGCTCAGTAGGACACTAGACCAGCAAAGCCACAAAGGTGGCTGCTGGGAGAGCAGGGGCACCAGGTGCCTGGCGAGGGGCTGGAAGGAGCAATGGTGAGACACAGTGGGGCTGTATCCCTGTGGATGGACAGCAGTGCCTGAGGGAGCCCTTCCATCCCTGCCCATAGTTGCAGTGGCCCAGAGTGGGATCTGTGGCTCCTGGCTGCTTCTTGGGCCAGTGGATTGTCACGATCCTGGCTCAGATGAAGACGTCAGACTGGCGGGGCTGAGAAACACCCCTGGTGATTCCCATCTCACTCTTGGATTCCTTCATCCCCTTTCCACCTCCAACCCTTTGTCCAGAGCACCCTTCCTGGCCCACACTGCCAAAGCTGTCTTGTGTTCAGGCAGCTTGGGAGATATTGCTTACCCCAGGAAGCCCTCAGGGAGTAAAAGGAAGAGACGCCAGGACAGTTTTCCCCAACCTTCCTCACCAGAAACGCAAAACTCCTTTGATTTGCCTGTATTGCAATCTTCACTGAAACCTTTAACCCTCCGCCTGCAGGGATTTCAGACTTTGCCTCTGGTGTACTTGTTACCTAGTTCTGAGTCTGAATTTATCTACCTTGTGTTCTCTTTATGTCTCCTTGTTTCCATGTAGTTCTCTTTGAAGCTTTTATGGGGCTAGTTTAAGATCCAGAGAAAGAAGTGCAACTTCACACAGAAGCTTGTAAACTTATGGACCATCTAACCTCAAGAGGTGGGACAAGCAGAAAATATAAATAGCTTCTGAAAGGGTTCGACTCAATTCATGGGTGTCAGGACTGGGATGGAGAACTGAAGAAAACCAAAGTGACTGTGTGTGCATGTCTGATTGTGTGTTTGTGTGTGTATGTGGGGAGGACGTACTATCCCCCTGTAAACATTCCTGTCTTTTGTACCATCTCCCTCCCCTTGGAGGTTAGCATGGAGGAGGAAAACACAACCCCTCCCTGTGAGGCTGACCCTTCAAAGAATTCTGCAAATGTACCTTTTATTTTAATTTTTCTGGAGGGTGAGAGATTTTTTCTGAATGCCTTTCATTCATTTCCCCAGCTCATCGAAGGTGAGCTGCCACATCGTTTTTAAAAGACAGATCCTACCCAATTTAAGGCTGTGCCGTCTTGGGTGAGTGGGGCGGTCCACTCTGAGCCTCACGCACCAGCCCAGACCCTCATCTCCTGCAGGGGAGGAGTGGGGGGTGCCCTCACTCCCCAGAAACAATGCTCGGGTGATCACCCAGGCACCATCCCTCTCGCCACCAGCACTTATACCGCCGTCATCACCATCAGGCTCCAGTGTCCTCACACATCCTCTCACATGACCCCTGTCACCCTCTGGGGTGAGCTGGCCAAGCATTACTTGCATTCCACAGGGGAAGAAGGAGAGTTGAAAAAAGACCATGCCCCATTCTCAGACAGAAGGTGGCAGGTGGCAGAGCTGGAACGTTCAGCCCAAGCCCATTTGAGGTAGGGGGCATGGAGAGGCCCCCTCAGTCCATAAAACTACTGTCGGGGAAGAGGCTGGCAGGTCTCCTGCCTGCCTTCCCCAGTTCCTATCCCAAGAGCCCGCCTTCTTTCTGGGGCAGACTCCTTGCAGGAAGGGGCCCGTGATGAAGTCCTGGGCTCAGGGCCGCCCGGTCGGCCTGCCCCTTGACTCGGGCGCTTCCTCTCTCTCCAGAAAAACCCACTTCACAGCCACCCCCACCAAGTCTCGAAAGGCTCCAGGAACAAGATCCAAAGCCTCCTCCGAGGAAACAAGCGGATATTTTAGAATCCCAAAGTGCAAGAAGTCCCCGACTCCAGCCCTCATTTTAAAGGCGGGAGTGCAAAGGGGATTTCTGCGCACGGCACCTGGTTTTCCGAGCTGTGCTCACTTTTCCTGAGAGCCGAGGTGGGCAATGTATCCGACCTGCTCCCAGGCCCCAAAAGATGCTAGTGTGCCCATGCACATCCACGCATGTGAGCTGGCACCCCAAGCACGCCCTCCACACTGCTCTCTTGCCCTAAATTGAGCCCAATTAGAAAGTTTTCTTTCCTTCCTCCCTCCCACAGACGACATCCATCACTTTCCCCAGCAGAGGCGAGGCGGCCACAACGCCTTCCTAGGGTTTATTAAATACGTTCAAGAGCCTATTTGTAGCTGTCAGGGAGAAGCCGAGGGGGAGCCGCGGAGTCCGCTCAGCCGTGCAGCCTCCCTCTCAACCTCTAGGGCAGGGGACCCCCCCTCTGGCAATGTTCCTCTGCACCAGGTGGAGCTGAAGGGGCACCCCCAGCCCCTGTGCGGTAGACTCCACTCTCAAATAGCTACCAGGGACTATGGTTGGTGTGGTCAAGGGATCTCAGCAGGGCTGGCTGGCCAAGGACTGAACCCGCCGGGGCAGCGTCCTCTGCACCTCACCCACGCTGACCTCACCTCAAACAGCTCAGGAAAGAAAAAGCACACTCACGCTCTGTCCCAGACCCCGCAGGCCGCCTCAGAGTCACAGACAGGGCCTGGGAACCCCCGGTGTGGGGCCCACGCTCCCCGAGGTGGGATGACCAGGCTCAGTAAAGCCTCGGCTTCACCTGCAGGAACACGGCTTGAGAGAGCCCCCACAGTGGTGGTTCATGTCTCAGCATGGAAGGAAAATGCTTTCCATGAGACCTGCAGGGCTTCCCTGGCCCAGGCAAGGATATCTGTAGATGGTCACAGCCCCAAAGGATCTCAGGGGCCCTAGAAACTCCCTCCCAGTTTGATGGATAAGAACGAGTTCCAGAGAGAGAAAGGGGGTTTCTTGGGGTCTCCCACCCCAGCTTCTCCTCAGCATCCCTTTATCTGAGGATCTAGGACAACTGAGGCTGATTTTCTCTCCTCCCTGGAATTAAAAGGGGTGAGGAGAGAAATTCCAGGGAAGGTTGGGACTGGAACCATGAGAGCCCAACTTCCTGATTTTGTGAGACATTTTTTCTTTATTATGAAATATTTCAAATCTGCGGACCAGCATAAAGAATTATATACCCTTTGCCCACTTTTTGATGGGGTTCTGGATTAAGAAAATGTGGCACATATACACCATGGAATACTATGCAGCCATAAAAAATGACGAGTTCATGTCTTTTGTAGGGACATGGATGAAATTGGAAATCATCATTCTCAGCAAACTATCGCAAGAACAAAAAACCAAACACCGCATATTCTCACTCATAGGTGGGAATTGAACAATGAGAACACATGGACACAGGAAGGGGAACATCACACTCTGGGGACTGTGGTGGGGTGGGGGGAGGGGGGAGGGATAGCATTGGGAGATATACCTAATGCTAGATGACGAGTTAGTGGGTGCAGTGCACCAGCATGGCACATGTATACATATGTAACTAACCTGTACATTGTGCACATGTACCCTAAAACTTAAAGTATAATAATAAATAAATAAATAAAAGAAAAAAAAGAATTATATACCCAACATCTGTGTACCCAATATACAGTATTAACAAATCCTAATAACTTGAGTGATTTCTATTTTCAAATGTGGTATTAGCTGCGATATGGTTAGCTGAATTTTTACAGCTCTTTTCAAATGTAAAATAATTTTATTCTTTTCAATAAAGGCATTTCATTAAATGTATAACCAGGATTTAATTTTTAGACCTTGGAAGACTCCATTTAAATACATTCAAAGTCAGAAAAAAAGTCCTCTGTCAGACCACAAGTCCTGATTTTTTTTTTTATTGCAAAAATATAGTCTGCAGCCGTGGCCTGGCCAGATGGGAAGGGAGGGAGGTGGCTGCAGAGTCCCGGGACTCCCTGGAGAGGTGTGGAATCCCAGGGAAAGGTTTTCTGTCAAGCTCTCGAGATGGAGCCCTCACCCAGAATGTTTGATGAGGCCAGAAGTGCCTGATGGGAAGGGAGGCATGGGTGGGAAGTCTGATCTTGGAAGGGGTCTCTGCTGGGATCCCCCCCAAGTCCTACTCAGAGTCCCTCGCTTCCTTCCCCTTACCAACCTCACCTCCCAGAACATTTCTGTCTCCTGATACTGTCAGCTGTTTCTTACCTCTTAGCTTTATTTAGCATCTACTATGTGCACCTGCCAAAGTGTTAACAGATTAATGAGTGTGTGGGAGTCCCTCAGACCAGCTCAGACAGCCAACTGTGCATTTCTTCCCAATCCCATGGTTAGTGACATCGTGTTGGTAGCTTGCAATTGGCCATGGTAGAAGTAATTACACCACGGAAATCAGTCCGCAAACACTACCAGTCAATCAGGGCTTTCCCCAACTCCCCAAGAGCTAGCTGTTAAACCTTCACCAGCAGGCCACGGGTATTAACGTCCCAAGAATATATGAGTTCAAAAGAGGTCTCCTAGAGAGAGAGAGGAAAAAAAAAAAAACAAATCCAGAAACCAACATGGAGGAACCAAAGGAATTCATCACAAATTATCAAATTTCAGGTCCCAGACTGATCGTGACGTGAGTTTGATCTCAGTAAGCAGCCACTACTTAGCATTTCTGTGGCTGCATAGGTTCCTAGAAGGGATCTTGTCCAATCCTCTCATGTTTGAAAGCAAAATGATGTCCAGAAAGATGACACAGCTTGTTAAGGACACAGGTGGGTTTATAACTCCCATCTTCCTTTCCTACGCCTACTCCTGAGCCTGCTCACCAGAGCTGGAGGTGGAGAGGGGCTCACATGAGGCAAGAGTCCAAGTGACCTCTCAGCAAAGACATAGACATGGGAAAGAAGGTGCATGGAGCCCTTCCCATTCCCTTGCCCTTACGCTGCTCCCCCAGGAAAGGCTGGGCATCTAGCAGGTGCTTAGCAAAGCCTTGAATTGAGTCAGGCTAATGAGCCAGGTGGGCAGTGTTGGGGTGGTCTGTGCAGGAGTCCACTCCCAGCAAGCATGAGTGATGGCAAACAGAGGGCTGGGCCACAGGGACAGCCAGCTGCTCAGGTTGTCACTTAGCCAGCCCTTCCCAGGAGCGTATTTCTCAGAGTCAGAGGGCAGCCAAGGCTCCAAGACCTAGGTGTGAGCCACAGGTCAACGGGCATAAAGAACAAGCAAACTGGTGCCACTCCAGGCTGAGGCCTGATAGTGAGGAAGAAACTTACAGGAAAGCAAAGGGCTGGGGAGAGAGGACTTGGGGAGTAGGGATGAAAGAAGGCAGGAGACAAATGGAGAAAGGGAAGGGGGATGAGGAGGGAGACTCACTCTGATTAGCAGAAAGCAAAAGGGAAGCAGGATATCTAAAGGGAACAACACAAAGAGAAGATACAGTGGAGGGAGAGAGAGCAAGAAAGACCAAGAGGGAGTTCAGGAAAGAGAAGGATGGGGAGCAAGGAGACTTGTCCCCAGGGAACCCTTCTTGCCTTGGCCTTTTCTCAGACCTCCTCCCCTTTGTGCCCCACCAACCCCCAGCAGCACAAGTGACCCTGTGCCCTTGTGGCCATGTCACGTCCCGCCGGCACGATGGGGCTTCTGGTCCATCAGTAAAGAAGCAAACTCAGAGCAGTGTCCCACAACAGACACCCAGCTCAGAAGCAGCCCTGGTGGGTGGTCGTGCCAGTCAGCCCTGCATGGGGGCTCTGCCCAGCCACACCCACAAGTGACCAGCACCGCCCTCTCCCAAATCCCCTTGATCTCCCTTTCTCCACCAGCACCATCTGTGCCCGTCTTTACGCACTCATTCCCCCATCTCAGAGGGGGGCCTCAGTGACCTGGAAAGCAGACCTGGTTTTTCTGCCCAGCTGTGTGTCCATGGGGTGAATTACTTCCACTCTGGAAACCCAGGGGAAGGGGTGAGGGTGGTGTCCAGGGTGCTCCTGGGTCTCCCCAGCAGGGGCCGGCTCAAGGTTGAGTTGTAACAATTTCCTGAGCGCCAAAGCCCTTTATGAAGGTGAATGAAAGCAACGCAGGACCCGCTTCCACGCAGTTCACCTCTGCCCCCCTTGGATCACGCAGCAGCCAAGTTCAATTCCTTGTGTGTCAGAAGAAATAAAACGTGATCAAAGAAAAGGAGAAAGGATTCTAGAACGTGGAAGCAGTGGGCCCTATAAGGGGAAGAGCACAGGCTTTGGGGTCAGACTGACCTGTGTGTGTGGCTGTCTCAGCCCTTTCATCATGGGTCACAGAGCAATTCACTTCCTCTGCAAGATGGGAACAGCGGTAATACCTCACCCCTTGGTTGTGCAGAGTTGGAAAGAACACACAGCCAGACACCTGGTGCACACTCTGCCTCCTGGTAGCTGCTCCATAAATGTTTATTCTCCTCTCCAGCACCTAACCCCAGGCTTTAGCAATCCAGGTGGCCCAGAATCCAAGGCGGCGCCTTCTCCAGAGATAGGAGGTAAAATCTCTGCAAAGCCAAATGCTTAGTGCTTCCTGGGAAGGCAAGTGCCTGCCACAGAGAATCAGACCAAAGATGAGGAATGTGACATTCCCACCAGCTCAGGCCTAATGTAGAACAGCAAATAACAACTAAATCTTAAGCATCTACTCTGGCCAGGATTGTTCTGAATGCTTTACTTATCTCTCTCTCCCTCTCGCTCTCTCTCTCTCCATATATATGTGTGTGTGTGTGTGTGTGTGTGTGTGTGTGTGTGTGTGTGTGTGTATTTTTAGACAGAATTTCGCTCTTGTCACCCAGGCTTGAGTGCAATGGCATGATCTCGGCTCACTGCAACCTCCGCCTCCCAGGGTTAAAGCAAGCCTCCTGCCTCAGCCACCCCAGCAGCTAGGATTACAGGCGTGCACCCCCACACCAGGCTAATTTTTGTATTTTTAGTAGAGACGAGGTTTCACCACATTGGCCAGGCTGGTCTCGAACTCCTGACCTCAGGTGATCTGCCCGCCTTGGCCTCCCAAAGTGCTGGCATAAGCCACCATGCCCCGCCAACTTATCACTATTTTTGCAGGCCCAAAGAGAAAGCCTTTCCCTTAAAATTGGTCTCTCCAGCCCTGATAAGTTCCCCGTCTCCACTAGCCATATGCCTGTTCTTGCAGGTGCCAAAGTTCAAAATGTTAATATCTTTGACTCTCCCATCTCCCTGGCAGCTTCCCGTGGTCACCAGGGCTTGGCTCTGCATCTCTCCTCTCCTTCTGGGCCCCACTGTGACCCCACCACTCTTCTTCATTGATCTCCCTGCTCTGGGCTCGTCCCTACCAAACCCCTGTGAACTAATGGCCCACTTTATTGTAAGAGTTATTGTCTTAAAATAGCACGGGTTGAGAAAATTTCCACAATGGCTATTGAATAATGCAGGAATTCCTTGGTCCTAAACCTGTTCTCAACCTACCTTTCTGGACCTATCCGTAGGTTCCCTCTCCCTGAACAGGTCCAGGCAGTTCTCACAGGGAGATTTGTGCTCCTTCCGTGCCTCCGCCCCAGCCTGCCAAGTGCTTCCTCCTTCCTCTGCTCATCGGAACCATGGCCTCCCCAGGAGTTGCCTCTTGATGTGCTGCCTTGACCCTTCCTCATTGGAACCCCTTGCTTGGCTCAACCTGTCCTCCCTTTGGCTGGCAGGGCATTCTGGGGCACTGAGCAGCGGTTGGCACAGGCTAGGCCACTAACTGGGTTTCAGTTTCCTCTTTTTAGGAACCAGGCAAGGGACTAGAGCTGTGGTCCCCAGATACGGCTCCTCACTGGCATTATCTGTGAACTTCCAAAAAACACGGGTTCCCAGGCCCCGCCCTGTGCCTTCTCAGTCTGGATCTCCAGGGTGCGGCCCAGGAATTTGTGTCTGCCCACTCCCCACATGATTCTGAGGTGCTGCCAGGTTTGGCAGGACCTCAGCTAGAGATGCTTCACGTATGGACTGCCTCGTGTCAAAGGCTTTGCAGGCCCTCAGGCTGAAGAGGATAGGGCCCGGGTTTCTTCTGCATGTTGCCAGGATCCAGTTATGGGATTCAGAAGATACTCCACAGATGTTAGTTGAAGAAATGAATGAATGAATGAATGAATGCCCTGAAGAGATGCAGCTGCGGTTCTCTGAGAAACTGTCCTCTCCAGCTCTTTTCCAGGACAATTAGGTAGAAAGTCAGAAGAGATCACACGCAGCCTCGTGCAAAGAGGCTGTCAGAGCCTCTGCCAGTCTGAACACACACTTGGTGGAAGGTCACAGTACCGAGCTGGTGATCTGAGGCTGCCCTTGGAGTCCATCTGAGTCATTCTGTTTAAAGTGTGTGTGTCTATCTGTGTGTGTGTGTGTGTGTGTGTGTGTGTGTGTGCGTGTGTGTGTGTGGTGGGGATTGGGGTTCCCAGTGGGTGGCTTGCTAGGATGATTCAGATGGTCAGGGGTGGTTGAGGGCTGCTCAGGACTCGGCAGCTAATTGCCCAGCTTTCCACTGTGGTGAGATCTGGTGCTGAGCCCAAAGGGAACCCTGTGGTGCCTGGGCCTGAGTTGGTTCAGAATCACCCAAACAGGCCCCAGGCCTCTGCCAGTTGATCAACCTGGGAGAGTACAGGTAGTAAGAGTTTCCAGGGCAACCTCCAGGGAGAGGACAGGGATGTCTCCTGTGTGCCTAATTTGTCTTCCGTGCCTTTGTAGCCTGGAAAGCAACCCTGGGTGGGACCTTGGAGGTCATGCCTGTGACCATGGGGGACATGGACATGGCCTGATTTGTGGGCACAGACTAAGGCCCACATTTTGACCGAAGCCTCAATCCAGGGCGCTTTGCTCTTACAGCCTGAAACAGCTGCTGCCTCTGTCCATGGCTACTGGACCAGGGTCTGCAGCTCCAGCCTCAGCTCAGGGATGGGACAAGAAACAGAAACAGATGATAAGGCCACAGAAATGCCACCCTGGCAGGGGCTGCAGTGGCAGCACTTTGTCCAGTGGCCCCAGCCCAAGGACTCCAACAGGCTGTGCTCCACAGTGCACTGATGGGCTCTGCTCAGCTCCTGAGCCCTGGCTACATCTCCAGCAAATATAAGAATGATTGCACCCCTAGGCCGGGTGCGGTGGCTCACGCCTGTAATCCCAGCACTTTGGGAGGCCGAGGCGGGCAGATCACGAGGTCAGGAGATCGAGACCATCCTGGCTAACACGGTGAAATCCTGTCTCTACTAAAAATACAAAAAAAAAAAAATTAGCCGGCCGTGGTGGCGGGCACCTGTAGTCCCAGCTACTCGGGAGGCTGAGGCAGGAGGATGGCGTGAACCCAGGAGGTGGAGCTTGCAGTGAGCCGAGATCTTGCCAGCGTACTCCAGCCTGGGCGACAGAGCAAGACTCTGTCTCAAAAAAAAAAAAAAAAAAAAAAAAAAAGAATGATTGCATCCCTAAAAATTTGTTGTCCTTCAGAGTTTCAAAGTACTTTCTTGACATTATCTGGTTTTATAGTCACTGCAGCCCTTCAAGACAGATGTCATCCCCGATGTCTCCCCGAGCCTCTGCAGAAATAGGTTCAGGGAAACAGCGGGGATGACAATGCCTACTCTGCAAGTGGTCATCTGTCAACTATTCTCTCTGATTACGGGTATTGGTCCAGCCTCCTAGGGCAGCCCAGGCTCACCTCTGGCTTCTGAGCCACTGTTTCCTCTAAGCCAGCAAGGCCTGGTGCTCTTGGCCTTGCCTCCTCCTTGCACCATCTTCCTTCTCAGGGTTCGGAGATCGCAAGGCTGACAGCAAACCCTTGGGCCACACTGGACTTATCGAGATCCAGCTGTCCTGGATGCCTTCTAGTAGGGGAAGCCCCAACTTCAAAATTGCTTCTCAGACTCCCAATATCTTTTCTTTTCTGGAGACAAGGCGTTGGTAGAATTAGTCTCCAGCGTGTTGCCTGCTCTAGTCCCCAGCTCTTAGTCTCCATGACGAGAGAGGTCACCTGGGCTACGCATGTGATGCTGCCATGCATATTATCCCCATGGGAAAGAACCAGGAGATGGAGCAGATGACACTGCCCAGACCTCCAAGACTAGAGGGCGGCGTAGCCCCTGTCCCACCACGCCATGCCCTTGAATTGGGGAAGTCACTTACCGTTCCCAGTCACCTCCCCATCTGGGACTGCAGAGATGGATGCAAGACCTGCTCCACCTCCAATACACCACCATTTAAAAGGTGACATACTCACACCTGAGGCAGCCACAGCTCTAGTCTTACCCAGGCTGGGAAGAAGAGGTAGAGGAGAGATGGTGATCCATGGAAATCTAAACCCTAGAGACACTTAGCTTCAAAATGCCTCAAGATTCTTGCCTGGGCCCCCGAAGCAACTGGATGAGCAGAAGGAATGCTGGGACTGGTCATAAAGTGCCCAGTCACGATGATAACCGTGCGTGCATTGGTAAGGGCTGTGGGAGGCAAGGTGTCTCCCCATTGCCACCCCCTCAGCCCCATAAAAGGCATTCCCTGGCTTGGCATGGTCTTTCACAGGCACAGAAAGCTTGGGGTCAGCTTCTCCCTCCATGGGACTTCTCCTTCTTTCTCAATTTTCTCAATAGGGGATGGTTTTGCCTTCTTCTCTCCAATGTTAGCTTTGCCTTCTCTCTCCAATGCTATTCCTAGGTTTTCTTAGGGTCTAAGATCCAGTCTTACTTAACTTTGGGAGATGAACTACGATCCTGGCATCCAAATGGTGACAGAAGAAGCTGTGAATGGAATTGTTGCTACAGGCCCCTCCCCAACTTAGGACAAGCAGCACATTCCCTGGCTTTGCCGAGTAGTTTTGAGTTACCCAAAACAACAAGGAGAGTCCTCAGCCAGGCTTGTCTCGGGGTGGGGTGTGTGTGTAGGGGAAATGGCCAGCACACAAACAAGGTTTATAATCCTGGTCGCCATGAGCCACAGTCCCCTTTCTCATGATTTTCCCCAGCCATGAAGTGGATCCAGTATTCTGGTTCCAACACTTCAGATGATCTCCCGTGGAGGCCAGCACTGGTCTTTAGTCAAGTTTGGTACCAGGATGAGCATCCTGGAGGGGAATCCTGGGGCATCCCAGAAGCCTGGGGACAGTGGTCCCAGAAGGATTCCCCCTTCCCCCAGCTCATTCATCACTTGGCCTCCATTAAGCCCTGTCTGTCTTCATCCTCCCCTGCTTGTAGACCCCCGGGCTAGCCCATGAGCTAGGTGAGGATTTAAGAGAGGACCAATGTGGGAGAGGACATCGAGAATCTGGACCCCTCACACCCTGCTGGTGGGAGTGTAAAACGGTGCAGCCGCTTTGGAAAACTGTCTGGCAGCTCCTCGAAAGGTTCAACGTGGAATCACCATACGACCCAGCCATTCTACTCCTAGGCATATATCCAAGAGAAATGAAAACATACATCCAAGAAAAAGCGTGCACAAGAATGTTTATAGCAGCATTACTCACAATAGGCAAAAGGGAGAAACAACCAAAATGTCCATCAACTGGTGAATGTGGTGCAGCTGGAATATTATTTGGCCATAAGAAGGAATAAAGTACTGAGAAAGCCAGGTGCGGTGGCTTGAGCCTATAGTCCTGGCTACTCAGGAGGCTGAGGTGGGAGGATCACTTGAGCCCACGAGTTTGAGGCTGCAGTGAGCTACGATTATGCCACTGCACTCCAGCCTGGGTGAGAGAATGAGACCTTTGTTTCTTAAAAAAAAGTACTGATATAGATAAGCCTTCAAAACATTATGCTAAGTGAAAGAAGTCAGACGTGGAAGACCACATTTCTAATCTATTCTTCTATGCAGATATGAAATATCCAAAATAGGCAAATCTATAGAGACAGATTGGTGGTTGCTTAGGGACAGAGGTGGGGTGGGGAAATAGGGGGATGTTGGCCAGAGGGTGGGAGGTTTATTTCTGAGGTGATAAAAGTTTTCTAACATTGACTGTAGTGATGGTTGCACATATCTGTGAGTATACTAAAGATCACCGAACTGTGCCTTTTAAATGGGTGTATTGTATGGTATAAGAATTCTATCTCAATTAAACTGTCGGAAAAAGTGAAGAGAGAGAACATCTGACTATTCCTGGAATTGGGAGCTATGCACTCACATTCTGGGCACACTATCGGTCTGCTCTATGACCCTGGAAAAGTCACTTACTTCTCTGGGCCCCTGTTGGCCCATCCATGAGATAGGGCACAAATAATTCCTGGCTCAGAGGAGCGCTGCAAGAAACCAGGAGCCAGAAGGTACATGAGCACATGGAATCGGAACAGAGGCATTATTTAAATGGGCAAGATTTACTGCCGAGATGTCACTGCTCTGGGAAGCTGCGGCTTACTTGAGTTATGGGCTCAGAGTCCTGCAGAATGTTAAATTGGAAGAGACCTAAGAGATCAATCCAGAACACAGCTAGGACGGCCTTGTTCTCACCCAGGCACATGCACACCCACCCCTGTCCTCCCCATCGAGAACCATTTATCTGCGGCGTGGAGGGCACTGAGCGGGTGGAGGAAACGGCGGGTAGGAACGGCAATGCTTTATTCCGGGTACCCTGGTGGGGCCACCTGCAATGGCCTTTCTCTTCATCTCTACCCCAGGATGTAAAATATAGAATCAGACACAACAGTCTCCCGAAACAGAAAACCCTCTGCCCACGCTTGTCTCCCAGCCCTGATGCCAGATGTCCAGATGTTGTGGCAGCTGCCAGCACATCCCCTCTCTCCAAACCCTAAGTGCACAGCCCAAAGCTGAGCCATGGCGTGAGCCTTGCAGCCGCCCCTGGGCATGGGGCCAGCTCACACGCAGGTCTGCAGCCCCAGCTGCCATCTCCATGCCCTGATATTGGGGGCTTTCTGCAGGGGGAACCACACCAGCAGGCAGAGGGGTCTGGGTGTGCCCCAGTTCAGGACAGGGGAGGGCTCAATGTGCAGGCAGAAGAGGGCTGGCTATTTGGGCCTTTGAATTCTGAGGCAGCAGGCTATAATAATGACAATGGTCATCACAATAAAAGCAACAATAATAAATAACTTCCACCTTCCTTTGCATCAGACATAGACTTTACAGGTACTTACAACAGCCTTATTGGGTTCATAGTATCATCTTCATTGATAGATGAGGAAACAGAAACTCAGAGAGGTTAAGTATCTTGCCCAAGATCACACAGCTAGTAAACGGTAGAGACAGGATTTAAAATGAGGCCTGTCTGGTGTAAAGTCAGTGCAAAAGTGCAATCCATATTTCAGCCCCTTCAGGCCTTCCATCAGGAGCTCCCCAGTGCCAGAAATCCCAGGGACACCTGGCCATCCTGAAAACCATTGCTTTGTGGAAGGGCAATCTAGGGCAACTGCCCTAGTGTCCGTGGAAGTTGGGGCCAGCTCCAAGCCACGTTTATGTCAGGTGCCATGAGGATTTTGTTTAATCTCAGGATGGAGATGCTGGGGAGAAAAGGCATATTTGAGGACTTGGACTCGAAGGCAAGCCTGGTTGCTGGAGAAGCCTGGCCACAGCTGCCAAAACTGGCTTGCCTTTTCCCCACCTACAGAAAGCCACAGAAAGCACCGCTAGTGCTGAGCTGGGAGTGTGCAGCGTGAGGGACGAGGGGAGGTGAAGGCTCATATTCTTCAGAACTGGTGTTTAAGGCAGCAAGATGTTGTAAAGAGAGCACTGGCACTTTGGGAGGCCGAGGCGGGCAGATCACGAGGTCAGGAATTCAAGACTAGCCTGGCCAACATGGTGAAATCCCATCTACTAAAAATACAAAAATTAGCTGGGCGTGGTGGCGTACGCCTGTAATCTCAGCCACTCGGGAAGCTGAGGCAGGAGAATTACTTTAACCCAGAAGGCAGAGTTTGCAATGAGCCAAGATCACGCCACTGCACTCCAGCCTGGGCGACAGAGCAAGACTCCGTCTTGGGTGGGGGCAGCGGGGCAGAGGAGAGCACCGGATCTGGAGTCAGACAAGCCAGCTCCAAATCCTGGCTCCACCAGGTAACCCTGCTGTCACGTTCGACTAGGAACTGAGCTCCTCTGAGCCTCAGTTTCATCAGCTGCAAAATAGAGATAATAATACCTACACCACGGGAAGGTTCTCAGGATAAGGGTGATGATGGAAAGACTTGTAGAACATTTACTATGCACTAAGGATGACTGTTCTAAACATTTACCTAAATCATCTATCTATCTATCTATCTATCTATCTATCTATCTATCTATCTATCTATCCATCCATCCACCCATCCAAATTTAGTATTCTCAACTGCCTAGTAAGGTAGACATTACTACAATTTTCTTTTACAGATGAAAAAAATTGAGGCTTAGTAGGGTTAAGAAATTGGCTCCAGGACACAAAACTGAGTTAGTAGGGGTGCTGGGATTTGAAGATAGACTCCAGACCTTTGGTCTTAATCAACACACTGTGCAGCCCCTGAAGAACACACATGAAGGGTTTAGCAACAGTGTCCAGTCCATGCCCAGGCCAGGGCCTGTGGAAGGTAGGGACACATACTTGGTAGCTGTAGCCCTCAAATGCCCAGGCACCCCTGAGGAACTGGAAGCTTACTAAGAGGTGGCAGTGCTATGTCATCTGGCTATGTCATTGACTGCTTAAATGGAAAACTAGAAATGGACCTATTGCTCTAAGAGAAATAAAAATAAGGAGCTTACATGTTGAGTTATATAAGGGGTCTTCACACTGGTTACTGAAGGCTAGTAAAACCCATCGGCTCTAAGGTGGTCTATGTGGGCTGCAGGGCGCTCCACAGGTGACAGAGATGGCACACTCCCAGGCCAACAGCAGCTAGTCCTGGAAGGTGACACCTCTGCCCTGTCCATCAACATCCACATCCCATCAGGTAACTTCCTTCCAGATTCGCAAAGCCCTTGAAATTTGCAAAAGGGCCCCATCTCCCTAGGACTTGAGGCCAAAACCATAACCCAATGGGCTCCTGAGAAAGAAACAAAGAAAAATGAGCCAGCCAGAGAGAGCCTTGAGTCCACAAGACAGACTCTTGGAACAGAAGAGCATCAGAGTAAGAACAGGGAAACAGAAACAAATCCACAGCCTCCAGAGCCACCTTCCCTGGCCAGTAAATGAATGTGGCTTGCTTCAAAATTCAGAATCAGGAAAAAGCGTGTCTCTCCTGCCACAAGTCCTTTTGTCAGACACTCATGTAACAATCATATTTCCATTTTTGCTTTTGCTGTCAAAAAGCTCAGAGTTGAATTTAATGCTCCGTGTCAGTGACTATCTAATCCTAGGTCCCTGGCCAAACCATCTCCTCCTCACCCCCATGCTTTCATCTACATGGGGATCTGCTTTTCTGACTTTATTTAAAATGATCAACAGCCCAAATTCTCCCTTTTGGAAGCTGGTAGGACACACATTAGAGATGGATGCTGGATTACAGAGGGAGATTTTATTATAGCATTAAGAGAGACTTGGATTAGTGACCTTTGAAGGCCCCCTTTTAGCCCTGAGATTCTGAACTGTGATCAGTGAATAGTCTGCTATGCTCTTCTTCCACAATGAAGCAGAGCCTCTCCATGGCCCGAGGGAAAAGGATGTTCTGCTCCTGGAATGTCAAGGAGGGATTGACTCTGGTGCATACGCTGGCCCAGCACAATGAGCACAGACTGCTTGCTGCTTCTTGCCAGCATCACCTTACGGCACTGGAGCGGGGCTTGGTCACTGGATGCCAGCTGGCACCAAGGCACAATGAGATGACTACTTGAGAACAATGGCTTTTCCACCGTGCAACTGCCTGCTAATTGACAACAAAGGCTTCGTGGTGACTGGAGTCACAAGGCTGTCTTTACAAGCACAGGACGGAATGCAAGCCTCTTTTAGGACCCATTTTTAAGCATAAACAGGAGCCACCGTGAGGTCCCTTCTGCAGCCCTAGAGTCTCTGGAGCTCATGCTACACATTCATCAGAGGCACAGTATCAGATTATCTGAGCTTGAACAGTTTGCCAGCGCTATGCCCAAGTTGTGGGTTGCCCCTTCTAGCTCACAGTCTGATGTGAGGAGACTTTCCTGATCCACTTCTTTGGGACGATGGAGTTCAACTCCTTCATAATTTATAGATTGGGAAACTGAAGCCCCGGAAAGCTGTGGCTTGCCCAAAGTCAGAGTCCAGTTACCAGCAGAGCAAGAACTAAAACCAGTGTCTTCAGAGAGAGAGACCTGAGATTGGCTGAGATCTGACACGTCAGGGCATTATATTTAAGAAGAAGGCATAGTTTACGCCACAGTATGTGGATCCATGGGTCAGGAGAGGCTGGACTCCATCCAAAGGCCCAAGTCAACAGCTGACCTGGACCAACAAAAGGTTAACATCTCAGAAGAGTGTAATATAAGCATTAGGAAGAGGCAATTAACAGCTGGGAATTAGGATAAGCACATTTTTGAGTGGCGAAGATTCTCCTTAGGTAAAAACTTAGCCATGAACTAACCCTACAAACAAAAGTGTCAATGAAACAAACCACACCTTTCCCCAGCATCCCAACATCCAGATACTCCTTACTTACGTTGCTTGAGCAAATGTTGGTTAACTGGGTGCCCCCAGGTCATGTGGTGAAGACTGGACCTTAGCTTCTAGTCAGCCTGCCTGTGCCTACCCTCAGCCTGGGTGTAGTTCTGACTTTCAGGTGCACCAGCCTATTATTATTGGACTTGTAACAGAGACACCTCCCTCTCCTCTGACCCACGATTCCTTCCTGGTTCCTAGGTAGTCTGCCTTCCAGCTCTGGGTGAGCACTGCTGCTATTTCAGAGTTCCTGGGAGCAAGAATGGGATTTAAGGTAAGCCAAGTTCAGCATGGTTCTGTAGTAAGAAGGGGCTAGTTTTTGGAAGACGGTGTTTCTTTTGTGCTTAATTTATTTTCCCCTTGCACCCAGTGGTCAATGGAACAGAAGAAGCTCCCTGGCTGTGACAATCACGCTTAGAGCTTGGATATTATTACAGGGGTTTTAGTTGATGGAATATTTTCACATATAGCTAATATAAATCTAACCACAGACTATGAAGCCACTAACAATGTTCTTGTTTAACAACTGGAAACTGGGGCCAAAAGAGGTTAAGTGCCCTGATCAAGGGCGTATAGTTAACAGTAAAGTCAGGACAGCAATTGTATTCTCTGCCTCTTTAGTGAAGTGAGACTATCTTTCAAAACAGCTTGGCTGATCTAGACCTTGCCAAGACATTTTTATTGTTTAAGCACGGGTCTTATTGAGGTCCAAAGGGCAAGAGTTTGTGCAATGAGTTAGCACCCCTAGGGGAGGTGGAGGAAGCCACTGGGCTTGGCTCTGTGGTACGATTCAGGACTGACTGCTCTGGGCCAGTATCAGCATCTAAGCTCCCTGACTTGCCCGGCACATGTCTTCTGCCTCACACATTTTTTTTTTTTCTTTTGAGATGGAGTCTCGCTCTGTCGCCCAGGCTGGAGTGCAGTGGTGCAGTCTCAGCTCACTGCAACCTCCATCTCCTGGGTTCAAGCGATTCTCCCACCTCAGCCTCCCGAGTAGCTGGGATTACAGGTATGCGCTACCAGGCCTAGCTAAATTTTTTTTTGTATTTTTAGTAGAGACTGGGTTTTACCATGTTGGCCAGGCTGGTCTTGAACTCCTGACCTCAAGTGATTGGCCCGCCTTAGCCTCCCAAAGTGCCGGGATTACAGGCATGAGCCACTACACCCGGCCTCTGCCTCACACTTTTATCCCTAAGCTTACCTAGGGCCAGTTCTCTCTTTTCATATCATCCTTTCCATTTCTTCCTCTCTCTCCTGTCTCTTCTCCCCAACACAGGCCATAGGAAACAGCCCCAATACATAAGCAGGGGCTCCTGCTTCCCAGTCCCCTCCTAGGGCCTGAGTCCCATAGAACAAGCTCAGAATGCCGAGCTCCAGGTGGGGAGAAGAAAACCACCAAAGGCCCGCCCCTTCCCAGTTCCTCCCTTTTGGGAAGGTGCTGGTATTGTGTCTAAGGTTGAAAGCACCGTTGAGGAGCCAGACCTAAATTGAGGGCTTGGTTCTGCCATAGTCCATATGTCTTTGGGCAAATGGCTTTCCCCATCTGGGCCCCAGGTTCCTCAGCCGAAAAATGACAGGCTGGATTCTGTAATCTCTGAGTTCCTTCCCTGCTCTCCGGTTCTCCATGAGGACTCATTTGGTAGGCAGCAAGGGCAAAGTCTTCGTGTAGATCTCATCCTCCAAAATGACTTTGCCATAAGAGGGGAGGCTGTAGCCGGGGCTAATAGATCCATGGAAACTCTGGAGAGTCCAAAAAGGATTTTAATTAAAATGTAAATGTTGTAAACAACGTAAGTCCCTCCATCCTGGGAGCCGGGACCCAGCTGCCGAGAGGGGTCAGGGCACCATTCACCATTATTAGCATTAACAGGTGCCCTGTATATGTTACCAATGCAAAATTCTACTAGGGGAGCTCATTCACATGGAACATCGATGCAGGAATGGGTGTCCTCTAGCTTAGCTCAGGCACAGAGTGAGCTGCATCTACAGGTGATTTTGTGTTCTGAATTTGAGAAAGATCCTCTGCCCCTCAATATCTTCCTATCACATTATATACACTGCTGATGCCTAAAATCCCATCATTAAGGGTTCCTTTGAGTTGGGGATTGTGCTTCTATTGGTAGACAAATAGTGCAGAAGAGGTAATTTTGTTTCATTATTGGTCACTTCCTAGCTATGCAATCTTGAGCACCAGTCCTTTGCTTTCTTAGAAATAGTGACAAAAATGCCTAGGCCACTGTTCCCAAGGTGAGGGGTCCTGCCTGGTCCAAGGACTCTTTTCTTGGAAAACCCAGAATCCTAGGGTTGGGCTCAGCCTTCTCCGGGTTGATGATCCAGGGACTCAAATTTGGAGGATGATTCCCCCAAACAGCAGGAAGAAACTCAAGGCCTGGTAACCAGACAGAGGCACCTCAGAGGACTACAGACCTCGGCCAAGAAACAACAGAGCAGCCAAAGAGGTAGCCATGGCAATGCAAGGCCTTCCCTGGGGCTTCTGCCGCAAGGGAGGAGGAAAATGGGAATATAACAGGTGCACCGAATAGTGAATACACAGTGTACCGTTACTGGCTGGGTTTTGCATTCACTCTACTCACTGTAACTTTTGGTGATTGTCTAATTATGGCTCATTACAAACATCAAGTTACATTTGCAAGGTCGTAACTAGAGGGGAAGGATACAATTATTATAATGAAGCCTCCCCAGCCCCAGATTCTCTCCCCTCCAATCAGTCCCAAATGCCACTGCTTAAATCGTCTTCCTTGTCTGCCACCTGGTCCTCCTAGGTCTCCTCTCCTGCATCCCTCCCTAAGGCCAGTGTGACAAAGCATGACTCAGGGCACAGTCCCCTTGGTGGCCTGTCCCCATCAAAGGGCACCTCTCTCTCATTTTCTTTCCTTGCTAATGAGCAGCTTTTTCCTGGCACTGCCTGGATGGAGGGGAAGAGCTGAGGATGTCAGATGGTGACTAATAGAGTCATAGGGACTGGGCCTATGAAAAAGAGTGGCTGGATGGAAGGCAGAGTTGGCACCTTCTAGCATAGTCTAGGGTTGAGGCCTGCCTGCTGGCTGTTGCCCACCAAACAGTTCCTTGAAGGCCAGACACCAGTACCCAAACTCTGGGTCAGCGAGACTTCAGCACTAAGGACCATGAGGGCTTGGAGTGGCCTGGATGCAACTTGTTTCTTGCCTTTCTCAGAAGTGCTTCTGCCACTAAATGCTGTCCTGGAGGAGCAGCCTCTCTCCTCTAAAGGCAGCATCCCAGGACAAAGGCTGGTCTGTATCCAGAAAAAGGGAAGAGAGGGTTTGTCTCAGTCCTTCACTTCTGTTGGTCACACCCCAGGGGCAAGTGCCATGTTTTTTTAAAAAAGGATGGTCACTAACCCAAGTATTCAGAGAAGAGAAGGCTGAAGCAGGTGAGGAGGAAACTGAGAAGTCTAGGCAAACGCTCCCTTTCATGGAACCAGTAGTTTTCAGTCTGGAAAAGAGATTTCAAGGTAGCATGACAGACGGCTTCGAAATGTGAAGGGCTGTCATGTATGAGAGGGAGCACAATTGGCCCAAATGCCCGGAGGCAGAATCAGGACCTGCAATCCAGCCAACTGCAGACTTGGCTGTCTCACAGAGTCGTGAGTTCACGGATGACCACTCGTCGAGAATGCCAGAGAAAAGGCTCTCTCATGGGTGGCAGATGCTCTCTGAGATCCCTTCCATCCTAAGACTGTGTCTTTGGCTCCAGGCAACAGCCTAGCACAACACCCTGCACATAGTAGGTGCTTAGTCAATGTTTCTAGATTGTGAAATGGACAGTATTCAATTACACAGGGACATTGGTTTTCAGGTAGGTGTAGAGGCTTTCTCCAGCAAATCCTTTCAAACCGAAGATGTGGAATGCAGCTCTTAAATAGGGGTTAACAAAATTCTTGCAAATTAGAGTCACCCAGCGTGCTTACTTAAAATGCAGATTCTTGGGCCCCACTCAAAATTTGAATTCAGTAGGCCTGGAATGGGGACAAGAAATCTGCAATTTTTAACAAGCTCCCCAGATGATTCCCAAGCATGTGATTGCCAGGCGGCATTTAAATAAATGTAGACTCAGAAAAACATCACGGGTTCTTCTGGTTCCCGGATATAAGCCCTACCGGAGTTGTCATTGCCTTTGCCTTACCACATCCACTTGCCCCCCGGAGATGGGGAAGGACTCCATCCGATGCTGGCTGAACCCCAGGCAACGCTGAGGCCCAGAGCAGCAGGAAGAAGGCAAAGGCATCTTTCAGCATGAGACCCACTCTCAGACCCATGGCATTGCACGCTACCGAAAAGCCAGCCTTCGATATCCTTGCTATATCGCAGAGTCAGCCCTGACAGCCTGCCCACCTCCCACAGTGCTTCTGATCTCACGGCTTACCTTGCTGTCATGGCTCCACCTGGCCCTCCTACCTGGGTTCAGTCTTTGCTCCCACCTTTCCCCCAAACTGGGCTCTGCTT
Source organism: Homo sapiens (assembly GCF_000001405.40). NCBI lineage: Eukaryota > Metazoa > Chordata > Mammalia > Primates > Hominidae > Homo > Homo sapiens. Next base: position 117,663,337 of record NC_000011.10, read on the forward strand.
CTGCTTCCTCTACCTTTGGTTTCCCAGCCTGGCGCCCAGGACTCTGAGGCCATCCCCCACCAGTGGTGTCAGTCCTGTAAGCAGAAGCCAGCCAGCATCCCTCTGGGAGCTCTTCCACGTGCTGGACTGAGAAAGTGGAAGGGCTAGAATCCATGGCAGGAAGTACCATGGAGATACAGGAGGCTCTCCATGGTACTTCCTGCCCCTCTCCCACTGCCACTGGAAGGAGTGAACCCAGTCTCTTCCAGGAGGCTCTCTCTCACTGTGCCCACATCGCCGCCAAGTGCCCGGCCAGGCCAGAACTTCCCCTCCCCCTGCCCTTTCCCTACAGGGATTGATTTGTTTAGTTTCAACAGTTTAATCTTCTCCTTCCCTTGGAGCAGAGCTGTTTCCCTCTGATCCCTGGTGGGAGGCATTCTGTATCGGACTGAGTACAGGGGGGCTGGGGGAGGAAGGTAAAAGAGAAAAAAGAAAGAAGGAAGGAAAACATACCTCCTGGCAAAACCCAGAGCACCACTTACACAACATCTTTCCCCGCTACATTATTTATAGCGTGACTGAAACATTTATTCCTCCCCTGCTCTTCCAAAGAGCACCAGTGTTTCCGCTGAGCTGTAACAAGTACAGCAAGGCCGGCTGCAAGGCTGTATTGCTCAGCGCCATCACCAAACATTGGAGACACAACAGTGCACCCCAGAAAATGCCGTGGCTCCCAGCAGCCGGGAGGAGGGGCCGGGCCTGGGAAGAGAGAGGGCGTAGTTCCAGGATGCTGGGAGAGGAGGCCAGGGGAGGGGATCAGGACTCTCAGTCCAGAGAGGAATGGTGGCAGCGTTTCAGACAAACAGCTCAGGGGCCCACATTCAGCCAGACTTGCAGAGAACCCGAGGCCTAGACCGGCGAGGGGCCGTGGTAGGCAATTAGCCAAATCTACAACAATGACACTCTAAGGAGCGGTGGCTGCTGACAGGCTTTCTGAGCAGGTATTTTTATTTATTCAACAATTTATATGAATAAGTACATTTATGAATTGCAGTGGGATAGAGAGGGTGGGGACTTTGAATCCACTCAGATCTACTTCCCAGGGCCCCTCTGACACCTCCCTGCCATGTGACAGAGATCAAGTCACATCATCTCAAGGAGGCTCAGTTCCCCTTTCTGCAAAAATAGGGATGACAGCTCCTACCTTACATTGCTGTTTTGAGGTGTTACGCTTGTATATGAAAAGTACCTAGCGCTGTATGTGAATTTCACCTCAATTTAAAAAAGGGTAGGGGGCACTTAGCACAATGTCTACCCCGTAATGGACACTCCACAAAGGGAGCTCCTCGCATTTTTGGTTGACGAGTGTTATGAGTATTCATGGATTTTTGCGGAACTGTTTCCTGATGGCCTGGTTTACAAACTAATGACAATACATGGGGAGGCCTAGCATTCTCAGAGCCTCTAGCTGTCTTTAAAAGAATACACCCACAGACCCATGATGGTGGAGTTCCACACCCCTACTCCTCCTGGCTTTGCCTTAGCTGAACAAGCAGCTACCTTGTCCCTTTCACGGCCGCGTGTCTGCTGGGCACCTTCAGAACCACGTCTATCAACAAACACTGTGGTCTGCCTGCTGATCTGGGCACCCCCAGACCCAGCACCCTTTCTGCCTTTCCTTCTTGTTTCTCTCACTTTGCCATGCTTGTTGGTAGCCAGGCCAAGCCCCGCCCATCTCAGTGGAAGTCCTATTTCCTGCCGAAGTCTGTGCTGACAACTCCTGCCCTTATGACCCTCCCTGAGCCCTCGAGCTGCTCCCAGGCTGGCCTCTGACCTATGGCTTTTCACAGTTGTGATGCCTTGTTCATGTGGGCCCAGTCTCCCTGACCACACAATCGGCCCCTTGAAGTCCAGGACTAGCTCATTTTCTTCTCTGGTGTCCCCAAGGGGACTGGAAGTCGGCTCGTACGAGCTGGGCAGTTATAAACAAGTCAAAGGACATATCTAAGATTTGGTTTCTTTTCTGTAAAATGAGGCTACCTCAATGGAATAACAGCAATGACAGCCACAAGCACAGCTAACCCTTCCTGTGGGCACAGAGTACGCGAGCTGTGGTCTAAGAGCCGAGTGCGTACTCAGGAACACTCAGGCAGGAGTGGCTCCGGGTTTTTGGATGTGAAGTGCATATGATTTTGGCAGTCTACTTATAAAATAGGGCCTCAGATTGGGTCTGTGCAAATAAGGGGCTCTGAAGCTTAAGCTGCAATGGCTTCCTGGAAAATCTATCTCTGCAGCCAGGTATTGTCATTGTCCCTATTTTACAGATGAGGAGACTGGGCCCAGAGATAGTAACTCGCCCACCATCACACAGGCAGCATGCGTGGAACTGGGATTCACACCAGGCAGCATGGTACCTGAGCCCATAATCCCAACGGCCTCAGTCCCTGCCCAGGACACGGGGCTAGTAAGGTGTGAGGCAATGCCACACAGCCCTAAGACACTGCCAACGTATAGGTTGGCAAAGAGTCAAAAAAGGAAAGAAACAGGGATCTATAGTCAGCCCAACCTCCTCATTTCCCAGATGAGGAATCCATTGCTCTGGGAAGTCAGAGACTTTTGCAAAGGCACACACAACACCAAACACAGTCCAGGACCCTCTCTCTCTATTGCCTGCGTGAGGATTGAGGAAGGACTTTTGGGCAGTTGGTCAGTGGCTGGTTCTCCTCCATCACTGCGGTCAGAGCTCAGGGCTGCTGCTGAGAACCCTGTAATGCTCCGAGGGGCTGTTTGTTGGCCTCCTTGGGCCCCAGGAAGCAGAATAGTATGGTGAGAGGGGCATGGATCTCAGAAGGCCCTGAGGTCACATCCAGCCTCCGGTGCTTCCTACCAGTGGACCCTCGAGCCAGCCTCTTCAGCATCAATTTCCACATCTGTAAATTGGGAGTGTTAATACCTGCTGTAAGCGTGCTGGGGATCAAACAAGATCACACATGCAAAGAACCCACCCAGTAGCTAGCATTTTCCATAGTGGATTTTAGAAGTTGTGTAATCAATGTTAGTGCCCCTGCCTCTGTCTAATAGTCAGACGCCTACATTATAACAGAGTACCCCTAGGACTTCAGGCCTTTGTTCTTGTCTTATCCCTGGTTTGACTTTCTGCCTGTTTCCTGATCTGGCCTCTCAGCTGCTGCCAAATGCCCCTGAGGACAAAGCTGCTGCCGGGCCTCTCTCTCTGGGTACTATCCCAACTTCCCACTCCTCTCTCTCCCTCACTGAGCCTGTGTCCCACCCCCAGTTCTGCAGAACAGCCTCAGCCTCAGGTGGTGGGGAGTATGAGGCCTGAGCTACGGGCAAAAGACCCCTCTGAAGGGCTGGCCCCGGCAGGAGTGCATTGTCTAAAGGAAGGTCGCAAATTCAGGCTTGGTTTTAGATGTGGCTACCTCAGAGGGCTATAAGCCTTGATCTCTTCTTCTGTAAAGTGGTGATTTCAATGCCTCTGCCTCTCTCAGGGTGGCTGGAAGGATGAAATGCAGTGATGGATCTGGAGTGCCTAGCAGATGCGTGGCACGTGGTAAGCTCTCCATAATGCAGGTAATTACTGTCCGAATCCATGTATTCACCATCATGCAGTTTTGGGGGTAGGGCTGTCAGGTGGGCAGTCAGCAGGTGTTAGTGGCCTGGTCTGGGTGGTTGGTTCATCCAGGAGTCTGGACAGCAGCTGGGGGGTCCAAGGAGCAACACCCAGCTTTCCCGAGATGGCTGGCAGGCTCAGGTGGGACAAGGAGCCTGCTCTCCTGACAAAGTCAATGTTGGTGGTTGGGCACGATGGCTCACGCCTGTAATCCCAGCACTTCGGGAGGCCAAGGTGGGTGGATCACTTGAGGTCAGGAGTTCGAGACCAGCCTGGCCAACATGGTGAAACCCTGTCTCTACTAAAAATACAAAAATCAGCTGGGCGTGGTGGTGCATGCCTATAATCCTAGCTACTCGGGAGGTTGAGGCACGATAATTGCTTGAACCCGGGAGGCAGAGGTTGTAGTGAGCCAAGATGGCACCACTGCACTCCAGCCTGGGTGACAGAGACTCCGTCTCATAAAAAGTAAATAAATAAGTCAACATTGGTAATGGTTCTGCCCGGGGTCTGACTAGCCCCTCACTCTCTAATGGGCCAGCTTGCCAGGGTGGCCGGGGCTGGGGGCGGTGCTCATCTCCTTGGGCACTGAAGAGCCAGCCCAGACACTGAGACTGGTTCCAGATAGTTAACTCCTTTCTGCTTCTTCCCAACTCTTCCTTCCTCTTTGCATCCAGGACTCAGTTTCCCACTAGCCCCTCAGCCTGACTTCCTCCTCTGTTTTAAGTGCCTCAAAAGCCACCTCCTGACCTGAAACAGAATCCAACCTTCAGAGTTGATCGTTGATTATAGCACCCAGAAAAAGGTGGTTGGAGGCTTGGCAGCATCCTTACTCCCAAGAGGAAATGCTGCTTCCCATTCAGTATCCAGTACTTTTTCCTGTCCCATGAGCCACCCTGTATCCGAACACATCGAAGGCAGATTTGTGTTTGTAATTCTTGCAGTGGAGAAGAAGGGAGGGATATGGAATCTAGTGCCAGATGATCTACTACTGCTCATTAGGTGCCCGATGTCAGAGAAAGCAAGTTGACCTGACTCTGAGAACAATATAACAGCCAAACACCATTCGCATTATTATGCACTGAGGGTTTTATACACATGGTCCCCTTTATTCCTACAACAACCCTGGGAGGTGGGTACTATTATTCCCATTTTCTTTCATTTTTCATTGATTCACTCTTTTAAAAATATTCTGAAATGTCTACTATATGCCAAGTAAGGCAGCAGGAATACAGTGAGGAATGAGACAGATGTGGTCTCTGTCCTCATAGGAGCTTACGATCCAGATGAGGAAACTGAGACTCAGAAAGGTTGGCTAAGGCCACAGAATATCTGCCCTAGATAGTGATGTCATGCCTCCTATCTCTCTGCAGGGTGCTTTGCAGTCTACAGATCCCACAGGATCAGTTCATTCCAGAGCGGCCCCCAGCCAGCTGCTGAGTGTCTCGGGAGTCTGGTGCAAGCTCTCAGCAAAAACTGGCTTCGGCATGAGGATATGTAAAGGCACCTTGTAATCTGCAAAGCACAGTGTGCCCATTGGTTGTTTTTGTGCCTCATTATGCTATAGCCCAGCGGGTACCTGGGAGGCTGGCCAGGTCCCTCTCTAATTGCAGGATGCTGGCAAGTGAGCCCAGGCAGGCACCTGTGCCAGTCCCTGAACGGCACTGGGTTCCAGGCAGAGAGAGCTTGCCCTCCCTGACTCTCCTACCAATGCTCCAGCTCTAGCTTCCATCTGACTGCAAAGCAACCTGGTCTCACACCAGCCACTTCTGCTGCTCAATGCCATCTCCTTCCGGCTGTTCCTGCTGCTTCAAAGAGTGGGGAGTAGAGAGAAGAGAAGCGAGGTGCGAACAATAGCCAACTTGCCTAAAACTCTGATGCTGGAGTTAATAAAAAGAAATGAACCCATTCAGGCTAGCACCCAAATTACAGTCTCAGTTTCACTGTAGTGATAGAAGGCGGGTACTTTGGCAGGGAGCTTGGAGTCGGTCTGGGGGGTGGCAGTAGTGGGGGAAACAGGTCTTCTGCGCAGACTGGTAAGCCTGGCAATTGGATTTGTTTTCTCCCTCCCTTTCCAGCCACCTCTCCTCTCCAGATCCCACTCCTATGAATATATTTGTTTGTTTATTCCTATTGATTTCTAAGGCCTAGGTGCCCCCAGGGCCTCTTGCTGCAGGTGTACCAAATGCAAATCCGACAATTACAGTCAATCCAGCAGCAAAAATTCCCCATAAAAGGAGAAAGCCAAAGGGCTTCCTGCTGGGGAGTGCAGCCCTCAAAGACAAGTCCTCCATTGAAGGGCAGCTTCAATGGGCCTGGCAGCACTGGCACAGGCAGGCACCAGGGTGGGCAGATGGTCTGGGGGACGGGCCCTCGGGCTGGCTCTGAGAAAGCTCTGCCTCACGTTGCCAGTGGTGGCACCTTGCCTTGGGAGACCTTCAAGGTCCCCATCTGCCTGAGCTGGGTGAGTGGTGAGAGATGGCAACTCTTCTCCAGCCCAAGCCTCCCATGCTGGATCCTTCAACCATTCAACAGCTATCTAGTGGACCTTCTTAGAGCCAAGCTCTGTGCTGGGCCCTGGGCATATACAAGTGAACAAGACAGACATGGCCCTAGTGCTGATGGGGCTGACAATGTAGTTAGGAAGACCAGATTAAAAACAACAAAGATGGGAGTGTTCAGGTAGAAACCAGGAAGAAAGTGAGATGGACAAGGGGTGCTTTAGGTAGGTCAGGAAACAGACATTTCCTGAGAAACATGACATTTACACTGAGACCTGAAGGATGAGATGGAGCCAAATGTGAAGCATGGGGGAAGGGCTTTCCAGCTGAAGGAACATGTGCAAAGGCCCTGGGGCAGGGGCGGATGGAACATCCTGGTTCGTCTGAGAAACTGAGATCCTTGTGGCTATAGCTCAATGAGCAACGGGGCCTGTGGCATGAGATGGGCTCAAAGAGTGGCAAGGACAAGACCACAGGGGCCTCAGCGGCCCATGAAAATGTCAAGCAAGAGCTGATGGCCTGGCCAAGCCTGTGATTCTAGATCCTTTTTAAAGGAAGGAAACTTTCTGGCTCCTAAGTTTTCAGCGACCTTTGTCTGCCTTTAAGTAAGGAAAGGAAAGAGGTTAAGCGCTGTGATGCTTGGCTCTTCCTCCTAATTTTAAGTACACTGTGTATACCTCACAGTATACTGTGGGGGCACCTAGGCCTTTGGAAATCAATAGGAATAAACAAACAAATATATGCATAGGAGTGGGATCTGGAGAGGAGCGGTGGCTGGAAAGGGAGGGAGAAAACAAATCCAATTGCCAGGCTTACCAGTCTGCGCAGAAGACCTGTTTCCCCCACCACTGCCGCCCCCCAGACCGACTCCAAGCTCCCTGCCAAATGAGTTATCATTCAGAACGAAATCCACTCATTCATTGATTCACTCCAGTAAATATCGAATACTTATTATGTGCAAGGCAGACAGGCAAGCAGGCAGGAGGCGAGCAGCAAGTTAGGCTGGACCAGGGTGGGCCAGGTGTGACATAATGGGGAGGTCAGACTTGATTTGGGAGAATGGAGACCCTTGGAAGGTTTTGAAACAAGGGAATGACAGACTCAGATTCAAACTGCCCAAGGAGGTTCCAGCTGCTGCGTGAAGGCTGACGGGAGGGGTCAGCTGAGGCTATTGTCAGAGGCCACTGTGATTGTTCACTAAGCAGCATAACTCCTCCTGGAGGCATCTGGCCACTCCCCAGGACAGAATGAAAGGGCTGTGCCTCTGTGCTTGGGTAACGTTTCATCCTTACTTCTATTGTAGTCCGGTTTCTATACACCCTTGACTGGAGAATCCATTAAGACTTTGGGCAAAGGCATGGGGAAGGCAGGAGCAAACCTGTCCCCGAGGGTCATTTTGCTGATGTTGACAGTGAAATGAATTTGTCTTCCTGGGCACGCAATAACTTGACAGAAGGGAAGGCACCCAGAGGGCCTGGGTGACAGAGGAAGTTGGACCGGAATTCCTTTCTCCATGCACCTACCTATTCACGTGGATAACTGAGAGCTGGCTGCCCGTTGAAAGAGGTGCACATTTGGAAACCAAGAGGCCAATTCCCTCTGGCCTGTGCCTAGCATAAGGAATGCACTTGACGTTAACATTTCAAAGCACCAGCCCAGTCCACAGCTCCCCGAGAGGGACACAGCCTGGGCAACCTGCGCCTGCAGCAGTGTTTGATATGCAAATGTCCTGCCTGTTTAAGCTAGACTGTTTGTGAAATGGAGAGTTAGAATCAGAATTAAGGAATTTGAGCTTTTAGAAATCATGGAGCCCCAAACCCTCGCTTCATAGAGCAGCTTCCAGAGGCCACACTCAGGTGAAATAACTTATTCTGGTACCCTCAGTTAAAGGGCCTCAGTCTCTTCCATGGATTTCAGTGGCCACGTGGAGTCCATGTTTACATCTCGGGGCTTACCTGCTAAACCCAGCACACACATAAAATGTCTCCCAACAGCAGTCTGGGATCTGAGAAATACTTAGATAAAAAGCCATTTACCAAGACCCCAATGCCTCTTAACAGAGGCTGTGTGCCCGGCAGGATAAGCCAATTACCAAAGGATTGTGTTCCAAATGCAGCCTAACTGTCTCAGAGTCACATCAGGGGGTATCAATAAGTAGTTAATCAATGGATTGATTGATCATTTACTGCTAGTAATTAAATTCTGAGAAGGTACAAATTCTATCACACCTACAGTCAGTCAAAAGCAATGCTCAGATCCTGGGACATGGAAGCAAATAAAAATAGAAACCGCATGGCCACAGTATTAGAAAGGCAGAGTGGGCGGGGGAGAAGGAGACTTTATCTCATAGCATTGCAGGTGTTTAGGGTAAAAGAAACCTTGGGGCCGGCGCGGTGGCTCACGCCTGTAATCCCAGCACTTTGGGAGGCCGAGGCGGGCGGATTACCTGAGGTCAGGAGATCAAGACCACAGTGAAACCCCATCTCTACTAAAAATACAAAAAATTAGCCGGGCGCGGTGGCAGGTGCCTGTAGTCCCAGCTACTCGGGAGGGTGAGGCAGGAGAATGGCGTGAACCCGGGAGGCGGAGCTTACAGTGAGCCGAGATCGCGCCACTGCACTCCAGCCTGGGCGACAGAGCGAGACTCCAGCTCAGAAAAAAAAAAAAAAAAAAAAAGAAGAAACCTTGGGCCTCATCCAGGCTGACCCCCTCATTTTGGAGATGAGGAAACCAGAGCTCGGGAGGTTGGATTCTTCCAATGGAGCCAGCAGGTTACTGTGGAAGCAAGGATTACACTCAGGCCTCCTGCCTCCCAGCCCAGTGCCCTTGAACAGAGGGGCAGGCAGTCCCTGTTGTATAATTTGGGGTTGGTATTTGACATCATCGGTGCTTTGCTAGTGGCTTTTTCTTTAGGGGCACCCTCTAGATCTCTAACTGGCCATTTTCCCCCCACTCCCCAAACACATGGCTTTCCTATTAGCAAAGATTCACAAAAATGCTGATGGCTTTATAGATCAGTGCCCTTCTTCTGGCAAAGTCGAAAAGTGCTCCAAGGATAAGGATTTGCCATCACTCAGGGAATTCAACAAGAGCACCTGTACACGAAACAGTTCCCAGCGACGCAATCACAGCAACTTCAGAATAAGCCCATGGGCATCCAGGGCGAGCCTATGAGTGGGCAACACACATGGCATACGTGTTCCGCTGTTTGTCCAAGGTGTCCCATTTTTTTATTCAATACACATCACTATCATTCTGGGTTCTGTTTGATTCGTCTCCTCTAGTGCTTAAACTGGGTATCACCATGAGCCCAGCATACTTGTTAAACTGATTCAAAGACTCGGGGTATCATACAACACACTTAACAACAGTTCATGCAGGATGAGTGCCTTTTATGCCAAGTAAGGAGACAAATGCCAATTGATTTACCTATGTCTGGAAGTAGGAAGTGGAGGAAGTAAAACATTTGGGTGTGCTGTACTAATACATTTCTGCACTTGTTCCCAAAGTCAAGTGGAAACTCCTCCAGGAAGCCTCCCCAGACCACCTGCCTGGATCTGGGCTCTAAGACGTCTGTGCTCCCCTGTGCTTGCTCATCTCCTCGGGCAATCGGTTTTCATCGCCTGTTTTTGTGGCTCTCTGTGGACAAGCTGTAAACCCAGAGTACCTTCTTCCAGCCGGTCAGCATGACGCCCTTGGCCCTTGCTGCCAGTCTAACTGTGATCAAGAAAGGCAAACACGTTTTTATTACTTGCTTAAGCCAAGTGGAATTAGGTAGGTAAATCTTCTGGGAGGAAAATCAATACATTCCAAAGCCGAATATCAATGATTTCTGAATTATCCTCTGCTTTTCTAAGATCTGTGCTGGTGTTTCTGTTTACGTTAAGCATCTTCCTGAGCCAGCTCCTGGGTGGACTTCTCCAACCAGAAGACAGTCAGCTCCCCAAGCAGGGAATCCTGTCTCCTGCCCATTTCTTCCCATCATGCTTGAGAGAGTGCTTTTCATGGGGGTTTATCCCAAGTGCAGATGGTCTGATGCTCTGCTTTCCTCAAGAGTCTGGCCCCATCCCCATTTTCCCATCCTCTGCCCCCCACCAAACTCCCCATGCCCAGGGAAGCAAATCAGAGAGATGAAGGTTTACTTGACATGTCCTGTGCAGTCACAGGTAATGCCCAAACCTCCTGCTCCCTGTCTAATTGGACCTGCTGCCTGGAAGTCCGATTTAATCAGCCTGTGATCACCACTGGGTTGAGGAGGTGGGGGTGGCTCAGGAAGAGGATGAGGCTCCCAGGCCTGGGCTCACGCTGTTGGTTGGCCCCAGCTGTGCGTGTGCACAATCAGCCTTTATTAACTATTACACTTCATTCCGGACAGCTGCCTGGGGAGAACATTGATTCATTCCCCAACCTTTTAGGCTGCCCTGGAACTCAGCGTTTCCATTTATTTATCTCCTTATTTCTGTGCACACGTGCAGGCTGGAGCTGGCCTGGGAAGATGGTGCTAAGAAATGGATTCAATTAGAAGCGCATGTCCCACATTCTTTCCTCAGACGTCCACCTTTTCTCGAGGCTCATTCCTGTGGTGGGTTTCCCTCGATCCCCGCACCTTGCATGCCTTCGGTAGATTCTCCACTGGAGGAAGCAAGTGCAGCACTTATATCCAAAGCAACTTACGTTGCCGGTACTAGTTTAGATCCTCTCGGCTGTATTTAGCATATTTTCATAAGAATGCTGGTTCTGTCCTATTTTCTCATGACCTGAGCCCTGGTGTGTGCCTGGCAGGTGCTGTGGATAGCACCTGGGACATAGCTGGTGCTCCTTTCTGGCTTTCCAGCCAGGCCTGTCTCCAGACTGGGGGATCCTAGGTGGACACTGGGGTGGAGTCACTACTGAAGGTAGGAAGTTTTGGGTTCTTTGGACGGGGGAAGCTGAAGCAGTACCCACGTTCTACAGCAAGGTAAGGGAGTTCTAGGTAGAGGCATTTCTGAAGGGCCAGAAGGAACTGCCATGATCCTCTCAGTGGATGGGGTCATCCCAAATGGCATGGGTACCACGTCCTCATGATTGGGGCCATGCATACCAGGTGCCAAGCCCTCTCACTGGATATTGATGGGATATTTGTCAAGGTAGTATCCCCGCAAGGTACCCCACCCAGATATCCCGCTGCAGATTCAGGATCCCAATCTTCCATGAGGCACCCGACTAAGCACCCCTTTCTTCTGTATGGACTTGCAGAGAGGCAATTCCATCGTGGGAGGGCCGAGTGGTCCAAGCGGAAGAATATCCTCACAAAGCCCTCAGAGAGATGGCCCTTTAAATCTCTGCTTGTGTGTTCAGAGTCTCTCTGCTGCTACCAGCTGGGTGACTTTGGGCAAATCAGATGACCTCTCTGAGTCTGTATTTCTGCATTTGTAGAATGGGGCAAATCCTCCCTGGATGCTTGTCCTATAGGGATCCTAAGAACCACATGGAATGATCTGGGTGGGGTATAGATTTGTGCAAGGTAAAATATCTTATCAGGCAGAGAGTGGCGTGCTTAAGAGAGCAGATGCCAGAACCCGCTGCCTGGGCTCAAATCCTGGCTGTGCTGCTGCCTAGCTGTGTGACCTTGGGCAAGTTATCGCCCATTCTGTTTCCCATTTGTAAAAAGAAGATAGTAATAGCAACTCCTCCACAAGCATGTGATGAAGATGTATGAGTTAACATATGTGAAGAACTTAGAACACTGTGTGTTAGCGTTTATAATTCTACTCAGGGATAGTCTATTTCATTAATGTGTTGTTTTAAACACACACACACAGACAATACCATGGCTCGGAACATTTTCAAACATACCACAAAATATCAGGGTTATGCTTCCAAGCCTGCCAGCCAGGATCTCGCTCTGTTGCTCAGGCTGGAATGCTGTGGTGTGATCATGGCTCACTGCAGCCTCAAACTCCTGGGCTCAAGCGATCTTCCCGCCTCAGCTTCCCAAGTAGCTGGGACAACAGGCGTGTGCCCCTATGCCTGGCTGATTGAAATTTTTTTTTTTTTTTTTTTTTTTTTTTTTAGAGACAGGGTCTCACCATGTTTCCCAGGTTGATCTTAAACTTCTGGCCTCAAGCAATACTCCCACCTCTGGGGACCTGGGGGCTTCCTTTCCTCCAGACCTGGGTCCCAGTCTACAATTAGGCATGTGAGAAGAAACCTGAAATCACTGTAAAGACAGGCCCGGCTGCGTGGTTGGTTTTCTAAGTGCAGGTCCCCCCTTTCCCCCCAGCAAAGGCCAAAACTGGAGCACCTCGGGCATCGTTTCTTGTTGGCGTAAAGGCCGGCTATTGACACCTGCTCTCATCCCTCATCCACCAGCGGCTCTGAAAGTAACCCACAGACTCTCAGCTGGCCACTTCAGCCTCGGTCTTATCAATAATTCCTCCTGGTGAAATGCAAACTGCATCGAATGGCTCCCACTCCTGATTAGGATTCTCTCTCCATACTGAGTGGTCCCCACTCCAGGGCTGGCTTTTTATGAGTTGGGGGCTGGGGATGTGAAGGGGAACTGGGAAGTAGAGGAGGAAATAGCACTTTCGAGCTGCAGTTCTGCTAATGGGTTCCAAACCCACCAGATTCTCTCATAAAAAGTTTATCATGATTGAAACAGTAAAATAGAGCAGAGAGCCAATGAAAGGACTGGCAATATTATCACAAATTGGCAGAAAAAAAATCATTGCTAGTTTTGATTACAAAAAAAAAAAGCAATCATAAGAGAGGAAGGAAGAAGAAAGCCACAGCATCAGATAGCAGAGTTTTTACAATTCGAAGGCAGGGAATGAGGCAGAGATATTAGACATGGTTCTGACATGTTCCAGACCTCTCCTTTATCTTTACAAAAGGGGTAAGGAAAGCGTTTGGACCAGGGCTAGGGAGATTCTTCTGCCATTCAACATCTCAACTGTACTTCAATGCAAGTGGCTCTGGACACCTGTGGGGCATGCGAGTGAGGTCTGGGAGATATCTGGTTTCTCCTCCAGTCGCCTTTCCCTTGTTACCATAGCAGGTCCCAAACCTGCCTCTCCAGCCCTCTTTTTCCCAAAGGGTCCAGGGGGGTTCCATTGCCACAACTGCACAGACGGGGTGCTCCTGGGACCAGTCCTTCCTAACCCCTCAGAAGCTGTCGCACCTCCAGCCCAATCAGCCTCCATCACAGGTGGCCAGGGAGGGCCTAGAGCTGTCTGGATGGACCAGCAGCTGCTCAGCAGATGTCTCCCCCAGCAAGCAGTGTGGGTGGGAGCTTCACTTTACAGGGCCAGGTGGCAGGGCCGCACTCTGCTACCCGATGGGACGGCACTGGGAGCTGCGGGCTCCCAGAGGGCCCAGTGTTATGCCTTTGGGAAACGGGCTTGTAGGTGGGCTAGGAGTGCCACCCAAGCTGCTGTCAATATCCCCACCAGATGTCCATCTCAAAGGGGTGTGGCCGAGCCACGAGAAGGCTAAGTGAAGGAGGGTCCCACCGGGACAGGGGAGGCCGGGTAGAGAGCACTGGGAGGGGAGCCAGGAGGCCCGGAGACCCCTGATCAGTGATGGACTTGGCTCAATCATTTCATCTTGCTGGGTGGTGGTTTCTTCACATCTCCCACAAAGGTTTGAGTAAGTCCAAGTCTTAGGTTTGAATCTCCAAGTCTCCTTTTGGCTCTGATATCCTCAATTTGTGATGATGGCATGTAAAAGAGGACATTTCTCATGGTCTCAGAATTTCTTCAGGAGCCTAAAGCTGAGAATCATAGGCGACAAGGACCTCTAGATTCTAAGAAGAGGTGCTAGACTTCTAAGAAGGGCTTGCCAAGGGCTGGGGTCGGGGGCTGGTTCTGAGCCCCTGAGCCCATCACAGCTCCAGTCTGGGTAAAATAAATAGAATGGGCATCGAATGAGATGGTGGAATGAGGCTCTTTTTGAACAGAGTAGGGCATTCTGTGGGTTCCCTGTGTGTGTCAGAAGAATGGGTCCCATCTGTGGTCCTGTGAGCCCAGGAAAGCCAGGGAGGGAGCAGGGGGCAGGGAGAGGGGAGGGTGCTGAGGAAGTCCTGGGGCGGGAGAATGAGGCATGGGTTCTGTGGCTGCGGGGCAGGGGCTGGTGAGGACCCTGGCTTGTGGGCAGAGGGAGCAGAGAAGGTTCTGGAGGGCTGCAGGACCATGGGGAGCTTCTGCTTACCAAGGGGCAAGTAGACATCATGCAGGGCAGAAGGGACAATAACCATGGCTAACTTCTACTGAGCACTTTCTACGCACCAGGCTCTGTTTGAAGGACAGATATGCTAACAAAACACATTTATTAACCCCATTTTACAGCTAAGGTAACTGAGGCACAGACAGGTGAAGGGACTTGCCCAAGGCTGCCGAGCTACTGAGCATTAGAGGAGGGACACAACCCCAGGCAGCCTTGCTCCAGAGCCCTGATCTTCACCCCTGTGCTGCACCGCGCCTCTGACAGAGCTGTCTCAAAGGACTCCACTCACGAGGACTGCCTGCCGAAGAAAGAGGCTGTGCGGTGTGTCCTAGAACAGAGCTAAGGGGGACTCCGGAGACCAACCAAAAAGGTCATTGCCTGCATGGGGAGCAGTGCAGTGTTAAAGGCCCAGAGAGCTTCCTCCAAATAACTCACAATATCTTCCATGAGAGAGAGGGCGGCTGACAAGCTCGCTCTACCAGCTGCAGCCGCTAAGTACAATGACCCTTTCACCCTCTTCCTCTCATCCCTCCTCCCAGCCTGGAGTCAGCTGGGGAATGGTGAAGCCAGGAGAGATAGCCCCCATTTTTCTCCTGGTGGGTTACCCAGCCTAAGTGAGCCCCAGGCTACAGGGTGGGGTGGCGGGCGGGAGGAGAAGCCTTGATAGATGAGGGTTTGCAGTTTTGATTTAGATTTGTGAACAAGTATTTACTGAGTGTCTACTATGTGCAGAAACTGTTTTAGGACATGAGGATATGGCAAAGAATAAAATGGACAAAATCTTTGCCCTCTTGGAGTTTACAGTGGAGGGGTAAACTAAACAAACAAGAAAATACCTTGTAGGTCAAATGGTGTTAAGTAGTTAGGTACCATGGAAGGGGCGTTGAGCAGGGAAGGTTGGGGGGCAGCTGTATTTGAGAGAGGGTCAGGGAAAGCATTTCCGAAAAGGTGACATTCCTGAGAGTCCTGAAGGTAGTGAGTGAGTGTGCCACATGGGTACCTAGTGGAAGAACACTCCAGGAAGCAGAACGGGGGATAGCAAGTTCCAAGGCCAGGGGCCAGCACAGGTTGGCGTCTTTCAGGACAATGGCATGCGCCAGAAGGCGGATGGGGAGAAGTGGCAGGAGATGAGGACAAAGAGGAGCAGGGCGTAGGGCCAGGCTGAGCAGGGCCTTGTAGGCGAGGACTTTGGCTTCTACTCGGAATGGGGCAACAGCCAAGAGAGGGTTTTGAATAGGATTGTAAAGAGTTTTCAATACTACAGAGTGAGAGAGCAGAAATGCTACTGGATTGTCTGCAAATGAGTGCCAGAGGCAGGTTCAAGCGGAGAACATCTGCAGCCAAAGTGATGGCACACATATGGGGGAGGGGCTCCTCCCAGGCTCAGCGGCCTCATTGCCTTCCGCTGAATGGAAGGCCACTTCAGGTCGGCCTGGGCCAGAGCAGAGGCCAGGGCTCACTGCCACTCCAGAGGCTGACTTTGGGTCTGGCCACTGTGGGACGATGCGTGTTAGGCACGGAGCAGAGGGAGAGCTGAAAGTGGTCTTAGATCCCCTGGGCCCAGCAGGCTTGTGGCTTAACCATAGAGCCTCTCTGCCCTAGAGGCCCAGGCAGAGACCTAGCAGACACCAGGATTCATGAACCAGGCAGCTGGTGCGGCGGTCGGAGCTGCGGCTGTGCAGTCAGCAGCCCTTCCTCCCCAGAGAGGGTCAGGGGAACTTCCAGGAGGAGAGGCACTCAGAAGGCCTGACAGACTGGGTTGCATTCAAAGGAGGCTCCACCAAGGGCTATTTTGAAACTTGGCTGTGATTGCTGGGTGATGGGTGCTTTTTCCAGCCCTTGGTGAGCAGTAATTTCTCTGACAACCTTGGCCATACCCGGTACCCCAGCATAGCCTGCTCATATTCCTAAAGCTGCCAGCTGCTCCACCCTTTCTCAGGTGGTTTCTAGCTCTCCTCCTGGGGGCCCTGGGCCTCTGCCCTACCTCACCTTCACCTTCCCTGCTGTCTAGGCTCAAAGTCTATTCTAATGTAATCCACAAAAAGCCTGCCTGAGTTCCCTTGGATTCCTGGGGAGGCCAGAACAACAGCAGCAGCCTACAAACCCAGCAGGCCGATTTGTTTCAAAGAGGGGAAACTAAGCTTAGCAAACTTTTCCCGTTAGAATGTACATCATGTGCCCACCAGGAAGAGCAGTCCCTCCACAATGATTATAAAGAATTCAGATGTCAGATATGAGACCCTCCTCTCCATGACACAGATGTCCAGGGAGCAGCAAGACTCTTGGGTCATGTTCTGTGATGCCCTGGACTTTGCTGGGTCTTTGCCTGGCCTGAGTCCTAGCTGTTTGGATTCCCATTTCCTTCCACTCTCAGCACCTTTTGTCACCTCTCTGGGCTTTCCTCAGTTGCTTGTCCATCAGTGAAGATAATGCCTTCTCTAAGCTGAAGAGACAGCCCGACCATGAGATCTCTAGAGTTCCAGCCTAGCTCTGCCATCCAGGTTCCTTTCTCTTGCTGTCCTCCTGAGCTAGAATGTGGCAGATTTTTTTCCATCATGCAAATGGGACCCCCAACCAGGAAAACCCAAGTGACTTGTCCCAGTCCACACTGGCAGTAGGAAGCAGAACCCATGCCTTCCAGCCCCCAAGCCTGGTGGTCCTGCTGTGGCCCCTGACCCTCCTGTGGGTGCAGAGCCCCTGTAGCCCTGAGGGACATGGCACAGGGAGTCCCACTCCCCTGCACAAGGTCCCCTCAGATCCTGGCTAGGCCACAGAGCAGAAAGTGTAGGGGTCTTCCCAGAGTGGGGCATGCCAGCTGTGAGAGCTTCTCAGGGATCTGGAAAGCTCTCCAAAGGAAGGCATGGAGGTGCAGCTCCAGGGCTGGGAGGGACTTCTGTGGGGGAGAACTGACTCAGGCTGGGGTCCATGATAAGGCAGCCAGCAGAGCAGCCTTCCCATCATCGCTGTGGCCTGTGCTGGCCAGGCTGCCATGGTGGTTGTCTGCTCCCATTCCTCAGTGGGATCACCAGGGCTTGTAAGGACAGCCTCTCCAGGGCCAGGCTTCCCAAATCCTTCCGCTTTGCCAAGGAAAGATCAAACAGGGTACCTTGGGAGGCTCTGATGGGTCAAGCAGGCTCACGCCCCCTGCCAGGCAGGGTCCGTTCCCCTCCCCTACAAAGGGGCTGGACCTGCAGCAGTGAGAACAGCAGTGACAGCTGCGGTGACAACCCAGGGGAAGAAGATCTGGCCAGCTCTTGAAGCACAGAGCCTGACGAGGTGAAGCCCAAGGGTGGCAAGTTACTCAAAGAGCATGGGGAAGGGGGACTGTCCCAGAGCTGACCACTGAAGAGGGGCCTCTGCTCCCCACATTCCCTCATCCTCCCTCATTCGGACCCTGGATTCTCATCTTGCATTTTCCAGGCTAAATATCCGCCAGCTGTCTGGGTCCCAGGGACACAAAACACGCATCTGCAAACCCACCCTTCTCTCTCCCACCCACGCCCTCCAAGCTCTGTTGACTCCCAGCAAACCCCTTTGTGAACACATGGACCTGGTAGGGTCCAACAAGGCTTTTGGGGCTTGCCACTCACCTAGTGTGGTCCCTGAGCCAGCAGCATCGGCATCACCTGAACCCTCTTTAGAAATGCAGAATCTCCAGCCCCTCCTGGGCCCACAAACTCAAAAAAATCTGCATTTTAACAAGCGCTCTGGGTGATTCTTACGTGCATTCATAAGCATTCCTATGTGCTTTGGGGACATGGCCTGCCCCCTCCTTGAAGGCCCTCTGGCTTGACCACAGGGCAGTGAAGTCCTGTGCAACTGGGAAATGCTTCCCTTTTGCAGGCTATTCCAAGGCAGGCCCCTCTGGACAAGCTGCAGGATTTCAAGTTGGAAAAACAGTCTCTTGACACTCCAGGGCTTTATTGAATTTCCATTTTTAATTTGCAGAGTAGAGATGGCTGCTTGGAGACTGCGTTCTCCTCCATGGCTACCCTGCCTCTCTTCCCAGTTCCAGCATCCTCCTCTCTCCCCACTTAAAAAGGAAACAGAAAACCCACATGGGAATGGCATTAGTGGATACTGCTTCTTTAATTAATTTAATAAATTAATCCTTGGACTTTTTTCTTCACTGTCTCCTTGGAAGTCCCTCCTAAGGCACTGGGCAGAATCACAAACACCCACATCAAATCCTCCAGCCCCCGGGAGTCTCTTCCGTTAATACCACTACAGACTGATAGAATTATTTAAGCTCCTAACTGGTTGCCCTGTCCCAGTCTCTCTCTCCACATCCCCGCTTGGGAACCACAGTGAACTTTCTAAAACACACATTTGATCTTGTCACTCCCGCTTCATTCTTTAGTGTCCTCTTATCACCTACAGAGTGGTTCTCGATGACAGTAAGACCCTACCCCCTTTAGGAAGTTGGGGGCTGTTTATGGTTGTCACAAAGATGCCTGGGTGCCAGCGGTCCTCCTCAGCACCCTGCTGTGTACAGGATGGCCCAGGAGGACAAGGAATTGTCCTCCTCCAATGGCAGCAGCGCTCTGTTCAGCCACACGTGAGATGCAGCTCATCTTCCTTGGGGAGGTGAATGAGGCCACCCGTCTGGCCTCCGCTGCCTGTCCAGCCCTGTCCAGAAACCTCTTCATCACTGCTGCCTTCCCTCCTTCCCACCTGCTCCAGCCATGAACTTGAACCTGAAGACACCCTCCCATGAGCCACTCATTCCCCTCTGCCTGACCGTGCCTCTGTGCTTCTTCCCCTACCTCACCTAGAAGAGTTCCTGCCCATCCTTCTTCCAGATGCCACCTCTCCCATGGCCCATCCAGGAGAGAGGTAAATGAGGCTTTTCTGTATGTCTCTGAATTTCAGTTGAAGCCAAATTCTTGAGGACAATAGGTGAAAAGAACTCCTACATTCTACTGAGAGGTGCTGGCTCCTGCTACACCTGGACATCCTGCACCCTGACTTGACACCCCCTCCAGCCCATGCATAAAGGCTGGAAAAGGATTCTTCCAAGGGAGGGACAGCTGGTAGGTGAAACTTACCCCTCGCTCCCAGCCAAGCCTGGAGAGAATATGTTCCATGTCCCCAAGTCTGGAGGTGACAGAGACAGGTACATGACTCTCTCAGGAAAAACTGTGAAGGCCAGAGGCTGGCTGGAGGGAGGAAGGAAGGGAGAGAACTGCCCTGAGCCTGCTGTCTCCTGGCTCCCATTCTACTGATGAGGAAACTGAGGCCCGAAGAGACCAGGTGACTTGTCCAAGATCACATTGTTATTAAACAGCTGAAAGAGAAATCAGACCCAGATCTGTCCCACTTTACACCATAATGTCCCTCTGCTCCTCCACAGAGGACTTGCCCCTTTCCTGGCCAGTTTCACTCATTCATCCATTCATTCATTCATTCACCTTTAGTTATACCTTCATTCCACCAACCAGGAAGTATTTATTGAACAACCACTGTTATTTATTTGTTTGACTAATTTGTATCTTACCCTGCTCCAATAGGAATTAGAGGCAGCTTATAAAGACACCTGCAGTGTCATAAAATGTGATGGGATGAGGGATGAGGTCTGAAAAGAGGGAGTGCCAACAACTGAGCGATAAGGAAAATAGCACAGAAGACAGAGCACGGTTGGTCCCAGGACGTCCCAGCCTGCATCTTTTCTCTAGGTCAGTGGTAAACTGGACTGCACGCCTCTAAGTTGAAAAGGCTAAGAGCACAAGACCTACTGCGTGTAAAGTGATCTGCTAGTCTCTCTGGAACATGCAGAGGAGAGCCGAGTTCAGTCATCTGCGAGTTTCTCGACATCACTTCAAAGTTTGCAAAGCTCAACGACATGCAGCTCCATATTCGAGTCTCCTTATAACCCTGTAGGAGATGGAAGCTCAGAGAGGTGAGTGACCAACCCAAGGTCACACAGCTGGTGGATAAAAGAGGCCTTCTGCTTCCAGGCTTTTTCCTGTAGAGCAGAGGGGTCGAGCTTGTAGCCTCTCGGGCCAAATGCCTGGGCTCATATAATGGATTCACTACTACTTGAAGGATGTGTGACTTTGGGCAAGTGACTCAACCTCTCTAAGCCTCAGTTTCCTCATATACAATGTGGGAGAAATACAGTACACATTTTTATAAGTGAGCAGTGTCCTTAAAACTCCTGGCTCATAGGCAGTATGGAATAAATGTTAGCTGTCATAATTTTATCACACAGCTGGCTGTCTCCTGTCATCACCCCCACCCAGGGTCCCAATACCTTCTTTCAAGGACACAGAAGGGTGGTACACATAGACACGTATGTGCACAAATGCAGGCAGATATATGTGTGCTGTTGTCATCCTCAAGCCAGGAAGTAGTGATTTTCTTATCAATACCTTGCCTTTCTTTCTCCCTGGAGATGGATAACAAGGAATAAACTCTTAGGAGGATTCTACCTCCCACTACTGCCATTCCAAGCATCAGTCCCTTTCTCCTGACCCATGGATGTACTGACTCACTTCCCAAAGGGTGGAGCCTTCCCAAGTCCCTGTGCCCATGTGCCAATCACAGGGACCCCAGCAGGGTTTGTGCACAGGGAGAGCAAAAGAGGGACAGATCACACGTGATGTTTTGTATGGATCTTTCCCTTCTCCTTCTTTCTCCCCACCTCACCTCCCACCAGTGGCCTCTCCCACTGCCAGCCAGTGCCTTGCTCAGAACCTACCTCTTCCTCCTACACAGAAAGGTATGAAACCCATCAGCGCTTGTTTTTAGCTGGGAACAAACTGTTCACACATTTCATTAACTAAAAAAAAAAAAAAAAAAAAAAAAAGAAAAAAAGAGGAAGAGGGTGTGTGGGGTGAAGACGCTAGGATATCAAAACCATTTAACTCAATTATATACAGAGATGCAGAGTTAGCAAAGAGCAGAGAGAGAGAGAGAGAAGGAGATGACGGAGTTTCATTAAAAAAAGAAAAGACAGATATGGATGGAGGTGGCCCCTCCTGTCTTTGTGCTAGTTCTTCTGTTCTGATGTGTCTGTCTAATGTAAAATGTATTGCTGAATGTTAAACACTTTTAAGCCAAGAATGTAAAATTGAAAGGTGTTTGTGTGTGCTTGAGAACAAATAGAACATGAGGTGTTGAGTGGAGTCTGACCCCTTTCTTCATATATTGCTGGGGCTTTGCCCAGTGCTCAGATCTTTAGCCAAAGGGAGAGACTGGAGTTTGCCTGACTAATTGCTCCACAGAGGGAGGAAGGTTCCAAAGTCCCTTCTTCAAGTAGCCAAAGTGGGCCCCAGTGGAGATGCCAGGGCCGGTCCAGCCGGTGCTCTGAGCCTGTCATGGGAAAACTTGGCAATAGAGGAGGTCTCCTGTTGAGGCCCCTGTCCCAGGAGGCCTGAGGCCCAAGGGCAGAGCTGGACCAGGCCTGGAGAGTAACCAAGGCCTTCCGTGACATCGAGGCACCTAGGGATCTCCCCAGGGCTTCCTTCAGGCCTCTCAACATTCACTGGCATTGGATCACACAGTGGGCGATAGACTTGTGAGGGAAGCTGTAGGAGTCAGGATTTCAGAGCTGGAAGGAATCTCAAAGATCATTTCATCAGGCTCTTTCCTAAGATGAAGCTCAGACAGGCTGTGTGATTTATCCAAGGTCACACAGAAAATTAACGGTCAGAGCTGGAATCCAGGCCTCCTGATTCCCAGAAAGCGGCTATCTTCATGTCTCCACCCTTCCGCTTAATTCCTTACCTCCTCTCCCTACCTCCCCTAGTCAGGTTAGCAGAAAACAGGGTCAGGGTGGAGGCCCAGGCAGGGTCATGGGCAGGGCATGCACAGTTGGGCCCAGGTAGAGTGATGGGGCACATATGCCCCCAGGGGCAGACCTGGGGTCCCAGCACCCCTAGGTAAGAGGGTCTGTGGTGGGATTCAGAGGGGATGGGGTTCCAGCACGGGTGCCTACAAATATTCCAGAAGAACTCAAAGGTTTGCTTTCTACCCCTGGAGCTGTTGTGAGCTCTGAGCTCCCCGGGAGGAGACGGAAAGCACGCGTACCTCTGGGTGACTTCCAGTGGTAGCTCAAACTCTCTGAGCCTTTCCTTATCTGCATACTTACCCTGCCTGGTCCCAGGGGTGTGGCTAGGTAAGCTGCAGGTTGAAAAATGTCTGGGAAGTTGTACAGTCCTGTCATTCGTGAAGGGAGAGGATGACTGCTAGCAGTGGTATGATGACTGTCTAGGGGGCCATGAGAACAGACACTTAGCACCTGCTGCATTTGAGGCTCATTTTTGGAAAGCAGGACCTGGAAAGAGCTTGGGCCCCTGAAGACTGCTATGATCTACAGCCTTGAGGATGGGAGGGAGGGTTCTGATGCTGCATCTGTGCCACTGGACCCAAAGCCAGTAAATGTTGGGACAAGGCTGCAGGGAAGAGAAGGTGAGATCCAGAATTGAGGTACCAGGTTCCCTCCCCACTACAGGAGCCCCAGCTCCTGCCAAAGACCTCCATGGGCTGACATGGTTGAGCCTGACCTTGAACTATGTGGAGAGATGGAGCTGGGAAGGAGTGATAGGGCTGGGTGGATCACCCTTAGCTTAGAGTTTAGTAACTCCAGGGTGTCCCAGTACTGACCTGCTCTCAGCATATGGGCAGAGGTGCGGTCAAGTGCTCATACCGCCCTCTGTTGAGTCTCAGGTGGGATTAGTTCCCAGAGGACAGCACAATGCATGATTGGGTCTGACCCTTCCTTCTGCACAAGTGGTAACTGGGCCTCAGAAAGAAGCAGGCACTGGGCCTGATCCCACCAGTGGCAGAGCCAAGAGCAGGAGCCTTCGCACTGCGGGTCCACAGCTGCCATTGCTCCATCAGCCTCCCCAGCCCTGGTCCCTGCCCTACACTGCAGAGTCCTGGGCACATGCCCCCCGGCACCTGGAGCCTCCTCTCCTTGCAAAGTTCTCTTGGCCTGCTTGTGGCCAATTTGGTCATACTCAGGTGTAAATGACTACGGCACCTTCAAGAGTCCTTTCCGGTGGGCACCTGCATATAAAGGGAATCCAGAATTTTAAGGAAGAGGCAGGCACATGCCTGGGAGCGGGAGAAAGAGGCAGAGGGGTTCTCAGGACCCTCAGGGCCTCAGAGATCTGACCACAGAGGCAAGGACCACCCAGGCCACCAGGTGAAGCTCATCTGCCATACCATCTACAAGCCTGATGATGACGATGATGATGATGATGGTAACTCACATTTATTTAGCTTGATCTTTACACTTTGGATCCAAGAACCGGTGACTCAGGCACTAAGTGGGAAAGTGGATTATGACACATTGAATGTCTTTCCTCTTTAGGATTATGAGTCTGTGACTGTGAGAATTTGCTGGCTGTGGGTAGGCTCTTATTAACCCCATCTCTGCAGAGCTGCAGACACAGGGGTACCCCAGATGTCTACATGCAGAATGTGGATGGGGGCAGGCAGAAGGCCAAGGACTCTGGGAGGATTTATAGGAGAGACAGGAAGAAAAGGAGGAGAGGCCAGAGCGGGAGGAGGCAAGCCAAAGAGATCACAGGTAAAGAAGTTCAAGGAGGAGGGAGAAGTCAAGGGCTATTTGGATTTGGAGCCACTCTGCGTTTATTTTTTATTTTTTAATTTTTTTAGAGACAAGATCTCGCTCTGTAACCCAGGCTGGAGTGCAGTGATGCAATCATGGCTGACTGCAGCTTCGAACTCCTGAGCTCAAGTAATCCTCCTACCTCAGCCTCGCAAGTAATTAGGACTACAGGTGTGCTCCACCATGCCTGGCTATTTTTTTTTTTTTTTTTTTTTTAGAGATGGGGTCTCGCTATTTTGCCCAGGCTGGTCTCAAACTCCTGGGCTCAAGCAATTCTCCTGCCTCAGCCTCTGAAAGTTCTGGGATTACAGGTGTGAGCCACCATGACTGGCCTAATCTGCATTTAAACCCTCTAATTCTTTGCAATGTTTTGTTTCAATAATTATTTTTTGAGCATCTACTATGTACCCAACAGTGTATGGCACACTGAACACTCCTCTAAACCCTGGAAGGTTAATATTAGCATTCTGTTTGAAAAGTGAGGAAATCAGAGCTTAGAAGTGTAGTCTCTCTAGGCTTTAAGAGAAGACATCAAGATTCTGAATAATTAACAAAACTGGTAAGGGCAGCTTAATAGATGGCACATGTCCTGCACTCCCATGCAAAGGTCCCAGGGAGCTTAGGGGAAAGAGGGCTGGATGGTCTGGACCTTGGATCTGACCACATTTGTCCTCATGGCCAGATGGGCCACGTGGTCCAAGTAACAAGGATGTCTATGGGGAGTCCTGCGAGGAACCCAGGCAGCTTCTCCTGCAGACCCAGGACAAGCATGGCCAAGCCATTCCCCGTGGTCGGCGACAGCTGTTGGAGGAAGGAGGGAGGAAGAAGCGCTCATTCAGATGATGGGTGAGGAGAGAATGCCAGTACTGGCAGAAGGGGAGGGAAGAATGGAATTCTCAATAGCAGCAGCAATACAGGAAAAAGAATGGTGTCTGGGAAGATAATGACTTAGAAAATTTGGAGCGTAAAACTGCTACAGAGGTGCCAACCCCGAGGGGCAGAGAAGGCAGGGACAGGGCTGGCTGTGCCCATGAACCATCAAGGGTGGCACCTGGGCAGGCCTGGCAGCTCACCAATGCCCTCCCATCTCCAAGCAGTGGGGAGAGGGAGGGCTGTGTTCTCGGGGATGGGCCCAGGCCAGGCCTGCTATTTCCTGACAATGGTCTCAGTCCCAGCAGGACAAGAGTTGGGAAGGATAGGGGAGAGAAGCAGCCTGCTTCTCACCTCCTCAGCCCAACATCATCCAGGCAGGGAGAAGAGCCACCCATTCCCGCCTCCTCCCCACACAGACTTGCAGCTCCTATCTTTAAGGGAGGCAGGAAGAACACAGGACCAGGAGGCAGGGAATGGGATTTTGGGCTGGGCTCCACCAAGGACATGCTGTGTGACCTTGGGCAGGTCCCCCAGCCTCTCTGTGCCTTGTATCTGATGGGAATGATGCATGCCCACCTTACCTGCCTTAAAGGGCCATGAAGAGAGGCTGTGGGAAGATACTTCGAAGAGGCTGAAGGCCCTAAATGAATGTACAATCTAATCACCAGCATCTTCAAAATGCTTCCACTAAGTGCTAAATGCTATCCCGAGTTACACAAATAGTCTTCTTTTCCCTTTTTAACCAAGGTCGTCCTAACCAGGGCACGGATTGGCTCTGCCCTGCTGGCAACCTCCATACTCTCCATGGAAAGTGAGTAACCCTTTCAGCTCTCGCCTACTGGCTATCATTGAGGACACCAGCCCTATGCAAAAGGCAGGTCTCGGAGCAACAGAGACCCCTTCCATGCCTCATAGCTCCAGGGAAGCAGCACAACCACCATCCTCCTCCCCTCATCTTCCCAGGGGCTTCTGTTTCCGGCAGGTAACCTCACAACAGCTGCAGGACAGAGGCATCATCACCCCAGTTTTACTGATGAGGAAACCGAGACTCACAGAGGCTAAGGAATTTGTAGACAGAGACAAAGTGGTTCTAGACAGAAACGTTTAAGGGACGCATACAAAGAAGCTGCAATAAGCAGAGCTGTTTGCGTGTTGCTTTTATGTTTGCTTTACCTTCTTTGTGTTTTCTAAGCTACTTGAAGTGTGCTGTGCAGGACAGCATCACCCGAGAGCTGGTCAGGTCAGAAATGCAAAATTTCAGGCCCTGCCCTGAGAAATCAGAGCCTGTCTGATAACACAAACCTTCGGGGATTTGTAGGCACGCTGAAATGTGAAAGGATAGTAATACATAGCAAGAAAGACTGGGTTAGCTATAAAGACAAACTTCCTGCCAGCAGGGTATGAAACGTGTTTCTGGAAACTCCTTCCCTGTGGAAGGCAGGGATGAGGTCAGGGCAGAGATCCTCAGCTTCTGGGGTGCTTAGATGGGACATAGAGTGGGGGTGAAGGAGATGATCACTCAAGGCTCCCTCCTGCCCTGGGACCCACATCATGGGCTACTCAGGAGCCTCCCAAGGAGGAACCCAAGGGGGTCCCACACCCTCCTGGAGCTTCCCTGACTGCTGGAGACCTGGATTCAAATGCAGCTGCCTCTGTCGAGCTGAGACCAGCAGGCTTAATTCACATTCTCCTGGAGGATAGGTATTTGCATCAGAAATTACCCTGGAACTTAATTCTGCATAATGTTGCTCAGACAAACGACACCCCTGAAACTCTTTGCCAAGGCCAATAATAACATAACTGCAGAGAGAAATAATGAATAGGAGCAGGGGGAAAGGGAAAGTCAAGGAGGTGGGGATGGGGGAAGGGAAAAGAGACAGGCTTCTAGCCGGAGGTGTTCTTGTCCTCTCATCAAGCCGCCAGCATGCTCCCAGCACCTAGTAGGCACTCCAGAAATAGTTTCCAAAAGCCAGAGACTATACTGAAAAAAACAAAACCAAAGAACACAATGAAGTAAAGCTGAAGACAGAGCTGCTTCACTTCATTAACTAACAAAACTATAAAGCAATTCATTAATCCAACCATTTATTTGTTCAACAGATTCTACTGAGTACCTATTAAGAGCTGGGCACTGTGCTGGGGCACTGTGATCCCTGCCCTCATGGCCAGTTCCAGTCCTGGGCTCTGAGCCCAGTATGTCCAATCCCAGCATGGGGGAGTCTCACAAAGTTCCTGCCCCAGGAAGCTTAAAGCCCCAAAACAGCACCCAGGCTGGCTTGGTAAGTGACCACAGACCTCCCAAGGGATGGAGGCACCCACGGGTCTCCAAGCTGCCCTCACGGGCCTTTCAACATCAGTCGCATTGGATACAGCAGTGGCCACTGTGATTTCCTTGAGGCCTGTACGCCTCTGAGATTTCCGAGCTGGAAGGATTAGGGATCACCAAGCTATCTGCATTTATTTTACAGACAGGACATGAGGTTCAGAGAGGTAGTGAGACATGTCCAAGGCTACCAGCCAGTTCATGACAGAGCTGGAGGAGGAGCCCAGCCACCTCTGGACCATGCTCACCCCTCCCTGGAAGGCAGGGGACCTGGGATCTTGTGCGTAGGCCAGGCAGGTCACACTTATTCTTGTTTTATCATCTGGAAACAGAAAAAGGGAACCTTTCAGTAGTTCTCACTCTGTGCTTCATGAAGCTACCACAGGGAACCCTGGGAAGAAAGAGGGTGTGGGAGAGTAGAGGGGCTCTGGGCTCACCCTGCTTCCATCAGAGCAGCTGCCTTGTTCACTGGGCTCCCATGAGACTGTTGGTTTGAAGCAAGGGTTCCACAGCTAAAACCTCAAACCAAAACAACTAGCCAGAAAACCTCCCTAGGGCTCCCGTGACACATGCGTTTGGCCCTTCGAGATTACAAAGGACAGGATCTCTGTCCCCCAGATGTGTATACTACATTTTATGAGGGAGGAAACACACACATGTGAATAGACTTGAAAATCCCCAGGAAACAGCATTTAGGGTGATAATGAGTGGGCTGTCTCAGGAGTAAGTCTAAAGTGACCAGTGCCAAGGATGACGTGTTACGTGAGGAAGCAGGTGGGCAGCTTCTCTGCACACGGGGATCCTAGGGAGATGGACCTCCCTGAAAACACAAGGGGCAGGGAGGGGTGAGTCTGAGTAACAGGGACCCTGGAGCTTTCCACTTTCTGCCTTTGGGGACCCGCCCAGTCTGTAAGTGCTACCTAGCCCTCTGCCAACGGCCTCCCCACTCCCACTGACTCAACCCAATTTTGCATGTTTACATTATGGTTATGTATAATTCTGCCATTTACATTCAGTTGCAGGCTTCTCTGTGTGCTCATAAAATGTTAACATTGGAGGACCGCTTGTTGCAGAAATGTTTATAATTTCTCTTCCCCATTATGGGCTTATTAATGATAATAATGCCGTTTCCCTGCTTAGGAGCCGGGGCTACCGAAAGGCAATCACTCACCATAGCTGAAATATGACAGTGGGAAGTCGGATTCGTTCCCTGCTCGGCGTTTAATCTTAATAACATTTTATCTTGGACGACAAGTGTGTGTAATGTTGTTTAAAAGCCATGACTACATCGACACTACATGTTCAGAAAAAGGAACAGGGGAGGGGCTGGGAGAGGCTTTTTCTCCTCTCTTCTGCTCTACCTTCTCTCCCCAGGGGGGTTTTGCTCACAACTTTCATTTCCACAAGCTCTGGCTTTCAGAGATGGGAGTGGAATCCCACCCGAGGGTGGGTGGGGCTGCAGGGGGCCTTACTGCAGGAGGGCACTGTCCTCCACCCAGCCCTAGTTCAACATTTCCACTCTGAAATGACTTTTTTTTTAAGCTGTGAGCATGAGAAGTACCTTAGGAGTACATCAGCCTTTGAAAACACAACTACCTGAAATGGGCTCTATTAAAAATAAATATGTCCATTTCACTGGAGAGCTGGGCCTAGCGGGGGTGTGAAGTCTTCACACCTTGGTGCAGAGGTGATGCAAGGTGTCCTTTTCCTAAGGCAAGGTTCCTAATGATGCAGTCCTTGGGCACAGTACCATTCTCCTCTCCTTGCCTCCCTGCTGCTTGGCCGCCTCCTCCTCTGCTTTTCCAGGCTTCTTTGCTCTTTGCTAAATCAGCCCCTTTTGTCTCCTTCTTGCTTACTGTGACTGAGAGCAGGGGAGACCCCCACCTTTTGCCTGTCACTTTCTCCACCCCCACAGTCTCACTCGGAGCCGTTCTGAGTGGGTTTTGTCTGAGATACCAAAAGGTAAAGGCCTTTTCTGTTGTACTTCTCTCTCTCTCCCATCCCTCCCCCAAACACACTCAGGATAGGGCTCTGTCCATTGTAGGTACTCGATAACTAGATGTTGGTCAGGATTTTAAACTACAACTATCACTTAGCTTGAATCATGGGCTGAGAAAGGGGAGGTCTGGTTTTAAAAATGTATGCAGACACGTAGAGTCATAGCCGCTATGGTTCTATAATTAGAGTAATATCATAATCATAATAAAAATCAGAAGCTGATCACTAGAAGAGACCTTCAAGAGCACCTCAATCAATCTTTTCCCCTCTGCTTCCCTGACCAAGGGGCATCCAGGCCCTGCTCGCACACCTTTAGCGGTAGGAAGCTCATGACCTGCACGGAGGTATTTATTGCTGGATGGGGAGACTCCGTTGAAATGACTCCCCTGCATGGAATGGAACTGAAACCGGTTGTTCTACAGCTCCCAAGTTCTGCCCTCTGGAGCCCATGAAACTGGTCTACTTCCCCTATGCACAGGAAGACCATCCTTTCATTTTCCTGTGTTTCTCATTAGACAGCATTTCCAGACCCCTCGCCATCTTGAGTGCCCACTTCCAACATGTTCAGTTTCTCAAAGTCCCTCCAAAAGTGTGATGCTTAGAACTGGAGCCTGGGCTCTGATGTGGTCTGAACAGCACAGAGTACGGGAAGCATTCCGTCCTCTGCTTTGGAATCTAACTTTAATTCAGCTCAAGAAAGATCTTCAGCATCTTGCCGTGGCATTTCAGCAGCCAGCCAAGACACCCTAAGATCCTCTTGTTATCAACTCTAACCGTTACTATCTGAACCTACATCAAGTCAAGTGTTCCCCAGCCTGTACTTACAGAATCGATTTTTTGGAACCTCAGTGCAAGACTTTCCATTTGTTTCTGTTAAGATCCATCTCCTTACTTTCATCCCATCATTCCAATCTGAAAGGTGTTTCGGATCTTGATTCTGGAGTCCCACGTATCAGCTCTCCCTTCTGCATTCTGTGTCATTCATCTATTTGAAAAACATGCCTTCTGGGTTTTACTCCAAAGCTTTATAAATGACTGAATGGGCAGGGTCAAGGATCAAGCCCTGCACCCCCCCATTTGACATCTCCCTCCAGGTACACATCAGCTTGTTAAACTACATTCTTTGGACATGATTGTTCAGCCATTGACAAACCAAAGGATGCTGGGAAAAGCCTGTGTCAGCATGGGCTCCAGAGCTGGGAGAAATAAATTCTGGGCCCCGTGATGCTACTAATAAGCTGCATTTTAAAAAAAGAAAAACAGGCTTTTGGGGTCTCAGTTTCTTACCTCTCCTCTCTGAAGAAACTTAGGGGCTGTCCAATCTAAGCCTCTCATATTACAGGTGAAGAAACTGAGACCCCAAAGTCTTGTTTGACTATTTTCCAAGTATATTTCTCAGCCTAGCCCACAAGGACATAGTCAGAGACTTTGTTAAAAGCGTCATTCAAATCAAGATGTCCTGTGGCCATCATGTTCTCTTCTTGTCCAGTCTAGTGTCTTTATGCAAACATGAGATGCCATTTTTGAGATGACTTATTTTGAATGTACAAGCAGGTTCTTTTCTCAGTGAAGTGTGGCTTTGTGTAGCGGATAAGGGTTTCCCTCCCTCTGTCATTTTTAGGTTCTATCTTTATATATATATATATATATATACACATATATATATATTTTTTAAATTGAGATATGTGTCCATAGGCTGGGCACGGTGGCTCATGCATATAATCCCAGCACTTTGAGAGGCTGAGGTGGATGGATCACTTGAGGTCAGGAGTTCGAGACCAGCCTGGCCAACATGGCGGAACCCTGTCTCTACTAAAAATACAAAAATTAGCTGGGCGTGGTGGCAGGTGCCTGTAATCCCAGCTACTTGGGAGGCTGAGGCAGTAGGAGAATTACCTGAACCTGGGAGGCAGAGGTTGCAGTGAGCTGAGATAGCACCACTCCACTCTAGCCTGGGCAACAGAGCTAGACTCCATCTCAAAAGAAAAAAAAAAAAAGATATGTGTCCATATATACTCTCTTGAAACCTGTTCTGTTCGTGTCTCAAAATAGAGAGAAACTAAGGTTTATAGAGCGCCTACAATGTGCTATGCCCCCAGACCATCTCCTTTCAAATGAATGCTGGGCTCTGGAGAGCCACAGCTGAGAAAAGCTAGGTCTCTGCCCCATCTAGCCAAGGAGGTGAGAAAAGCTAGGTCTCTGGACCATCTAGCCAAGGAGGTGTACACTTAAACATTAAGCCATAATATGGTGTGCTAAGTGGCACGTTGGTGGCTTGAACTAACTTAGATGAGAACCCAGGGGAAGGAGCCATCCTGGTTGGGGGTTAAGGAAAGCATCGTGGAACAGACAGATCTTGAACTGCCTGCTCTTTGGTGCAGATATGAATGTATGATTTCCTTCCAGGGACTTGTGAATAGTTAATATGAATAAAGCCCAGGGTGCAGGTGGGTGGCAAGTGAAGTATGTAATCAAAGATGAGGCCGGAAGTGCACTGGAGCCAGGCTGTGCTGGCTTTGGATGCCTGCTAAGGACTTGACCTTCAGCCTTTAGGTGACTGGAAGACAGGGGATGTACACAGCATGACAGAAAGGACTTTAGAAAGATGCTTGGCAGCCGTATGGTGGATGGATTAGAGGGAAGACAACAGAAGCAACACAATAAGTGCTCAAGGGAGATATTACAAGGTCCTAAAGAAAAGCAGTGACAGTAGGAAAAAAGGGAGAGAAAGAGAGTCCACAGCTACTGAGAAGGTAGACTCAAGAGGACTTGGTTATCTATGAGAATTAGGGATGCGAGAAAGGCAAAGACATCACAGATGATGTTTTCCATGATCTCTGTCCTAAATAACAGGGCAGATCTTTTTTTTCTTTTCTTTCTTTCTTTTTCTTTTTTTTTTTTTTTTTTTGCTAACCAACCTGCAGAATAGATTTGAAATGAAAAAGGTGGCCATGAGCTCATTTCAAGACATGCTGAGCATGGTAGGAACTGCAGATGTGTATGTTGGGTCACCAGTGTTCCGGGGGTGGTTAGAATCAGAGCAGGTAAGCTTGTCCAGAGAGCACACGTAGAACAAGACAAGAGAGCTCAGGCCAGAGCAAGTGAGAAGCCAACATGCAGCAGGTAGATGCAGGGAAGAGCTCACTAAGACAACCTGAGGAGGGGTTAGAGGAGAGCTGGCGGAGTGGTATCATGGAACCCCAAAACGTGAATTCCAAATGCTACAGTTTTGAGGGTGTACAGAGAGATCCAAAGGATGAGCACTCCAAGAAGCGGCATTGAGGGAGTCAGTGGGGACGATGGAGAGACTTCTTTCCTGGTTGGAAAACCGGGTGCTTGCCATGAGCCTCGATTTAAATCCTGGTGCCAACACTTACAGCCATGTGATGCTGGGTGAGTTATTAATTCAAGCAGCCTCAGTTTCTTCAACTATAAAATGGAGATAATAGCAAGGCCTACCTTGTAGGTTGTTGTTAGGATTAAATACGACAAGTAAAGCATTTAGAACATGTAATAGCAGCTCAATAAATGTCAGCAAAGACAAATTTGGAGGTTTAGTGAAAAGGGCCATTGGAGAAGTGGAGGGATCACTGGAGAAGAGCTTGAAAAACAAGATGTCATAAAAAGAATTATTAGAAGATTTAAACACGGTGAAAGCTGAAGGAAAAGGGGAAGTAGGTGAGGAAGGAAAGGTTAGCGAGTAATCCCCAACTATGAAGGAAAATCCTGGAAGACATGGGGAGACGGGAGCAAGAAGCTTCGCACGGGGTACAGCTGCCTCGAGTTTTCAAACAGGAGGCTACTTCGGAGAGACAGAGGGGGAAGTTGAGCTGGTTCCCCCCTGGGGGCTTGATCTCTTCAATGGTGAGGAGGGCATCTCACCCCTGAGTGGGATGTGAGCTGGTTTGGGGTATCGAGAAAGGAAGAGACTTGGAATGGCTCTTAAGGAAAATGAAGTGGGGATTGAAGAAAAGCATTTGCAAGGAGAACTAGGGGTACCTCTCAGGGTAGAAATCATAAATGTATAATGTGCTCTTTGAAGATTATTTACTAAAGAAAAACAGGAGTTAGTGTTTTCCCTGTTTCAGTTTGGTCATTGGTTAATGTGAAACCATCTTCCTGGGGAGGCCGCACTTCTCTTCCCTGCAGGCCCCCCAGGGTGGGTGTAGATCCCAGGGACACTCATCTTGCTGCCTGGCCTGGGAGCAGCAGCTGGTCAGGACCCGTCTCCCCTTGTCTGTGCTTCCCCAGTGCTTAGCAGGGTGCCTGATACAGTGGAGAGTTTCCCAAGCGTCTATTTAATTGCTCTCCCTTCCATTATCTGGCTTCACATGGGGGCTGGAAATGCTAATCTCCCATAGTTACAACCACGAGCTTAGTGCTCACTATTCAGCTCACTTCCAACATGTTCAATCCCTGCCCAACACCTTGGAAAAGGACATCTCCCATGCTCGCCCATTAATAGTACAACCTCCCTTGTCATCTGAGGCAGCTGCTGGCATTTAAGCAGCCTGAAAACCCCACCTCCTCCACAGACTCTTCAGGGACTAATATGGGAGCTAACATTTAACAAGGACCTTCTATTTGCTAGGAACTTCCTTTGGCACATCACAGATTGCTTTTAGCTTTGTAACGGCTCTGGTAGTGTTAGTATTGTCATCTCGTTTTATCAATAAGGGAACCATGGCTCAGAGGGGTTAGATCACCTGTCCAACATCACACAGCATTGAGTCAGCAGCACTAGGATCAAACTTAAATTTGGCTGACTCTTGTGCTCAGACTCCTGCACAAGGCCACCTGCCTCACATAGCTCCTTCTTTTGTAAGGGTTCCCTTTGACAGTTTTCTGGTTTCTAACCTCTGTGTTCAGGATATTGGTCCTGCCCTGTCGCATACACTGATGGGAAGATCCAACATAAAGATTCTCAGGCAAACCTGGAATGGATCTATTTGTCTCTTTCTTCTCTTATGGTAGTCCTTGACTTTTTTTCCACATTTTTTTTATTATGGCAAAATATGCATAATATAAAATTTACCAACCCGTTTTTAAGTGTACCATTCAGCAGTGTTAAGTACATTTATATTGTTGTGCAATAACCATCGTTATCCATTTCCAGAACTCTTCATCTTGCAGATGAAACTCTGTACCCATTAAACACTAACCCCCCATTCCTTCCTGCCCCAGCCCTTGGCAACCACCCTTCTATTTTCTGTCTCTAGGAATTTGAGTACTCTAGGTACCTCGTATAAGTGGAATCATACAGTATTGGTCCTTTTGTGACTGGCTCATTTCACTTAGCATAATGTCCTCAAGTTTTATCCATGTTGTAGGATGTGTCAAAATTTCCTTTTTTTTTTTTTTTTTAGACGGAGTCTCGCTCTGTCGCCGAGGCTGGAGTGCAGTGGCGTGATCTTGGCTCACTGCAACCTCCACCTCCCAGGTTCAAACAATTCTCCTGCCTCAGCCTCCTGAGTAGCTGGGACTACAGGTGCACGCCACCACACCCAGGTAATTTTTGTATTTTTAGTAGATACGGGGTTTCACCATGTTGCCCAGGATGGTCTCGATCTCTTGACTTCGTGATCCACCTGCCTCGGCCTCCCAAAGTGCTGGGATTTCAGGCGTGAGCCACTGCACCCAGCCAGAATTTCCTTCTTTTTAGAGGCTGAATCATATTCCATTGTGTGGCTGTACCACATTTTGTTTAGCTATTCACACGTCAATGGACCCTTGGGTTGTTTCCACCTTTAACTATTGTGAAGGCTGCTGCTGTGGGCATGGGTGTGGAAACTGACCCTGTGTTCAATTCTTTTGGGAATCTACCCAGAACTGGAATTGCTGGGTCATATGGGAATTTTATGTTTAATATTTTGATGAGGAATGACAAATTACCTAACGGGTAACAATGTCTGAGCCTATGATGTCTGGGCCTTTAGCAGCTCCACTAAAGGCCCAGACTTCACTGCCATGCAACAGATACATGTAAAAAAGAACTGCACTGCACTTGTACATCCTCAATCTATAAATATTAAACAAAACTTTTTGGGAACTATCATACTGTTTTCCAGAATGGCTACACAATTTTACATTCCCATCAATAGTGCACAAGGGTCCCAATTTCTCCACATCCACCTGGGGGTTTGATCTCTTGTTATTATTATTTTTTTTTCTTTAAATAGTAGTCATTTTAATGGGTGTGAAGTGGCATCTCATCGTGATTTTAATTTGAATGTAATCATCACCTAATGACCGATGCTGAGCATCTTTTCATGTGCTTATCGGCTACATGTATATCTTCTTTGGAGAAATGTCTATTCCATCCATTTCGGAATCTGGTTGTTTTAAACCATGATGTTTTTAGAAACCCTGACCCTCTGCCCTGTATACCACAGCCCCACACATATTCCCAGGAGAGTTCACTGGCAGCCCAGACAGCGGGATGCTCTGAGGGAGAAGAAGGTATTCCATTGCTCTGCCCCATCCAACTAGTTTTGCCAACGCACATGACACTTACGCACAACACCGTACTCTAGGGCTACGGCACTGCAAACCTCTGTGAACCTGTAATATTACCCGGAAGAGGTAATTCATCAAGTCAGTATGACTCACAGAACTTTAGCTTGAATTCCTAAATCTGTGTAGCTGCCTGGGTTACATCCCTCCAGAAAAGAGGCACAGGACAGGCAGGTCCTGATGAGAGAGAGGCTGGCCCTGGTGACACCCAGCAATGAAGGGAGGAGAAGGGACCAGACAGCAAGCATATGGATTTGGCCAACAGGGTTTGAGCAGACAAAGGCAGGAGCTACCCAAGGTGGCAGGGAAGCAGAGCCTGTGGTGGGGAGCTCTGGCCTTGGTGGCTGCCCCCGGGAGGAATTATTACACAGGGACGGGGCTGTAGCACACGGCTGGGTCTCGAATGTGAAGAGGAGTTAGGTCCAGGCGAGTGGCTCAGAAATGAGAATGTGAATAGGAACTTTGGGCTTAACGATGTCACCCCAGAGCAGAGGGGTTGGTGTTGCAAGGAACGGAGAGACGGCAAAGTCCGAAGGGAGGTGACGCAGGAAAACAGACGGTGGCAGTCACAGGAGAGTGCTGCACAGACCTCCCTGCCAGGGAGAAGAGCTGGGAGGAGTTTGGTAGGTGGACCACCTTCCACATCCACATGCACCGCAGTTTCACACCAAGACCCGGAGCTCTCAGGTTGCTCCCCACTGACTAGTGAGTGCCCAGAGGCACAGAGCCGGGCCATCCCCGCCCAGTACCCACAGTGGCTCTGAAGGCTCCCCCAACTACTTCTGCTCCATCCCCACTTTATGTTCCACAGAACTTTCTCCCAGTAAGTCAGCTGCACATTTGATTGCATCAGACATCTGCTTCTTAGAGGACCCAAACTGACACAGAAGATATCCAAAGACATGCTGGACATACACATACACTCCACCCAGCCCACTTCCCTCCTGGGCTTGTCCTTACCATCACTCCAGAGGCTGAATGATCATCAAAACAGGGGCAGCCTAAGCTGACAGAGGGTCGAGAGTTAGTAACAAAAAGCATGGCACAAGGGTGGGCAGTGACCAGTATTCAGTTTTGGGTGGGCAGGAGGTCACTTAATAAAGAGACCTCGTGCTTGTGTGGCGTCCTTCATCTTTTGGGAGCTCACAAGTTTGGAAGATGGTTCAGAAGCCTGGCCAGATTCAATTCTGAATTCACGGGGCCTTGGATGGTGCCTGGCGACTGCCCAGTAGATGTTTGAAGAATGAATGAGTTTATTCATCATAACAGTGCTCTACAATGTTCCTAAATCTTTTCAAGTCTATCTGCAGCCCCATGAAGTAGGATGGGCAGAGATGGTCTCAAAGATGCTAAACTGAGGTTCAGAGAAGTCTACTACGGGAGTCCACTGCAGCCCCGGGTCTCCTTCCAGAGAAGGTCAGACCACACCACATCACATCCTATCCTATCCTCCTTCATGCCAAGAAAGCCCTTTCACCCAGAGTCCCTGGGAAACGGCCTTTGCTCCCCAGCACTCTTGTGACCACTAGGGAAGCCCAGCCAGTTCGAACCCACATCCTGAGAAGCAGGAGCTCCCAGCCAGCCAAAGGCCAGTATTGGGCCAGATGTAGCACACGTGAGGCCAGCTAGCTAGTGACTGACCTGCTTTGCACTATCGATAACTAACACCTTGATCGTGACAAGCTGGGTTCCTAGGATGGCTCTAAGGAGCACTGATCAATATGGGGAAGCAAGGAGTCAGCTCCCTGGCTGGAGTGGCAACTGTGATAGAAACATGTCTGTGCCAGATTCTCGCCCCCACACACTGGACCAGTGCCAGGGGTAGAAGCTGTAATGTGAACTGGGGGCTTCCCCTCCGCCCAGCCAGAAGCAGAGCAGGACCTTCTATAATATTTTAACAATGCTGCAAGCCACAGGACCACTATCAGAGATGGAGCCAGTCAGGGTTCACCGCCTACCCTTAAACAAAGCATTTCAGGTCCTTCCTCCTAAGACAGCACAGACTTTGCTTTACTTTCTCTTATTTTTAAATTAGGCAAAACTGGGCCAGGTGCGGTGGCTCACGCCTGTAATCCCAGCACTTTGGGAGGCTGAGGCGTGTGGATCACCTGAGGTCAGGAGTTTGAGACCAGCCTGGCCAACATGGTGAAACCCTGTCTCCACTAAAAATACAAAAATTAGCCGGGCATGGTGGCGTGCACCTGTAATCCCAGCTACCCAGGAGGCTGAGGCAGGAGAATTGCTGGAACCCGGAAGGCAGAGGCTGCAGTGAGCCAAGATTGTGCCACTGCACTCCAGCCTGGGCAACAGAGCAAGACTCCATCTCAAAATAAATAAATAAATAAATAAATAAATAAGGCAAAACTGAAGGAGAGGCAACTGGGGGGCAGGGAGGCTCGCGCTTTGCTGAACGATGATACCACCCTGGGCAGGATCGTCCCCCAGAGAATAAACAACCGCCAGAGAAAAACAGCCTTTGAGAACCCGCTTATGGTCAATTAAAAATCCCAATTAACACTTCTGAAAAATAGTTCAATATTTGCCACTGAGCTCAGGATGAGATGCATCTGGAGGTACACAGGCAGGCCTCTTTGGAGGAGGAAGAGCTGGCTGCCGGCTGGGGAAGAGCCACGAGGGCTGTGCAAAGATCCCCTTCAGAAAGCCAGCGCGGGGTGGGGGAGGCCTGTGTTTCCATCCCATTCTCACTTCCATGTGGTTATTCCTGCATCTTCAAACAAAAATGCCGTGTCAGGACCTCAATCCTGCTGCTGGGCATAGGCTTCCTAGCCCACTCCTTCTTGTCTGTCACCTACAGACCCTTTGTGGCGCTGCTGATGGTGCCTGGTTCTAAGTACTCATCCTACTACCCTCAGGCCTGGTGACCTGGACGTCCTGGGGATGTCATCCCCGCGCTCAGCCTCATAACCCCCAGACCTCATGCCCATGGCAGATGTACGTGGGGCACACAGTGCCGGTGCCAGGTGCAGGGTAAACAGACAGCGCGTGGCAGCTGTGGTTACTGCAGTGCTCCACACTCCACATCCCTCCAGTTACACAGTCCCGTGGATCCAACCCCCTGACCTGGTACCAAAACTGGCTTCTCCACCCCTCCTCCCAACACCTCAGTCAGGCCCTGGCCACTTCCTGTGTGGCTGCCTCTTCCCTGCGTGGCTCCCCAGTCCACCCTCCTTCCTCCTTCCAGAATGATCTCTCTCAAATGCAAATAGGATCATGTTGGTCTCCCTGATGAACACAATTCAACGGCCCACATTGCTTTTAGGAAAAGTTCAATCGATCTGATGAGGCGCAGAAAATCCTTTGTTACCCTGGCTGGCCTCTGTCCTCCTTCTTATCCTTGTCACTCCCACACCTCCATCCACTGCCCCTGGGGGCCCTAGAACATGATGCCTTCCTATGGCATGTTGCTTCTGCTTGGATAGCCCTTGCCTTCTTCTTTAGCTAGCACATACCTACTCTTTTTCCAGAACCTACCTTAAGCTTCACCTCCTCCAGGAAGCCTTTCCCTGACTGCTCCTCTTTCAGTTTGATCTAGACCCTCCTTGATGAGTCCAGTGCATTTGCTGCTTACCCTCCTTCACAGCAATTCCCATTCCACACTGTCACTGTTGATTTATTGCTCCCTGAAAATGAGGACTATGTCTTAGATCACATTGCCTGGCGCATAGTAGGTATTCAGTACACGTTTGTTGCATGAATGAATGAAAACATATTTAATACAACTTTTAAATAATGGTATAACAATCAAGGTTTTGTGAATCAAACAGTATTTGCCACTGAGTTTCATCATAATACTAGGTGTTTTAGCTTCATTTCCAACTGTTGAGACATCAACATCAACAGTAGTTCTAATTCTTTAATTTTATGTCTTCCCCCAAAGCCTCTGTGAGGTATAAATGAACCCCAAAATGATCTAGAAGAAGCTGATAGTTAAAGGATTCTTGTGGCTGAATCCTATTGTAAAATAGAAGACTTTCTGGGATGCAAATAACCACCTCCTAATTTATCTACTTGGTAAGTTTGAATTTGGAGGTTTCTTAAATTAGCAGAGCAAACTTGCAGTTTCTCTGAAAATGTGACTGCAGTTGTGGGTCATGCCGTAAAGATGCACATAAAAGGGCTTAGGACCTGGTGCAACAGCCAGTGGTGAACGTGTGAGCAGTAGGGGAGCAGAAGCCAGAGCCTGCCGAGAATTTCAGGGCTGCCCAGCAACTCCATTATGCAAACCAGTGATTTTGAAGGAATATTGCTCGGAGCTCCAGTCTCCAAATCTCAATTACCCCAGGGCTATTTCATCTTGAGATTATCTGGGCTGCCTTCACCACCCGCCTAACACTCCAACGGGGAGCTGGAAAGATAGTTCTTATTCTTCCTCCCTCTGGAATTCTTTTGTCTGCTCTGCAGAGAGCTGTCTGGTCTCTACCAGGGCCCCTGCTGGACACCATCTCCCCTTCCCAGACAGCTGGCTTCTGACCTAGGAGACTTTGTTTACTCACCACATGTGGCAAATATTGACACTGAAACCAACTGTGCTTCTGCCGTTGCTAGTTTCCTGGTCCCAGGAAACCTTGGTTCCCAAGTGACAAATGAATTTTAGGCCCATTAGCCCATCCTATTATCAAAACTCAAAATACAAAACTCTGCCCACTCCCGACCATCCCCAGCACCTGGCAATCAAGGTATCCCCTTCACTTAGTCCTGCTCACTCACAATCTTACATCCTTTAAAAGGCAGCCGAGTGAATGTGGAAGCAAGACGGTTACCCCACAAGACTGTGGGTGCCCCAAGGGCAGGGACTTTGACCAAAATGTCTATCTCTAGAGCCTGGACCAGAACCTGATACCTAGAGGTGGCCCAAGAAACATTGAGAGGAAAGAAGAATAATGACGGTGATGATGATCAGCATCATAACAACCATTACCAACACTCCCCATCACAGAGCACGGGCTATGTGCCAGGCTCTGTGCCAACTCTTCTCTTGTATTAATACCCACAAGTAACATTATCCCCATTTTACAGATGAGGAAAATGAGAGTTTGGAGATTAAGCAACTTGTCTAGGATCACCCATGAGA
Source organism: Homo sapiens (assembly GCF_000001405.40). Classification (NCBI taxonomy): domain Eukaryota; kingdom Metazoa; phylum Chordata; class Mammalia; order Primates; family Hominidae; genus Homo; species Homo sapiens. Next base: position 117,704,032 of record NC_000011.10, read on the forward strand.
CTCTAAAGTTCATGCTTCTAATCCCAACGAAGAAAGGAGAAAATGAGAGGAAGAAGGAGAAAGTATGAGACAAAGAAGGAAGGAAGAAGGAAGGGAGGAGGGAGGGAGGGAGGGAAGGAGGAAGGGCGGGAAGGAAGGAGGGAAGGACAGAATGACCTGAAGCCAACCAGGCAAGATAATAATAATAATAATAAAAATCCCCCTGCCACCACCCAAAAAATGATAAAAACTTAATTATCATTCCTCAGACTTATTCCTTGAAAAGCTCAGTGTCCTCACATCTGTTCTTTTTTCTTCCTTCTACCCAACAAGGTGAGTCAAAGTATCTGCTGCTCTCTTTGTGCTTCTCACCCTCCCCTGGCTGCACCCCACATTTACCCCTTCCCATATGTTGTGTGCACGCGCGCACACACACAAATTAAAAAAAATTATTTTAGACAGATGGCAAAATTGAAGTCTGGAAAATCTTGTAGTTGAAACTCAGACTTGCAGTTTCCCAACCCGGACCATCATGGGCCAAGCCTGGCTGATTGGCAGGGAGGAGCAGGAGCTGCGGGGAGGAGGGGGTGTATGGCCTCGCACTTAGCATTCCTCCCAGTGACTCGGTGACTCGGCTGGTAGCCTCGGCAATGAGAACATATGTTCTCTTGTTTCGCTCCAGCCAAAGGGAAAAGGTAGGTGTCATGCACACCCACAGCCAGGAACAATGCAAGTATTAATAACTGTTTTAATTGTATGCGAGTCTCGGTATATTTCCCCGTGGTACCTCAAAAGCCATTTATTTTGGTACCTCATAGCAGGGATGGTACTATCCACCAGAGGCCCAGCCAGGCTGGTGGTGACTAATAGAGAACTCTTCATTCAGAGGAACACTGGAAAAGCATTTCCATTTCCCTTGTGCGCATTAGGTGGGTGGCGAAGGCAGTGAGCTAAGTGGAGTGCTGTCAAGGTACGAGTGTGCGCCCCGGATGTGTGTGTGGTGCAAAGACTCTGCGTACCCACGCCGAGGGGGGGACGTCTGCGGGCTGGAGAGGGGCGGGGAATGCAGATAAGCCCCTACAATGCAGAATCTAAAAATAGTGTGTGCATTTGCCTTTGACTTGCATTATATGATTTTCCCCCCAGCAGACTCACCTTGCTAATTTTATTTTGCTTCGGCTGTTATTAAAATGAGTTTGCAATCCCAGAGAACCCTCTGATGGTTACAGAGGCCGGGTAGTGCTTGGTGGCAAGTAAAGCCAGACTGAGGGTCTAAATTTGTCTTGGACAAGCCTAACTGAAAGCCGATGTACTCTAAGCATGAATGTTGTTTTTCTTTTAAGTTAATATTACATTTTATTTTTTTGCTTTTGTGAAGCAAGGTACTTTCTACTCCCCAGCAACACAGAGAAGAAAGATTTTGTTTCTTGCTAAAAATCCTTCTTCTCACCTCCATCATCTCCCATGATTAACACATTCTGTACAGTAGATAATCTCTGTGATAAACAAGGAGATTTCTTCGAGGTTCAAAACCACTGTGGGAGTGGCCTGGAATTACCTCTGGCTATGAGTGGGAAAATTGAGGCTCAGAAAGAGAGACCAGTACGGGTCTCTGTCACCTCACCCATGTGTCCTGTCTAACGTCTTGCCTCTAAGCAGAGCTCTAAATAATCTCAAACAGGTGAAGATTTTCTCCTTACTGCCACCCACCTCCCAGAGCCTCATAATGCTTGATCTCTGTAGCACTGAAGTTTGGGATTCTAAATTCCCAAGTGTTCCATAGTGGGGAAGGCCAGAAGTGTGCTAGGCTGGGAAGTGTGACCTTGGGCTGGTACTTAATCTTGGAGCCTCAATTTTCTCATTTATAAAATGGGGGTCAAATACGTGCCTTGCAAGAAGTGCCTTGTCCAGCGCCCTGGGTAGAATAGCACTTATTAGTAGGACTTGGCGTCAGCTTTTGGTAGTGAACATGAGTAGGCAGAGGGACTTCAGAATATAAGCCCATTCCATTCCTCTGTCCGAGACAGCTGAAAAGGTGCAGGTGGCTTGGCCTAATGAGCTTTGTTTTGAAGGAGCACAGGGAATAAAGGGCCCTCAATTCACCACTGAGCAGCTCATCTCCTCACACCAATCCGGATTTCTGCCCAGCACCAAAATCACCTCTCGCAGGAGCCCTCTCCTCTCCAGTAGGTGCCTCTTTTCCCTTCCAATTTACATGAGCTGTGTCTGCTAGTGCAAGGTCTGTCCTAGTTAGTTTTTGTTTTTATTTTCCCCAGGTTTTTATTTGTTTGTTCGATTGTTTCCAATCGGCCTCTCCTGTTCTATGCTGAGAGAAACAGAAGCCTACAGGCGTACAGAGATCGTAGTTCAGATCACTTCTAACTTTCCCATGACTCGGTGCCGGTCTATTCCCAGGGAGAAAAGCAATCAGAATTCAGTGTTTAGTTTAGATAATCCTGCAGGATTAAGGGCTGAGAAGGAAGAGGTGTAAATGGGAAGGCCCTCTGTACAGTGAATCCCTTTATCACAGGCGTTCTGGGCCGGATTGACTTTTCCTGGTGCTCTGCAAGCCCTTTGCAGAGGGAGACACAGCCGTGCAAATGCCGTGTGTCGCAGCCAACGCCCTCACCTGCACACAGGTGTGCAGCATTGGGGAGGAAGGAGGCCTAGCGTCTAGCCCTTCTTCTGCCATTGATATCTTGTGCAAGTCCTTTAGATCATCGCTCCTGAACTTGCTCAATTATCAAAACCACCTTGGGCCTTTCTTTTAAAGTGCAGACTCTCAGAAGTCTTCCACAGAACCACTGACCTGAAGGGTTAAATCATATATAATCTTAAGGAGTTCACGAACCACAGGTTAACAGCCCTGGCTTTAGACCTTTGTCTACTCCTCCGCAAAATGAAGGGAGGCGACCACACACCTTCCTAAGCAGCATCATGTGGCCAGCGTTCTAGCTCTGAAGATGCATGCCTCTGTGCCCAGACACACAAGCACCCAGGAGCAGCAGAATCTAGTTCCCTTCGTACTCTGGGATACGGTCTTACTTGGCTTTGGCTGAGCTTCCGATGGCAAAGGAGTGGGTTTTAAGTACCTACAAAGCCTGTCCTTTGTGGGTGTCAGTGCCTCAAGTTCCTGACATGAATGCCCTCAGCCCAGAAGGTGGGTGGTGGTGGCCAGTGGACACCTGTAGGGGAGCATGCTATTTAGGAACGACCACTGCCTGCCCTGAGAATCAGCTTAAACTTCAAGTGATTAAATAAGTACCACCTTCTGGAAGCCAGAAATATGGTGGCAACAAATAGAATCAGTTTCCTGGCTCCCAAAGATAAGGAAAAAAGGACAGAGTGAATGGTCGCGAAGGTCCCTTCAGGTACCTCTCCTCTCTGCTCCTCCATCCTCCTCCCACAGGGGCTGCTTTGGCAGTCTGAACATCTCCCAGGTCAGCCCATTTAGCCCACCAGGCACTCCAAAATGCTGCTGGAGGCAGACCCCTGCTTAACCCAAGGAAGTTTTTCTTTTTATTCTTTTTTTTTTATTTTTTGAGATGGAGTCTCGCTTTGTCTCCAGGCTGGAGTGCGGTGGCGTGACCTCGACTCACTGCAACCTCTGCCTTCCGGGTTCAAGCGATTCTCCTGCCTCAGCCTCCCGAGTAGCTGGGACTACAGGCGTGTGCCACCATGCCCAGCTAATTTTTTGTATTTTTAGTAGAGACGGGGTTTCACCATGTTGACCAGGATGGTCTCAATCTCCTCACCTCGTGATCCACCGGCCTCAGCCTCCCAAAGTGCTGGGATTACAGGCGCGAGCCACCGTGCCTGGCCCCAAGGAAGCTTTTCAACAGTCCAGCTGCCTGATGGCATTCTGAAGCCTTCTGAAGCAATCTCATAAGGTCCTTGTTCTTATCTTGGAGAAGTGAGTGTCCTCTCTATCCCTCAGAGGTTGAAGCAGAGACTGGATGCCCATTCTAGACTTACCAAGACATGAAGACTGCATTAGGGCAATGGCAAAGTGAAGCTAGCTGCAACTAGCTTCAACCAGCTGCTCAGGACAACACCATGTCTTCAACACCTCCTGCCTCCCTCTCTGTGCCCTATACTTCCTGTACCCCCCACACACCATAGGACAGTATGACCCTCTGTCTTCTCACATTAATTCTGTGGAGTCAAGGAGACTCGGGCTGAAGGGACTTTAAACCTGTCTAGTTGAACCCTGCCATCCGAAGCTACAGCTCTGTCACAGCATCCTCATCCCCATTAGGAGAGTGGCCCTCTCTGCTGGACCACCTGCAATGACTGGAAACTCATTCCCTCCAAAGATACCAAATCTGTCTTTGTATAAACCTGCTGTCAAGTGTTCCCTGATGCAGAATCTCAAACGATCTTAGGAACTTAAAGTCTTCCTGGTCTTCCCAAACCAATTAAATTGTTTGACTTTGGGTAAGTTTCTTAACCTAAGCCTCAATTTTCTCTCCTGTAAAGTGGAAATAACAACAATAATACCCATCTCAAAGTCTGTTGTGAGGATCACAGGAAACATTAAACACACAGTACTTGGCACACAGCAAGCCCTCAAGAAATGTTAGTGGCTAATATTTTGTGTTTTGAGGAACAGATAACTTCCTTCACACCTAAGGCATTCCTGGTATGTTCATTTTCGGGACTCAAACTGTCCTGAGAAAGGGTGTTCCCCAAGAGCTCTGGAGACACAGGCAGGGCTTTTGTGTAAGAGGTGGTACATTACACACAAGTGAAGCGATACCATTGCGTGGACCTATGGCCAAACGTTCTCTCCTTCTCACTCCAGAGAGCCAGACACATGGCAGAGTACAAAGTGGGGGGTGGGATGTCAGATGTAGGCTCCCATTACATGCTGCCCATTAAATCATCTCAAGTTCATTTAAGGCTGGGTCCTGCCCCAGAGTCAGAGCCTGTCAGAGCTGAGAACGTGCCTCCAAGTGCACACACTGGCTCTTTAACTTGGGCAAGAAGTTTAAACTCTGAGCTTCAGTTTCCTCATCTGTGAAGTGGGGATATCGATAATATTCACCTCATGGACTTTTCATTCTGGGATAAACCTAAATAAGGTGACTGACTCCTGCCAAACTTGGTATGAAACTAAAGGACCTCAGATACTGCCTAGTTTCAATGTGTGACCCTGTTGGCCATTAGCTATCATGAAACAAGTGTGCATGGGCTGCCATGACAAAATACCACAGGCTTGGTGGCTTAAGCAACAGGAATCCATTTCCTCACAGTTCTGGAGACTGCAAGTCTAAGGTCAAGGTGCCAATGGGGTCAGAGACTGGGGAGGGCTCTCCCCTTGGGTTGCAGATGGCTGCCTTCTTGCTGTGTCCTCACATGGCAGATGGAGAGCGAGTGAGCTCTATGGTATCTCTTCCCGTAAGAACACTAATCCTATCGGATTAGGGCCCCACACTTATGACCTCATTTAACCTTAAGTACTTCCTTAGAAGCCCCAAATATAGTCACATGGGGCTTTTGGGCTTTAACATATGAATTGCGGGGGTTGGGGGGAGTGCACAAACATTCAGTCCATAACGGCAGCCAAAAAGGATTTTTAAATGGCTATTTATTTCCCCCATTGCATGGGGAGGTGCAGGAGAGGGTTACAGAACCATAATCCCACCCCAACTCCCACCTCCAGCCTCTTCTTTCTGGTTTCACTGGCTTTGGGCTAAGGCTTCATCAGGGGAAGCCAATAAGGCAACATCTTCAGGGCACTGGAAAGTCTCCTGACCCATCACCCTAAGGAGCGGCTGTGAAAAAGAATGGACCCTAGGGAGCTGGTCCCAGCCTGGGACCGAGGGCAACCAATGACCCCTGAAGATAAGACTGGCCATGAGACAGGTCCAGACAGAAGGAGCAGGGGCCTGGCTCAGAGCCCCTGCCTCCAGCCAGGACCTCCTTGGAGACACACACACAAAAAGAATGAATCCCTGGACTTTGCCTGGCCTCAGTGCAGTCCTGCTGTTGGGGCAAGGATGGCTGTCCCCTCTGCAAGGGACAGTCTTGGAAGACCTTGTCCTGCTGACAGATGACTGTTCTGATGGTCTGGGATTTTCATTTTACTTTGCTTCCTCTAACACCACTTTGTTTATGGGGTGGATATTTCATCTCCTAGATTCATCTTGAGATCATCGTTAAAGATTCCTTCTCTGCTCACTGAGATGTCCCTGCTAATCATAAAAATCTACGTAGTAATTTCAGATTAATTAAAGCTGTAAATTGGGGAAGTTAGTGACTGTAACTCATATTTCTCACTTCTCTGCACCATCTCAAAATCATATTATTTTACAATACTCTATTCCTCAGAGTATTTTTACCACCCAAAACCCTCCTTTTGCCAGCCGGCAGCCTTCCTTGGGCTGGGCTGTCCTCCAGGCATGGCATCCTGGCTATGGACAGTGGGAAGGAGCTGACATGTGTTCTGGAGAAAGAGTCCCTCTCTGCAACGTTAGCAACCCACACATGTATACAGCTTTATCCTTAGGGACTAGCACTGGAGAAGCAGAGTAGTTTTCTGGTTTCAAGCTCAGCTCTGCACCTTACAACCTGTGTTTCTGTGTGACTTAACCGCCCCGTGACTCAGTTTCCCCATCTGTAAAATTAGGATAATTACAGTGCCTACCTGTGAGGTCATTAGTGTTAAATGAAATGAGCTATGTAAAGCACTTGGACAAGTGTTTGCAAATGAGCAAAGCTTGATGAATGGTAGCTGTTAGGCAATGTCGGCTGAGCCCAGCACTTGGATGGGCCCTGTGGACAATACCATAAATATAGCAATGTCTCTGCTCTCTACAAGTTGACAATCTAACTGGGGAGACAGAACATACTCGAAAAGAAAGAGCACATCGAGCCCTAAGCCACATAGTACCTGTTATCAATACAATTAGAGTTGGATCACTTCAAGGTCACAAACTATATCCAGTGAGGGTTGTTCTACCTCTATGCCCATCCTAGCTCCCATATGGGCAGATTCTTGGAGAAGCAGTGCCAGTAACTCAGGCTTTGCTGCTCCTGTCTTCGCTAGAGAAAACCAAGAAAATAAAGCCTACTCCTGAATGACCCCAGAGGAGCCTCCCAGGACGGCATTCTTGAACAGGCTTTTTCCTTTATGCCTCAGGGTCATGGTTATGATTTCTGCCTCATGGGGCAGGCTGAGCTCAGCCCAGGGCAAAGCAAATGAGGTTGATGGAGGTTGTTGTGGCCCAGCTTTTTTCCACCTTCCATTCTTTTGAGGAGTTAAGATGTGAGCACCACCACTCTCAAACTCTCAAAAATGTGCTGACTGTGAGAACTCCCTGCTGCTCCCGTTTTACAGAAGAGAAAACTGAGGGGCAGAATAGCTTGCAGAAGTCCCTGAAGGGAGCCAGCTGCGTGGCTTGATAAACTAACTCAGGGGTCCATAGAGCAACTTGGCTTAGGTGAAGGTTCAGGGCAGTTTCCTCCCTCACGTTCCCTGTCTTCTGACACCAGCTGCTCCTAGAACCAGGCTTAGGAGTTGGCACCGGGGACATGTCTGGCAGTTGGTGTGAGGGACGCGTCTCCAATTCCTGACACAGATAACCCCAGGGACAACACTCATGGTGTGCTGAAACTTCTTTACTCAAATATCTGCAATTCCAGGCTCAAGAAAGAAGATTCAATTCTGCCGGTCCTTTTTTTTCCTCCAATTTTGTCCTGACCACCTTAATCACTGCATCTCTGGATTGTTTAATTCCACAATGAAGCCACTTCTCCTTACAACTGGCCTATCATCAGCTAGGATTAAGATTCATTTCAAATAAGAGGGTTTTCCCCCCATTCCCCACTTCTTTTATTCCTAAACTGAATTTGCATTACAAAAAAATTAAACAAAAGCAGCTTTTTGAATCTCCACTTATTACTCCCATTACATTTGTTAACATCATTATCCTCAGCTGAAGATGGCAACTATTATCAAATGTTGCAGTGCGTTTGTGGACCTCTTGCTATATTCGTTTAGAAAATTGCTTTAATGCATATGCTTTTAGAGGTTTAAAATCTACCATGGCATTATGAGCTATATAATGCCGTACATTTTTAAATCTAACAGTGCATTTATTTTATTTTTTTTAAACACGTTGCACTGAAATAAAAAATGCATGCCTGTAGTAAAGAAGAATACGAATGCAACTGGGAAAATGCAGAACTAGGCTCCTGACTGGCAGGCCCTCTCCACTCCCTTCATCCCCTGAAGAAGAAATCACTCTTCCTGAAACCCAAACCTGGAGGTCCTAAATGGGTCTAATGGGTGTGGACAGTGGGGGTTGGGGAGGGTTCTCTTTGACACAGTGATGGGGAAGGAATCTGTACCATTTGGGGCTGTAAGCAAAAGCAAGCTCCTGCTATTCATTAATACAGAAAAGCACAGTTTCAGGGGCAATTACCAAATTTCTATATTCATAGAAATCCGGTTTCCCTGGAGAGAAAGGTTAGGGCTGGAAAATTTATGAAGTGCTGGTTTCTTATGGAAATAAGAATTTTTGGTAATTACACAGGAGCTGGTCTTTATCTGCTTCTGCATTTTAATGATGGGGAATGGTATTTTGTTAGTTTCTTTTTTATTATTATTAAAGCACGCGCACGCCGACAGCATCCTCGCTGGTGTCCCAGGGATCCATTCATCCTAACAGCTGAGAATGAGCGGCTGCAACCCTGCTCAATCACGCTCAATCACTCTGCTCACCAAACCAGAGACAGCAGAGATGGAAAAGTGACGACCGTTCTCGCCAGCTCCACACTCTGGGCCTGCGGCTTTGTGTCTTCCGCTCCTCCTTGGGTACCTTATGTCTTCCCCCCGCCTCTCTCCCCACCCTGTGACTGACTCCCTTTCTGGGGCTGAGTGAGTGTGCTCATTCCTCAGGAAGCCATTTTTAGGGAAAGAGATTGAGGTATGAAAGATTCTGCTGTTTTCTCCTTCCCAACTCCCCTTTTGCAGCAACCCGTAACCCCCCAACACCCAGGACCTATAAAAACATGAATAATTGTCACTAGAGTCAGAGTCACACAAAAGGCTCCCTTCCTCAGTTTCCCCACGGCTCTTTCTCCTCCATTCCCAATGCCGTTTTTTGGGAGACTCTGTCTCCCAGGCTAGAATGTAACGGCATGACCTCGGCTCACTGCGACCTCCACCTTCTGGGTTCAAGCATTTCTCCTGCCTTCAAGCAATTCTCCTGCCTCAGCCTCCCAAGTAGCTGGAATTACAGGCGCACGCCACCACACCCAGCTAATTTTTGTATTTTCAGTAGAGACAAGGTTTCATCATGTTGGCCAGGCTGGTCTTGAATGCTTGACCTCAGGTAATCCACCCGCCTTGACCTCCCAAGGTGCTAGGATTACAGGCATGAGCCACCACGTCCGGCCACCAATGCCCTCTTGATAGCTTCCCATCCCATCCCTAATCAGTCACCATGGAACCCACGTTGGCCTTTTCCCTACCCTCTACCCCTTTCCAAAGCCTTACTCTGTGGAATGACCACAATTTCCCAGGGAGGCCTGCAAAATGACACTCACCGTCCCCCTCCCAGAGCCATTTGAGCTGATTTATAATGGTTATAAAAGAGGTCAGAGCTTGACTGAGCTTAATAGATTCATTAATTATACCAAACAAAACAAACATAATGAACATAAAAATTTATGACCTCCGTCACCAGTTCAGATGTGTCCCCTTGTCGGGCCTTGACAGATTCTGCGGAGTCCATCCATCTTGACACTTTGTGGGATCAGCAGCCTGTGGCTGTGTGGAGGTGGTGGTGGGTGGTGGGCAGTGGTGGTGGAATTACCCCAGCACCCCAGACACTACTACTGAGGGAAGTCCCTGGAACCACCTGCCAGCCACTCATCTTTGCACCTGTCTCTCCAGCAGTCCACAGAGCAGCACGGCACTGGTTAGCACCATGGTTAGAGCACTGTGGTTAAAGCAGAAACCCCGGGGCCTGACTACCTGGTCCAAATACTGGCTTTGTGTGTGGCACTGGGCAAATTAGTCAATCTTCCTGAGTCCGCGTTTCTGCATCTGTGCAATGGGGATAATAATTAGTTAATCCTAATCCTAGGGTTGTTGTCAAGATTAACTGAGTTAATGCATCTAAGTTGCTTAGACTAGTACCTGGGGCATAGTAAGTGTGCTGTTACCTGTGTTTATTTTGGCCTTACTGTTATTATGGTTTGGATGAAAACAAGAGACTATCTATAGCTTCAGTATTTCTTGGGGAACTTTTCTTTGTCCCTTTTCTGAAAGACAGGGAAATCTGCCCTAAAGGAACCCATCACCAAATATTTATTAGAGCCCTCTAAGTGCCTAACTCTTAATCAGGGGCTGAAAGAGCAGCTCAGCATCTGCAGGTGGTGCCTGCTCAGAAATGATTTAAAGCAGCAACAAGAGCCTAGAAGGAATTGAAGGGCTCCAGAGGTCATCGAGTTCAACACATCCCATCTTGCCATTACCCACATGAAGAAAAGAAGAACAAGAAAGTTTCCGCTGGCTGGTGCAGTGACTCACAGCCTATAATCCCAGCACTTTGGGAGGCCGAGGCAGGTGATACACCTGAGGTCAGGAGGTCGGGAGCAGCCTGGCCAACATGGTGAAACCCCATCTCTACTGAAAATACAAAAATTAGCTGGGCGTGGTGGTGGACACCTATAATCCCAGGTACTCGGGAGGCTAGGCTGAGGCAGGAGAATTGCTTGAACCTGGGAGGTGGAGGTCGCAGTGAACCGAGATCACGCCATTGCACTCCAGTATTGGAGACAAGAGTGAAACTTCATCTTGAGGAAAAAAAAAAAAAAAAAGGAAGGTGCCACACTTGCCCAAAGCCATGGAGACACACGATGACGCAGCTGGAAGGAGGCCCCAGGCCCCAGCCGTCCAAGTGTCCTTCTATTCCACCATTCTGTGCCTGACTTGGTGCCTACTCTGCCATCCACATGGGCCATCAGACCCAAACCAACCATGCCAGGAGGAAGAGGAAGTACAGTGCAGGCAAATACAAATTGAAGATGGAAACTATAACATGTAGATGGCTAAGTTTATACAATTTCGTCAGTTAAAAATAAGTCATTAAAAAAAAAGAAAATGGAAACTATAACCCACGGGCTTGGCTTCCATCACTTTTCTTCAGGGCTTTTTGGTTTCAGAAGCAGAAGCACTGCCTTCTCCCGGCCTCAGCATGCACTGCTCCCTCCTTCCCTCCTTGTTCCCTTGGCCAACACTACGCCTATCTAAAGACTCAGCCCAGGTTTCACCTCTCCTTCAGCTCTCCTTGCCTGTCCTGAGATCTTGCAGGAAAAACGGAGCCTCCTGGCTTCTCCTCGACTCCCTTTGTACCCCCAGCCGTAGCCCAGTCTCTGTATAGAAGTTAATGCACTTCAATGGGACTCTTTTTTTTGGTTTGACCATTCTCTTTTACAACAGAAAGTATATCAAATGCCTACTATGTGCCAGGAACTGTGCTCGGCACTGGGGATGTGGTGGTGAACTAGACAGCGATAGCTCTTGCCTGCATGGAATTTACAGTCTGGTGATGCCGATTTTGTCTTGTGAACGTTTGAATCCCCTGTGCCTGGCACAGGGCCTCGCAGAAACAGCCCCTCCACAAAGTGTGATGAGTACGGGACTGGGATGCCTGGAGGAGAGGCAGAGGCTGTCCGAGGGTGGGTTGGCTGGGGAAGCAGGTAAGTGAATTATTGGGCCCTCTTCACACAGCAGGGGCAGGAGTCACAGTTCTGGCTGGAGCTCACTCACAGGGCTTGTAACCATCCCAGACGAGTGCAGAACTATCCAGTCGGTGTGGTTTAACCATATATAACCCTCCTCTATCCATTATTCCGTCCTCAGATACCAATTCCTAGTTGGTCACTTGGCCCACAAGACCCTGAAAATAGATTTAAATTATTGCTTTATTTCCCACCCAGCTCAGGGTGTTGATTTACGCTGCCCAAACAATCAAGCCTTTATCTCAGTCACCCAGCAGCATTAGCAGCGATTTATCATGTTTTACTTCTGCCTGTACTAACCCAGGCTGACGCCTGTTGGTTGTGTCCTTCTCTTCTCAGGAAAATGCAGTAACAGGTAGGCACAAGCAGTAATGGTAGCAAAGGCCAGGGTTGCTTCCAACAGCCCGGAGCGAGGAGCCAAGAAGGTGCTTAACCTGGAGGCCCTTTTATTTTATGATAAAGTGAAAGGATCTGTCCCTGGATGGCCGGGGTTCTGGTCCCAGCCGTGTTGTTAACCAGCTGAACAAGCTTGAGCAAGTTACGTTCCCTCTCTGGGTCTTGATTTCCTCATATTTGACCCTTTCTGACCACTGATTCCCAGGAGGTCTGCAGGAGAGATTAAAGGCAGCTTGAAGCGGGTCACCAAACAAGAGCTTTGGGTTTTGCTCTTTAAAAGCTTAACCTGACCAACTTTACCCCCAGCGGTACTGTCCCTGAGACACACTGTAGCCATGAGCGCTGCAAAACCAGCTCACCCCATCAGAACAGGTGGGCGTGCCTAGCCAGAGAGGGGAGGGTAGTCCAGGGGAGCTCGAAGAAGTCAAAAATGCCAACCAACTCTAAGACCTCATGATTCAGCCAGAGTAAGAATCCAGATCCAGCCCCCTTCCTGTTTGTTACAACCTGAGAGCTAAGAATGGCTTTTATATGGTTGAAATGGTTGGGGGGAAAAAGAAAACACCAAAAGGAGATTATTTCATGACACATTAAAATTACATGAAATTCAAATTTCGGTGCCCATAAATAGAGTGTTTTTGGAACACAGCCATGCCCGCTCACCCATGTATTGTCCACAGCTGCTTGTGCGCTGCCACGGCAGAGCTGAGGTGGTTGCCACAGAGACCTTGTGGCTTGCACGGCCTGAAATATTTACTCTCTGGTCTCTTACAGAAAGTCTGGCGACCCTTAGGCTAGATGGTTGGTGTTGCCAGAAATTCCCATCCCAGATGCACCCCAGATGCACCCCAGCACCAGGCTGTGTCATCTGCTTTCTGTTTTGTTTGGGAGGGCGCAGGCCTTTCTAGAGACTTCTAGGGGGAAGAAAGATCTGAGGTTTTCATCAGCTATAGAAACCACCCTGGGACAAAGCCAAAGAGGCAGAATCCAGTGCCACGCCGAAGATGGTCGATCAGGCTGCCTCCGGTCACTTGGTAGGGCCCGAGAGCGGCCAAGGACACCGCCTGGGGCTCCTGTGCCCACCCTACCGGTCCCCTCCCTGCACCTGCACTGCCCTGCCCCCCTCAAGTATTCCATCCTACCCACCCTCGAAGGCCACCTCCTTCATGGAGCCTCACCTCTCCCCGCCCCTGCCTCAAAGGGTGCCCACTCCCCTTGACGCTCCCTCAACTCTTCATCAGAACTCCTCCTGTATCACTCATCATTTCCTCCACCAGGGACAACAAATTGGTTTCATCTCAGGCAGGTTCCAACTGACTGGCGGTGGCTTCCTGTGTGGATAAGGATTGTGAGGCTCTTTGGGAGCTCAGAAATAAAAGACCCTGACGATCAACCAGCAGTGGCTGTACTGGGCGTGGGACAGGGTAAAGGCCCGTCCTGGGCATCCTGACTTCCTGGCGCCATGCCGTGTTCTAGGCTGGTGAACAGTAATGACGCCCTGGTGAGCTGTAAGCTTCTGGTAGGTAGTGGCCACATTCACCCCATACTCACGCTCCCACAATGCCAAGCCCAGTGCCTGGCACACAGCTGTCCTCGAGGCACATCTGGGGGGTTGCTGTAATTGATGATGCCCTGAAACCAGCCCCTTTGAAATGCCCCCTAGCAACTGGCACTAAAACACACCCCTTTGGCCCAGCGAGGCAATGCTGGGATGGGCACAAACTGCTTTACCAACCTAGTCCCAGGAGGAAATGAGGGGTGAGAAGAGGAGTGCAGGTTCCAGCTTCAGGGAGGAATCCTTGGCATTTACATAGCAAACAACACCCAGGTGAGGCGGTGTGTCAACAAGGCCCAGCTCAACAGCTCCCAAGTCTCAGCATATTTTAAATGTTTGCCACATGCCAGACATTAATATTTTAACGGCTGCACGTCCGTGGCAGGCGGAGCAGCATCCGGAACACAGCGTAAAAATTGAGTGATAATAGCCTGCCTGTATGCGAGGTCAGTGGGGCATTGCCGCGCCGGCTCCAGCCTCTCTAGAAGCCACTCACGCACCCCGCCATCCCCCACCCCCCTTCCCGAGGCTGACACAGCCTGAGGATGGCAGGGCTGTCTGCCAAAGTGCTGGGAACCGGCAGGGCTCTCCTGGCCTCAGTGACTCCAGGCAGCTCCCAGGACCCTTCATAAGCCCCCAAGTTGGGGGTGAAAGGGGTTATGGGTGATGTGTGCCGGGAACAAACTCAGTTCCAGCATAGGTGCAGTATCTTTGGCCAGGAATTCAGCAAGCTTTGGATATTTGAAATCCAGCAAGAGTATTCTGAGGGTGAGGGGGCTGTGCAGCAGTAGACAATGAAAGTTTCCTCCTTGGTAGAATTAATCAATGGAATTAGGAGATTCCTGATATCCCTTAAGACAGAAAATATGTGATTCAGGAAGGTGTATGACCAAATATCGCTCCCAGTTTTTCTTTCTAAAAATACACACACACAAGATGAATACTCAAAACCCCCCCCCCCCCCCATCATATGAGACCTTTAAAAAATCCTCTCTGGCTAGTGTGTCTTAGAAGCTACTCGTTACTGCGCACTTGGCCTCCAAACACCTCAGTGAAGCAGTGTGGAAATTACAATGATGATTACTTGTTAATAACAACTAGTGTTTAACGAGCACATAACCATGTTCAGTTGGGGTCAGCAAACTTTTTCTGCAAAGGACCAGGCAGCAAATGTTTTTGGCTTTGTGGGCCATCCTCAACTCTGCTGCTGTGGCTAGAAAGCAGCACAGACAAAACTTAAAGGGAAGAGAGAAGCTGTGTTCAAATCCAAGTTTGCAAAAAGAGGCCATGGGCCTGATTTGGCCCATGGGCTATAGTTTGTCAGTTCTGTTCTAGGCGGTGTGCTAAGTGTTTTAGTGCATAATCTCCTTGAATCCTCATAGTAACCTAGGGGGAGGGTGCTGTTATATATTCATTTTTAGAAATAAAGAAACTGGCCAGGCACAGTGGCTCATGCCTGTAATACCAGCACTTTGGGAGGCTGAGACAGGCGGATCGCTGGAGGTCAGGAGTTCGAGATCAGCCTGGCCAGCATGGTGAAACCCCATCTCTGCTAAAAATCCAAAAAATAAAACTAAAAAATAAAATATAAGCCGGAGGTGATGGTGCAAGCCTACTCAGGAGGCTGAGGCAGGAGAATCACTTGAACCCGGGCGGCGAAGGTGGCAGTGAGCCGAGATTGCGCCACTGTACTCCAGCCTGGACAACAGAGCAAGACTCTGTCAAAGGAAGGAAAGGAAGGAAAGAAAGCAAGCTCAGAGTCAGGGTTAGGTACGTTGACCAAGATCACAAAGTTAATATGCAGTCCAGTTGCAATTCAAACACTTAACTCTAATTCTCTAGTTAAGAGTTTGTAGATGAGATTTATGGAGTCAGGTACTGTTACTGGGGATCAGGTACTGTTGTCTTTACAACTCAATTATTATACCCATTTTATAGATGACAAAACTAAGTCCAGATAGGTGAACTGACTGGCCCAAGGGTACACAGCTCAAAAGTGGCAGAGCAGAAGTCTGAACCTGAGTGGTCTCTAATTCCACAATCTCGTGTCTTAACTGCTTAACGCTCAGGACTTTCTTTGGAGGTAGGTCACTGGGCAGAAGGTCCAGGCGGGCAGAGCTCTGCCAAATCATTCCTTCATCACTGGAAAAATATGAGATCCAATCCCTACTCTGACTGTGCCCACCTGTCCCCACAATAGGTCACAGGAAAAAGAGCTGACTGTGCTTTGTGGCCCCCTAACCCTGAACATATGTGGGGTTTCAAAGGCAAAAGGACTTGAAATCTGGACATGAAAGCCCCAGCCAGCTGCCCTGATCAAGTCTCAATCAATTAGTCCCTCCCGGCCCAGGCACTGGATCTCTCCGTGGAAGCTGGAAGGACAGAACCCCCACCCTGTGCCGAGTCAGCACTGGCATGCCCAGAATAGGAGCACTCAGCCCAGCGCCCCCCGCCCGCACAGCCCACTCATAATGACACCCAGGCAGCCAGGTATGGAGCAGATAGCAATTTTCCTTTTTACTTATTGGTGCAAGGCAAGTCAGAGAGCCTGACAGGGCCCCAAACAAGCTGTCAGGAACTTCTAATTAAGGCTGAATGGCATAAAGAGTGCACACGCCCTCCCAGCCTCAGAATTAGCAGGACAAAGTACCGAGATGGAGTCAGACAGGCTGAAAGAGAAAAGCCTGAAGTGGGGCTGGGAGGGGAGGGAGCCGAGGGCTGAATCATGAGAGGCGAGCCCCAGCCTCCCGGCCTTTGGAGCTGGCTCCAAGAGCTTGTCCCCTCTCCCAGGGCTCCAAGAGAACACGCGAATGAAGGGGGTAAAAACTGAACCACATCCCTTGCACTTGCAAACTCCATGCTTCCTCCTCCTTCTCACTTCCCAAAGAATTTGCTGAGTCTCAGAGAGGTACTGGGACGGTGTCTAAGTCTTGGACTTGAGTCAGCCAGACCTGGATTCAAACTCTGGCTCTCTTGCCATTTGAATTCCAGTTTCCTCATCTGTAAAATGGTGCACAGCAATAGTGGTGCTTGGCTTGAGCAGGGTGTGTGAGGATTAAATGAGAGAATTCCTGCAAAGTGCTTAGCACAGTACCTGACACATAATAAGTGCTTAATAAATGGCAGCTTTTATGGTTTTCATTACCATTACTAGTTAACCATCATTAACCTGAGGTTACGCTGAGTCCTACATGAGGGACAGGCACAGACTTTGTCCTCTAAGAAGTGTCCTGAGGAAACATTTACTGGCCCTCTCATAAGCAATCTTGTTACATTTTCATCCTCAACGTTTGTCCAAGGCAGATGTGGCAATCCCCATTGTACAGATGAGAAAACCAAGATGCGGAGAGGTGAACTGACTTGCTCAGAACCTCATACTTAACAAGTGGCAGATTCCGGATTCAGATGCTGAAGTTAATCATCATAATCACAATAACAGCTACCATGTTCTGCACACTTGGACTGCACCAAGCACTATGCTAAACAAGTCATGTGCTATTTCCTCCAGTTACTGGCCCAGTTTTAAACAGCCTGGATAGCTAGAAAGAACTTCTTCTCAACTGAACCAAAATGTGCTACAATGTCTGCCCACGTGTCCTGAGTCTTCCTTTCGGAGATCCGTAGTTTAAGTCCAACCCTGTTCATATGTCACTCTCCAGGTGCCAAGGGTAATAGTCACCCCCTCCCCCAACCTGGAATTACTCTGGGTATTCCAACCATCCCTCAACAGCTGACATATTAGTTAGTTATTACAGTCAGGGGTTCCTGACCTCACCCTCCTGGCCCTGTTCTTTGGCCTGGGCCTGCTCCATTTGTCCATATATTTTCTGACTTGAGTATCTAAACCTGTGTTCCTAAATTGTTTAAAACTCGTCATGTTCCTCTTATATGTATATATAAATATATGTAATATATAAATATGTAAACATATATTTAAATATATGTAATATATAAATATATAAGCATATATTTATATATAAAAATGTTTATATAAAATATATCATATATCATATATAAATATATATCATATATAAATACATCATATAGAAAATATATAAATATATGATATATATGATATGTACATATATATATATTTTTTTTTTTTTTGAGACAGAGTCTCGCTGTCGCCCAGGCTGGAGTGCAGTGGCGCGATCTCGGCTCACTGAAGGCTCCGTATATTACATATTTTTTAAACTCACACTAATCATGATGTTTAAAATGTAAGTCATTTGTTCTTTACCAAGTAATTTCCAAAGAAAATTTTGTTTTGATCTTGAAAAGGCCACTGTTTTTGGTTTGGTATTGTTTTTGCGGTATTCTCAGGGTGACCATTAATTCTCCTTGCAAGTGGAGAATAGCACAATGGGTTACTTTCAACATCAGCTTCTTCTCTGCTTTGTAATTCGTGACATCCTTCCTCCTAGATTCTGCTAACCAGCCCCAGCTCCTGGGAAGGATCATGGCTCTACAGGAAAAACTTGAGGGTGGAAGCCAGAAGGCTTATGTCCAGGGCTCCAGCTGAAATGTATTTCTCTAAGTCAGGCACAGAAAGATAAATACCACATGCTCTCACTCATATGGGGGAGCTAAAAAAAAAAAAAAAAAGTTGAGCTCACAGAAGTAGAGAGTGAAACTGTGGTTATTAGAGGCTGGGAAAGATAAGGGGGAGGGGAGCCAGGGAGAGGTTGATTAACAGATCCAAAGTTACTGCTAGATAGGAGGAAAGAGTTCTAGTGCGCTAAAGCTCTGTAAGGTGAATATATTTAACAGCAATTTATTGTATGTTTTATAGAAGCTAGAAGAGAGGATTCTGAATGTTCCCAACACAAAGAAATGATAAATGTTTGAGGTGATGGATATGCTAATTACCCTGATTTGATCATTACACATTGTTACAGGTATCACAATGTCACTCTGTATCTCATAAACATATACAATTGTATGGCAACTAAAAAGAAAAACGAAACAATAAATAAACAGATAGAAGCATGGAGCCTGGAGTTCAGGCTGTGGACTGGCCCGCCTTGCCACCCTGTGGATTCAGGCTGAGGTGTAGACAACCAAACTCCTCTGGGTGTTTCAGATATGTTGCTGACAAATCTCATCCCCCATCCTGTCTCAATGCCTTCTGATTCTAGAAACAGTAGTTCCCACATATTCCTATTCAGTTTCATCTCATGTCCTACCCATAACTCCAGTCTATTGAAATAGCTTTGTATCATGTTTATTTCATAGCAAGGGGTTACGAGTATAGGTTCTGGAGCCAGATGGCCTGAGGTTGAATCTTAGTTCTGCAACTGGTTATCTCAGTTTCCTCATCTGTAAGATGAGAATAACAATGTGAAGTACCTCATTGGGCTGCTACAAAAATTAAATGCCAACACGTGATGTGTTTAAGAAAAGTGCCAAGCATGTGGTAAGTGCTGTAGTATGTTAGCTGTTAGCTATTTTTTAAAAAGTATTACTACTATACTGGTATTTATTACCCCTTGTAGCTTTAGGTCATTCACAGATTTTATTAGTATATCCTCTATATCTGCACCAAAGTCACTGATAACACATTTTGGAAAAAATAGGGGATCCCCATATTTCCAGATATGTTCTTCCAGTTTTGATCTCGGTCCATTAGGCATTCATTCCCTTGACCTGTTCCAAATACTCCTTATTGGATACCATCCAGGTTACAAATATCCAGCTTGTGTACAAGGATTGCCATGAGAGATTACAACAAATGCCGTGCTAAAATCCTCCTCCTATATCCAGAACATTATTTTAACCTTCCAGTATTTTACAAAAAAAGAGAGGTTTGCTCATCTGGCATGACTAGTTTACAGTGAACCCACCCTGATTTCTGGTGATTGCCCCTTACTTCCCTTTGTGTTCAAAATGACCCATTCCGCGGCTGTTTTAGAAGCCTGCCCGGGGTTGGCGTTGAGTTCATCTGTGGATTGACTGCAGCAGTCCCCTGTTTTTCCCCCTTGAAAAGTAAAATGACATTTGCCTTTCTCCCCACTTAGAGCCCTCTCTCCAGTTCTGTGCAGTTCCCCAGAGAGATCGCTGGTGATTTAGCAACCTCATCTGCAGCGTCTCCTCCCAACACCCTGGGAGGGAGGGAATGATGGGGCCAGAAGACACACCTATGTGGCTCAACCACGTCGTCTCCTCCCACCTCTGTACCATCTTGGGCTCAGGGCATTTGCCCAGGTTTTTATTACCTTTCCTAGACTAACTACCCTGCTCGCAGACAGAGAGGAAGGGAGCAAAAGAGAGCTTGGCTACGGCTGGTCCTTTATCTCCAATTAACATTACACTAGCTGCACTTAGAAGCAACCCTGCACTCTCTTCTTCTGGCTACAAAAGCAACTTTAAAAGCTTTGTTTAAAGGCCATCACAACATTTTTCCCCCTCCTGTCTCACCTCATCTGGAGTTTAGCCTTTCTGACCCTGGCCTTATAGAGAGCAATAAGCTGACCCCAAAGGCCTTCCAGTGTGTTGAGAATGTCAATCACTCAGGGGCAGCATGCACTTCGCTGAGGCCATAGGAGAAGTCACTGGGTCCCCTGGTCTGATTGGGTCCTCGTCCATAGGCAGCACCGCCAGGCACCACATGAGACAAGGGATGGAATTATGGACTGGAGCGGGAAAGAAGAATGAGGAAGACCCGCCAGGAAGAGGGGGCTGGGCTGTGGAAGGTGAGGGTGGGAGGTAGGAGGCACCCTGCCTGGAGCTAGCACACCAGTCTCCTGTGGTCTGTCCACTGGGATGTACAGAAGCTCCCAGATCCCCAGCCCTCTTGCTACTCTTTATTCATTAAAATGCTCAGATGCCGGCTAACTTTATTTGCTCAGTATTTATTTCACCAGCCTTGAAGCGGGAACAACAGGCAGCTTGATTGAAAGGTTGTCTGGTTGCATTGTGGCTCCTGTAAGTAATTCTACAGCCTCAGTGGAAATGGTATTTTATAACTTGCCAGAGCAGATAACCCTTAGTGAATTGGAATAGATATTCCTGCATCACCTAAGCTGTCTTCTCCTGAATGCCAGGCCTCTGAGAATCATTGCCCTTCTCCACACCCCCCTGACACTCTCTGCACTTGAGCCCTGCTCAGGAAACAAGGAGCCTGGAATATGTCAACCATCATCCACTACTCCACAAGAGGCATGGGGGAAAGGCCTAGAAGTGCAGCAGGAGGACCCCAGGTTAGACCTGAACTCATTCCAAGGGGCAAGACACTGGAAGGAAATGGGAGGGCAGAGGGAATGCATAAATTCTCTGGACACCCCCAAAGGCTAGACTGGCAGAGGTGGGCCCAGTACTAACTGGAAAAAGGAAATGGCTAAGATGCTTTCTGGAAAGCACTAAAAATAGGAGGGATTTGCTTCCCCAAGCACTTCCCTTGCCTCCCCACCAATCCTGACTGCCTCTGAGAAACTCAATCAGCAGAGCCCCTTCCCCAGGCATAGCTGGGCCGGTCTCCGTGGACGGGAGGCAAGTTGGATCTGGGCCCTCCACACCACTGTCTTCCCTGTCTGCTGCCCTTAGAGGGCAGAGGCTTGCCAGGCAGTACAGGCCTCTGTGCCTTGGGACTCCCAGAAGCTCAGAGTGCACGACTTATGTTCACCTGCCGTCCATCCCTTATCCAGAGTGACTCCATCCACAGGAGGTTTCAGAAGGCTGGTGCAGGGCAGAGGGAGCTTCAACTTCTGCCCTCCGACCCTCCTGCCCAGACTCTGATTGAGGCTCTGATCACAGCTCTGCAATCCCCCTCTCCTTACTATTATGACTAAATCAAGTTGGGTGATTTATTTCCCACTTATCTTTCCCATTTCCGCTCCCTGTCCGATCCGCACTGTTGAGCACACCAGAGTGAAAACATATCATCCGTTCCGATCAGCTGCTGCTCAGCCCAAAAGTACACCCCTCTTGCTGCCTTACTGGCAGAGAGGTCTGCAGGAGGAGGGAGGCCGGGCCTCCCAGGGCCTAGACACAGGGCTGGCCCCTGAACCCCATCTTCCAGGGGTTGGGGGAATTGTCCGGAGGCTTTGGGAGCCCCTGCAGAGGAAACAGGCCATGGTTATGCTACACAAAACAAAACAAAACAAAACAAAACAAAACAAAACAAAACAAAACAAAAAGGTAGGGAGGCAGCAGGCAGCAGGTCCCAGCAGAGGCAGCCACATTCCCCACCTGTTCCAGTTGAGCCCCTGCAGCCTCTCCAGCTGGGCCCTACCCACAGGTCCCATGCACTCCCCACCATATTGAGTGACAGAAGAAGTTCACCAGTGCCTGACATCCTCAGCCCAGGTCAGGCAGCCAGGCTGGCCATCCTCCCTGATGGATCATCCCCAGAGGGCACCGCAGCCATAGGACACCACCCACGAGAAGCAGGACGAAGTGGGAATCAAGAGTACTAGTTCTGGGCCTGAAATGCTTGGGCAGATTGCTCAGCTTCTTTGAGCCTCAGTTTCCTCATCTAGAAAAAGGGTAATAATCGCTACTTTGTAAAGATTGAATGAGGTTGTGTGTGTATCTCTGTGTGTGTGTGTGCGTGTGTGTGTGTGTGTGTGTGTGTGTATGTGACTGGATGCTTTAGGAAGTGGCATTTAAACCATTAAGCCAGATATTCTGTGTGGGGGAAGGGAGAGGAGGGACATCACCTTGGGGCAATTTGTTGTTGTTAGTATAGGAAAAAATCCCTTAGGTAACATTTATATTTATTTCATAGTATACTTTAATGTTTATATAAATATAAGGTCAGTGGGTAACTCCTGACCTAAGCAAAGGGCCCTTCAGGATGCTGTCTCTGTTTGGAAAGGCTGCCCTACCCCAGGTGTATGTGACCATGAGGGAGGTAGAGCCATGCATTTGAGAAACTCAAGAGGCTTCCGGAAGGAAGAAGACCAAGCAAGACCTCCACTCTTTCTTCGCAAGATCTAGTGTTCAAGCCATCTGCTGAGTAAGCCAGGGTGGCACTGCAGCAGATTTGAGGGTGGGAAAGGACCCCATGATCCCCAAAGAGGGGCTCAGAGTGAGAGCTGGTGACCTGCTAAACCCCCAGCATGGAGAGGTGCTTTGGTAGTGATCGCGGGAGAATGAGCTTGGATTGTGATGTGGAGGTCTCTGGGAACTGCAGGGGAGCATAAGCAGCTCTATAGGGACAGGAGACTTTAGGGTAGCAGCCAAAGCAACAGCATGACATATTGTACCCCAGGCAGCACGTAGCCTACTGGGGCCATAGCATGCTACAAATGTTGGCTCCTATGAATAATGGTGACAGCTGACACTCTTAAGTGTGTACTGTGTGCCAGATAGTACACTGTACTATCCACACCTTGTACATTCATTGACTGATTTAATTCTAGCAAAACTTTATTAAGTAGGTACTGTTCTTACCCCACATTTATAAATGAAGGATGGAGGTAGGGAGAGGTTAAATAATTTACTCAAGGTCACCAGCTGATAAGTAGAGAAGCTGGGATTTGAATCCTGGTTTGAGGTTGATGATAAAAGTTCTGCCTCTCTTCCAATAGGTCTAACCAACAAGACCATGTTAATTAGTCCCGTGAATCACTGTGGGATTAAGAGGATCCACAGATTATAGACAAACCTCAGGAAAACAGTAGGTACTGCCCAGGGGCTGACAGTGACCCCAGAATCTTCTCTCTCTCCATCCGTCTTCAGCATCCACACTTTCCACCTTCCTAAGCAAAACTTTCTCTCCAGAAAGGATGGATTCACTCACTCACCCTAAGTTGGGTGTGACTGCTGAGTATAGCATATTACCTCTCTTGATGTATTGCTTTTTAACTTGGCACAAATTCTGAGGTCAAAGGAATGAAATTCCAATCGTAAAACACCAGAGCCCAGCAATGCAAGGGACTGTATCCAGGTGAATGTCGGCAGGGATCAGGAGTCCCCACATGAATGTCTTTGAGAAGCCGACATTTTAGCAGGGAAGACAAACAGTTAAATAACCAACCACAGGAGAATACAGCTAGTGTTACAAGAAGTTATAGGCCAAGAATGGGAGCACAGGCGAGGTGAAGGGGCTGTCAGTGCTCCTGGGTGAGGGAGCTACTGGGGAGCTGTTGAGTAGAGCTTACTACCCATGATGATATCTGAGCCAAGCGTAAAAGACAAGGGGCTCAGAAGTGATCATTCTAATTGTCATCAGCTCACAGTTCTTGGGGTAATATGGGAAAGATGGAGCCAAGGGAAGTAAGAAAGATTCTTATAGATGAATTTATAGAATGTTTTAGGAGGAGGGAGCAGTGATTTGCTGTCCCTAAGAAATCCTGACATCAGAATGGTTGCTTAATACTAGCAAACTGAATCCAGAAGCATATAAAAAAGATTGTGTACTATGACCAAGTGGGATTTATCCCAGGAATGCAAAGCTGGTTTAACATCAGAAAATCCATTAATGTAATACAACACATCCATAGAATAAAGGACAAAACCCACATGATCATTCAATAGACACACAAAAAAGCATTTGACAAAATTCAACTCTCCTTCATGACAAAAACACTCAACATAATTAGGAATAGAAGGAAACTTCCTTAATCTCATAAAGGGACTCTGTGATAAACCTCTAGCTAACATCATATGTAATGATGAAAGAGTGGATACATCCTCCCTAAAATCAGGAACAAAACGAGGATGTCCATCCTCACCACACCACTTCTGTCAACATTGTACTGGAGGTTCTCACCGGGGCAATTAGGCAAGACAAAGAAATAAAAGGTATCCAGATTGAAAAGGAAGAAGTAAAACTATCTTTTCTCTATTTGTAGATGATGTAATCCTGTATATAAAAAACCCTTAGGAATTCATTAATAATTATTATAACAAATAAGTGAGTTCAGCAAGGTTTCAGAATACAATATTGATACTCAAAAATCTATTGCATTTCTATATACTAGCAATGAACAATCCAAAAGTGAAATTAAGAAATAATTCTATTTACAATAGCATCCAAAAAGAATACATTACTTAGGAATAATTTTAAGAAAAATGTGTCCAAAGAATGCTCTGAAAACCATAAAACATTATTGAAAGTAATTAAAGAAGACATAAATAAATGGAAGGATATCCCATGTTCATAGGCAAAAAGTCTTAATACTGTAAGATGGCAGTACTCCCCAAATTGGCCTACACAGTCCCTAGCAGAATTCCAGCTGGTTTCCATAAGCTGATCTTTAAAAAAGTGTGTAAAGAATTGCAATGGGCTCAGAATAGCCAAAACAATCTTGAAAAAGAAGAAAAAACTGGAGGATTTACATTTCCCAATTTTAAAACTCACTACAAAGCTACGGTAATCAAGATAGTGTGGTACTGGTGTAAGAACAGACATTTAGATTAATGGAATAGAAATGAGAGTCCATAAACCCTCACAAATAGGGTCAACTGATTTTTGACAATGGTGCCAAGACCACTCAGGAGAGGGGAAAGGACAATGTTTTCAACAAGTGGTGCTATAGCAACTGGATATCCACATGCAAAAGAACGGAGCTGGACCCACTACCTCATACCATGTACAAAAATTAACTCAATATGTATCAAAGACTTAAATGTAAAAGCTAAAAATATAAAACTGTTAGAAGAAAACATAGGGATAAATCTTCATGCCCTCAGATTAGATAATGGTTTCTTTAGATATGATACCAAAGCACAAGCAACAAAAGAAAAAAAATGGGTACATTGGATTCCATCATAATAAAATGTTTTGCACTTCGAGAAAGTGCAAAAGACACCATCAAGAAAGTGAAAAGACTATAGAAGAAAATATTTGTAGAGCATATATCTGATAAAGGACTTGTGTGTAGAATACATAAAGAATTCCTACAACTCAATAATAAAAGGACAACTCAATTTTAAAATGAAAATTATGTCTTTATATCTAAGAAAATATATGAATGGCCAATAAACACCTGAAAAGATGCTCAACAACATTAGCTACAGGAAAATACAATTAAAGCCATGAGATACCACTTCACACCCCTTGGGTGGCTGTTGTGATAGACAGGATAATGACCTTCCAAAGATGCCCAGCATCCTAATCCCCTAGAACAGGTGAATATGTTAGCTTATCTGGCAAAAGGAATGCTGCTGGTATGATTAAATCAAGGAATCTGAGATGGGGAGATTATCCAAGTGGGCCCAATGTAATTGCAAAGGTCCTTTGAAAAAGGGAGTCAGGCCGGGCGCAGTGGCTCACGCCTGTAATCCCAGCACTTTGGGAGGCCAGGGCGGGTGGATCATGAGGTCAAGAGATTGAGACCATCCTGGCCAACATGGTGAAACTCTATCTCTACTAAAAATACAAAAATAAGCTGGGCGTGGTGGTGTGCGCCTGTAGCCCCTGCTACTTGGGAGGTGGAGGCAGGAGAATCGTTTGAACCCAGGAGGCAGAGGTTGCAGTGAGCTGAGACCATGCCACCGCACTCCAGCCTGGCGACAGAGTGAGATTCCATCTAAAAAAAAAGAGGGAGGCAGTGGAATCCGGAATCAAAATCGAGAAGGAGCTGTGACAAGAAAGCAGAGGTCAGAGTGATACAATTGCTAGCTTTAAAGCTGGAGGGGGCCAGGAGTCAAGGACAGTGGGTAGCTTCTCCAAGTTGGAAAAGGCAAAGAAACAGAACCTCCCCTACAGCCTCCAGAAAGAATGCAGCCCTGATGACACACTGATTTTAGTCCCGTGAGACTCATTCCAGACTTCTGACCTCCGGAACTGTGTGACAATCAATGCATGCTGTTTAAGCCACTACATTTGTGGTAATTTGTTAGAGTAGCAAGAGGCAACCAACACAGCAGCAATCAGAAGGAAAGATACCAACAGGATTTGGAGAGGATGTGACGAAACTGGGACCCTTATACCCTGCTGGTGGGAATGTAAAGTGTGCAGCCACTTTGGAAAACAGTCTGCTAGTTCCTTAAGAGGTTAAACAGCATTCCCATATGATCCAGCAATTCCCCTCGCAGGTATCTACCAAGAGAAATTAAAACATACACCCGCACCAACATTTGTAAACAAATGTTCACAGCAGCATTTTTCATTATAGCCCAAAAGTGGAAATACACCTCATATCCATCAATGGGCGAATTGATAAATCAAATGTGGATTCATCCTGCAACACAGATGAACCTCAAAAACATTCTTCTAAGTGAAAAAAGCCGGACACAAAAGGCCACATATTGTATGATTCAATTTATGTGAATTCCAGAATAGGTAAAACTATACAGACACAGATTAGTGTTTGCCTCGGTCAGGGAAAGGGATGGGGGAAATGACTGTTAATGGTTGTGGGGTTTCCTTTAAGGGTGATGAGGATGTTGTAAAATTGATTGTGGTGATGGCTATACAGCTCTGTGAATATACTAAAAACAATTCAATCATACACATTAAATGGGTATATTGTATGGTATGTGAATCTCAATAAAGCTGCTACTAAAAAAAAAATTGCCTGCCCTATTGTGCCCAGAGAAGGTGGTCAATCACAGATTAACAGGGGCGCCTCAGCTCTGTCTTAGCAAGCCAAGTGCAATAGAAAGAACCGCAGCCCTCTGGTTCACCTGAGAAGTTATGACGCCAGAACAGGGGAGATACTGCTTTCCCACACCCCAAGGTCCTCAACATGGGTGTTGGAAAGCCATCCACAAAGACTCCTGCCCACCTCTCTGGCCTTGTATGTCACTGTTCCAGCCTCACAGTGCATAAGCTATAATTCTGAACCACTGAAGTCATCCTCACATGCAGCTGCCACCTGCCAGCCATAGATCACACTGCCTCTTTTCCCTGTAAACTCCCTTGGCCCAACTCCTACACATCTTTTAAGACCCCTGTGGCTTCCCCAGGTGGCCCCCTGGATCCCCCCAGAAGCTGGGCAATCTGCCCTCCTCCATACTTCCTCGGGGTCACATAGCACATAGATCCTTACAGGTAGCTCTTCCCTGTCGTTTAATACCACAATACATGTAGCTGTTACATGTCTCTTTCACCATAGCTTTTAAGTTCCTTTAGAGCAGAAAACACCTCTTATTTGTCTTTGCAGTTTCACTATCTAGCATTGTCTGGCACATAGCAGGTGCTCAATAAATGTGGATGAAATGGCACAACAGGCTATTTTTTCCAGGCTGAACCTGGGCAGACACAGCTGGGACCCACAGTAAAGAGAAAGAAAAAGCAGCAGGTGTCTCAGCATGGGTGTCTCAGCATGGTCCACGCAAGATCAGGCTGGACAGAGGGCCGGGGTGATGTCATCTTCCTCTTCCTTCTCCTCCCTCTCCATAGCTACCTTCCAGGCTCAAGGGCCCTACTGTCCTCCAGGAGTCACATAGCCCTTACTGTCCTCCAGGAGTCAAAGGCACTGCCCCTCCCAGGGACATTTGCATGTAAACAGCAGACTCCTGAAGACTGCAGAGCTTTGGGAAGAACAGGTGAATGCTGATGAGCCTCCATGGTGCACAGGTGCTGTGCTGGAAGCTTTTGCATATATTCCATTCTTGATTCCTCATGATAAACAAGTATTATTATTTTCCAGTTTATTTTCCAAAATAAGACACAGGCACAAAGAGACCAAGAAATGGGCCCAGGATTGCACCAACAGTGATGTGGCAGCAGAGGCACCCAGACCTAGGTCTTCCTGGTTCTAAGGACCCTGCTCACCTATTTCACACACCGAGTCTTCTTTCTTGTTCTGCTACTAACAAGCTTTGTAACCTGAGGGTAAGATTACTTCTTGGGGGCCTGGCTGCCTCTATTATAAAAAGACGAGTTCCAAGGCCCTATCTGGCTCTCACACTGTATCTGGATGAAGGCTGGAATTGTAGACATGGTGAGAGGTCCGACCGGGGAACCTCTTAGGACTTAGACCACACACATGCAGGCCAGCTCTGGGCCCACCTCAAACCCAGCCTCCGGACAGAAGGACCAGGCTGCTGTCACTTCTGAAAGGTCTGCAGAGGGATAGCTGGGCCTGCTCTTACCTCTCTCCTTCCGGAAAGAGCACAGTGACGACTGCCCAGCTTCCTTGGGAGCCAAGCATGAAATATGGGAAAAGCCAGGAATTATTATTATTATCATTATTATTATTATTATTGCATGTAAATTATGCATGACTAACTCGGGAGGAGGGCCACACTTTCTTTTTCCAGATCCTACGAACGTCGGTATGATAATAACAAAAAAAAATTATATGCTTGAAAACATGCACCCAGCACTGCCCTATGTTTTCTTCTAATTGTTTCCAGAGCCTCCAAGAGCCACATTTAAATAAAATGAAGCAATTATTTAGTCTGCAATTAAAGACTGCAGTGATTTATTTTTAAATAGGAATATCATCAGGGGTGAACTGGCAGGAGAGGAGGACAGAGAGGGCCCAGAGCTCGGGGCAGAGGCAGGGAGGAGCATCAGGAGGACATGCGGGGGAAGGGGCCAGAAAGGGTTGGTGGCCCTGCACATCCCGGAAGACCAGAGCAGCCATCCCTGATCTGCTCTGTTTTGTGAACCTCCTGTTGCTCTCCCCATTTAGGCCCTGTGCAGTGCTTAGCACGTAGTAGCCTCCCTACAAATCCAGAATGAATGCTAAGGAAGCATGGTCTGGTAGCGCACTGCCTCCCGAAGAATCCCTGGTGCAGAGTGGGGCTCAGTGAGTGGGGGTGAATGATGTGCCTCTATCTGCATGGATTTTTGGCCCTGTGAACAGCTGCTTTGTCCCTACACTCTTGGAAGTGGTAGACTCAAGGTGGTGGCAGGCCAGTCTGCTGACTACGAAAGGATTACAGATGAAACCTGCCTGTGGCTATTGCCCAAAGCCACAGTCACACCCTCCTGCAAGAGAGTGCAGTCAGGCCTGCGGTCCCTCGACACGGCAAGGAAGGAAGCATTAGTTGGGGTGGGGAAATATTTGAGGGTATTGGAAGAGAGCCCTTCTAGACCTCAGGTCTCAGGGACCAACTGCATGCATATATGTGCACATCTTGTCTTTTGGGGGACCATCTGGATAAGTCATCTTCCTCTGGGCCTCGAATCTCAGGAACCGATTGCATGCATGTAAAACATGCATCTTGTCTTTTGGGGGACTGTCTGGAGAAGTCATCTTCCTCTGGGCCTCAAATCTCAGGGACCAATTGCATGCATGTAAGCATGCATCTTGTCTTCTGGGGTACCGTCTGGAGAATTCATCTCCCTCTGGGCCTCCAATCTCAGGGACCAATTGCATGCATGAAAGCAGGCATATTGTCTTTTGGGGGACCATCTGGATAAGTCATCTTCCTCTGGGCCTCAAATCTCAGGGACCAATTGCATGCATGTAAGCATGCATCTTGTCTTTTGGGGGAGCATCTGGATAAGTCATCCTCCTCTGGGCCTCGAATCTCAGGGACCAATTGCATGCATGTAAGCATGCATCTTGTCTTTTGGGGGACTGTCCGGGGAAGTCACCTCTTTGGTCACTCCTCTTTTCTCACCTCTCCAAGTTACTGCCCAGTGACCTCACTGCTGGGACACTTCCAAAGGCATGGCCTTTCACCCTGATTTACCTGGCCCTAGGGAGATCTTTCTCTAGGAAGCAAGAGCACTTACGGGGTGGGGGAACCCAGTGATGGAAAAGGTGGGGAGAGATGGGTCCAATAGAGCCATCTTCAGTCTCCGGAAAACCTTGCTGGGAGACTAGAAAATCCCTGCTGGCCCCTCGGGTCCCCACATTCTCAACTTCCCCAACACTGGCTTCCCCATTCCTAGAAAGCACCAACTCTCAGTAGACTTGGGCCACCTCGGGCTCTCCCCCAGCTCTGCTGGGTCAGTGCCTGCTCTTATTTTAAACCTTGAATTGTTACCTCCTCTGAAAACCCTTCTCAGAGCCCCATCCCTGCACCCCCATTCTCTCCTGATCTCTTCCGTAGCTTTTGTGATTGCTTGGTGATTGCTTGGCATCTGTTTCCTGTTCTCTTTTGTAAGCTCCAGAGGGGGCAGGGACTATGCCTGTTTTGTTCCCCAGCCATATCTGCAGGGCCTGGTGCATAGCTGGTGCTTCATAAGTATTTGCAGAGTACATGATGAGTGGGAGGAAAGACGAGACAGGTGAGAAAGGTGGTTTAGGAGGACTGAGGCTGGGGCTGGGATTCAGAGGATAAGGACGGACATGCATCACAGCAAAAGAGTGGGCCCAGGGAAAGCCAGGGGCGGAGCTGCTGCTGTTTGCCTCTGGCTGCTGGTTGGGCCTGTGGGTGGCTGAAGTCATCTTTCCTGCAAGAAAGCTTGGGACTTGGGGAGGGGGGCGTTTAATGGGGATTCAGGTCAGGCTGTGGAGAGTCCCTCACAGCCCTTGCTTACTCCACACAGCCAGCCTTCCCTCGGGGGACCAGACCACATCTTTGGCCTTGCAGGGTGGAAAGGGCAGATGGACTGTCTTACCCCGTAGCATCCCCCTTCCCAAAAGCTCACAGCTGGCCCCAAGTCCCCACTGGAAGGTCAGATGGGCTTTCATTAGGTGGAGGAAGGAAAGAAGACAGGAAGAATTTGAAGCCCAGGAACGCCAAAGAGTGTGTCTACGGCCACAGAGAATCCTGGCAGCAGAGCCATGGGGCTGGTTTACAAGGGACTTTCATGTTCATGATCTTATTCCAAATCTCACAGGGCATGTATTACTATCCTCATTTTACAGATGAGAAAACTAAAGCGTGGAGAAGATGCAGCATTGGCTCAAGGTCACACAGGTTAAAAAGAACAGGTCCAAGACACCTGCCCCTGAAGAGAGGAGAGGCTGGGCGGGGCAGGGGTGGGCGGGGCTGTCTACAAGAGGAGGACAATAACGCCTTTCAAAAGCACATGAAAAAATAAAGCAAGAAGAAGGCTGGCCCTCCATAGAAAGAGAGGGAAACCCAGAATATCTTTTTCTTTCCCAGAATGGCAGCCTGTGTGAGCCTGCGAGGACCTCACATCTGTCTGCTCATACAAAATGAAAGAGGTTTTGAAAAACAAGAGAGACCATAATAAAGCATAGACTATGCTGGGCCCGGAGCTGCGTCCAGCGGGTCCTGTCACTGTCACGACCAGGAGACAGCAGCCTAGCTGTTCCTGCACCCTGGCTTCCCCCAAGCCCCAGGGCTCCTGGAAAGGGGCAGACCAACAGATACATTTGCATCAGGGCTGAGGGAGGAGCCAGGAGACCCAGCACCCAGCTAAGGGGCAACCATGCAGAGCCACAGTTCCTAGTGCACACTCCTATAGTGATCTCAGCACTGCTTCTCAGAACCCAACCCCTATCTATAGGGCTCCCCAGAGAGCTCCCAGAAATCACAGACTGGCAGTGTCTCTTACTGGGGCTGTATTCATTATCTACTGCTGCAAAACAAATCACCCCAAGACTCAGCAGCTTAAAGTGATGTTATAACCCCACAGTTTCTGAGGGTCTGGAATCCTGAAGTGGCTGAGTTAGGTGACTCTGGTTTAGGGTCTCTCATGAGACTGTGCAGCTATAAGCCAGGCTGCAGTCACCACGAGGCTTGGCTGGTGCTGGAGAATTTGCGTCCAGCTTACTCAGGTGTCTGCGTCGGGCCTTGATCTCTTCTGGCCGTTGGCTGGAGGCTTCAGTTCCTCACCATGTGGGCATCTCAATATGGCTGTTTGCAACCTGATGGCAGCTTCCCCAAAAGCCAGCCACCCAGGGGTGAGAGCCCAAGATGGAAGCCATAGTCCTTTACAACCAAATCTCAGAAATGACATCATCACCTCCATCACATGCTACTGGTCACACAAACCAACCCTGGTGCAAAATGAGAGAGAACTACAAGAGGTGTGGACCCAAGAGGGAGGATGGTTAGGGTCATGCTGAAGGCTGGCTGCCATGGGGGTACAATTTGGGTGGGAAAATTCTTCTCTGTGTTTGGCATCCTTGGTCTTGCCCTCTGAATGCCAGTAGCTCCCACCAGTCATTCTACAGCTAACAGCTCCTCCCTGATCCCCTTTCCCTGACACACACACATTTCCAAAAGCTTCTTAGGGTTGCTTCTTATCACAGAACCATTGGCCCCATCTCCTCATTTTATTGACAAGCAAATGGTTTTGGCAATAACACGGAAGACATCGTTCACACAGTGGAACAGAACAACTGTGAATTGTAGGTCCCTCCGTGTGGGATTCACAGCCCATTTCTCACTAGCTGTTGCAATGTGGGCAAGTTCTTTCTCATCCTTCGGCTCCCAGTTTCTGCTCTGTGAAGTGGGGGTAATGAGACCTAGATTGCAGAGGCATTACAGGGGGCAAACGAGACCACATTGTCAAGCACCGGCACACAGCAAGAGCTCAACAAGCTGCTATACACAGTGTGGGTATCAGGCTCCAGGTGAGAGATCTGCTGTTCCTTTGAGGTCCACTATTTAAGAAGGCAACGCTGTCCAGCTGAAAGAACACGGTCCTATGAATCGGGAAGCTTGAACTCCATTCAAGGTGCTTTAAACCTTCCTGGGTTTCAGCTCCCCTAGTTATAAGTTAGAAAAGATAATTTTCACTTCTTTCATCCTTTCCAGTTATTCTATGATGAAAAAGGAAGAACAGCTGTAAAAGGCTTTTCAGGATTTAAAGTCTGAGTGTTGTGAACAAGGGCCAGGTTCCGCATCTGGTCCATCTGATGTTCCCAGTGGACTTCAGGCAGGCAGTCGCTAGATCAGCAAGCATACAGTGCATGGGGGAATGCCAGGTGCCGCCTGCTCCCAGGGAGCACACCTCAGAGCTCAGCGACCAGTGCACCCAAAGGGGATCGTGGCATAATGCTGTCCAAGACCGGGACAGCAGGACAGCGGGGCAGGCTGGGGGCCTACAGAGCACCAACATGCTGCCCCAGGTGGCCATGTTCCTGAATATGGAACACACCGTACCGCTGATGTATATGTTTAAGGTGGTGTTTATGATTGCTAAAATGATGGTACATCATCCATCCATAGTCTAGCTCAGAATCAATGACATCCTATAATCCAGCAACTGTAAAGGGTTCACTTGCTGGGCCTTGGGAAGCCTTCACTGAGGAGATACATTCGCGGAGGGGTTTATGAAGAGTTGCAGGCTTCCATGTCAAGAAGGGCAGTCCCAGCAATGGGAGCAACCAGAGGGAAGCCAGAGAAGCATGAGATGGCATGGCAGGCTCTGGGGACTGGGAGCAGTCCAGTGTGGTTGTGACAGCGAGTGTAGATACTTATTACACACACAGTGAGGAGTCATGAAAGGTTTAAAGTCAGGCAGTGATATGATCAGATCTCTATTTTAGATAGAGGTGGAAAGAAATTGGAGGCACTGAAATCAGTTAGGAAGCAATTGCAGGCTGCATGGGTGAAAGATGATGACTGCCTGAAACAGGCAGAATGTAGGTTACTCAATAGATGCTTACTGCTGAATGATTGTGTGTGTGTGTACATCTATATACAGATACATATTCTGCATTGTTCTAGAAGGGGACAGTTTCAAATGGCACCAATTCATTTCTTCTCCACCCACATACTCTGAACTCTTTTCTCACCTTCTGCCAGCACTCCAGCGATTCCAACCTTCTTAGTACTTTTCTTGCTAGAATCCACCCAGTTTTCCACACAAAATGAAACCTATTTTGCATTCTAGGTCATTCCCTCCCTAAGAAGAATTTTGTGGGTCTAGCAGTAATTAGCTCTGTGTTTCTCAAGTCTTCCCCTAGATGCTGACGTCAGCCAGACCCCTCTGGCTGACGTCAGCATTACTCATACAACGTCAATGTCAACCATGCTTCCTCCTCACCAGCTATCATGTGTCTGCGCACACAGGTAATGCACATTTGTTCCCATGCAGACTGCTTGTGTGTCCATATGAAATGTACCTACAAGTGTAATCATAAAAACATGGATGACTGGACTCATGCCCATTCCACTGGGTCTCCAGGCTCAAAGCTTTGGCTTGCCCAGGCATTTCTTCCTTGGTCTGAAAGGATTTCCATGATGCCCAGGGAAGAGGTTTAGCATGAGCCTCTCCGAGAGTAACTTTCATGACCGTCTGCTGGCAGCCCCACCCCTCTGTGGTCTGGAGCCACAGTGCAGGTTTGCACCGGTATAACTGTATCTCTATTTTGGAAGTGCTGACTTTGACAGTCTACTGGATGCAACTCCAAGTCTCTCTGCAGCAGTCCCTTTCCCTGCATCTGGGTACTTTTCATGGTAAGAGATGAAGAGATGTATTGTCACATCCTAAAAGGAGAAGACTAGAACAGTCCACCAGAAGACAGAGGGAAAACACCTCTACCCCAGAGAAGAAATTACCAGCTTCAAACAACACATGTAGTTTGTAGGGTTTGAACAACACTTGTAGGGCTTGAACACATATTGTCTAATCTGATCCTCCAAATAATACCTCAGGGTAATAAAAGCAAAGGTTTCCATTGCCAATTGATAAAGAAAGAAAACTAAGCCTCAGAGAGGTGAGAAGATATGCCTATATTAATGTCACTAATAACAGGCAGGGAAGGGACTTGACTCCTGGTCTCCTGACTCCCACTGCACAGGCTACCATGAAAGATTTCCTAGGATGGTGGTTCTTGAAGGAGGGCCTGGCCCAGTAGCATCACCTGAGAGACTGTTAGAAATGCAAATTCTTGGACTCCATCTCAAACCTACTCAATCGGAAACTCTGGGGTTGGGGCCCTGCAATTTGTGCTTCACTAAGCCCCCCAGCCGATACTGTTGTGCACACAAGTTCGAGAACACTGACCTGGGACATGGGAATGGATAATGAGATAAAACAGATAAAAGGACTTTAATCCCACAAAGCCTACATATCAACAGAGAATGCCTGGGAGCAGCTGGTGGCTGCTTATTTCATCTGTAGACAGCGTGAGCCACGCAGTGCCCTCAAACCGAAGTCAAGCTATTTACCCACTAGAACCCCACAGTGGATACTGGACTCTGTGCATGGTTATTCAGGGTGTGCACTGTACGACTCAAAGGCAACAGTGCCCCTGAAGATGGGCTGCATGGCCATTAGTGGTGGCTGGGAAAGTCCTGGGCAAACCAGGATGAGTTGATCACCCCAACACCCAAGGTCTCACATGGTAGCTGCAATGGGCAAATCTGAGATTGATCAGAAACAGGAGGAGGAGGCATTGTCATATATTTACTGCCATTTGGTTCTAATTCTAGAGCCCCTGGTCTCACCACAGACTCAGCTGCAGCCCCTTTGACATAAAATATCTCCACCTCTGCTCAGATCCATCTGCTCAGACACTTGGGCACATGACCAACATTTTTTAGCATTCAGGGGCTGTGACGTGTGCAAGTCCAGAAGAGGAACCAATGGGTAGAGATTCCCAAAAGGGATGTTTCCAACAACCAGATGTAGGCAAGAGAATGGGCACCTTCAAGAGAGAGGGGCTCCTTGGTTACAGGGAAGAGCCAGGCAGGGGCTGGACAACTACCCACAGGAAGGGAGGACCAGGGCCCTTACATATATTATTTTACCTAATCATGGCAATGGTTCTGTGGGAAAAAAAGTACTCTATTAAGCCCATTTTACTGATGAGAAAACAGGCTTAGAGAGGATGCAGCACTTGCCACAGGTTATGCAGCTGGTAATTTGGACCTTGGTCTGACTCTGACTTCAAAGTTCATACTCTTTCCCCATTAGTGTTCTATCTACATCTAACATTAAGGTGACCAATGATCCCAGTATGCCCAGGACTGAGGTGGAGAGGAGGTTCTTAGGAGATGGGACTTTCAGTGCTAAAACCTGAGTCCTGGGAGAACCAGGACAAGCTGGTCACCCTGTCTCACACTGAAAGTCTTCATCTTTAGGGCTTACAAGACTCCATTTCCAGTCCCTTCCTATTCTCCAACCCTGGCCCCCGTCAGCAGACCTCATTACTGATGCTGTCAACCCCCTGGCAAGCACCCCACTGCCCAGGTATCATGCAAAAGCTCACTCCTGCCACACCGTTGACTCCAGCCACCTAGCAAATGTTGAGAAGGGACAAGCCTCGTCTTAGCAAGGGGCAAGCCCCAGCCATGGCCATCCTAACTCCAAGGTTACATATTTATTGTTCAAGAAATGAGGACTGCCAATAACTATGGCCACAGATTTGTTGCTGCACACTCGCATCTCCAGAAGGAGTACAGCTGGGCTTGACCAGAAGCAGGGGTTGGCTAAGCCAGACCAAGACAGAGTGTGCACCTGAAACAAGTGCATGAGAACAGCAGCTCCCAGCCAGCCAGGCCATCAGATCCAAATGCAGATGTCAGGCAAGCTGGAGGGGAGGGATTCCTTGTTTGAGAAGAAAAGGTGAACTGGACATTACCTGGCAACTACCAATGTGGGGTACATTTTCTTTGTTTTCTTATTTATAAATATCCCTAGCAATCCTGGAGGTAGGTGCTTTTGACAGAGATGGTCTCCACCAGAGATTTGTGCCTCTCCTTCCATAGTATGGAGTTGTTGCTGTAAAGCAGCCGCCCAGCCAGGGACTCTGCTTTCCCAGAACTCCTTACATCTAGGTGGGGCACCTACTGATTCCTGGCCAGTGGGATGTGGGTGGAAGCGACAAATGCCATGCCTGGGTCTGGTCTACAAAAACCTCCCACTTCATTCTCCACATTCGATCTCTTCTGCCATCTCTCTCTGAATGGTGATGATAAGTGCAATCTTGAGAGCCAGAGGTTAAAGACAATGGATTGTTAGTTAGCCTGGATCCCTGGATGACTGCATGGAGCAGATGCCCACTGCCTATTGGATTCTACATGAGCAAGAAATATAATTTATTGTGTTAAGCCATTGAGATTTAGGGTTTTTCTATTACAACAGCTTGCATCACCAAAGTGGGAATGCAGTGTTATTCCCATTGACAAATGAGGAAACTAAGGCTCAAAGATGTGTGGGAACTTCCCTTAAGAACACATAGTAATTAGGGAAGGTGGAACCACCAATGCTCCTGTTCTTTCCCCTTTTCCAGGCTGCTCCACACAACACAGTGCTCTTTGTGTTAAAGCATGTCCAGCTTCCCTCCCCATGAAGCTGCAGGCCTCTGGACTCTGGTTCTGGGCCTCTGCCACTGCATCCCTCAGCATCACTAGGAGGCCTTAAGTGACTCTTGCATCCTGAGGGATGCTGCATGGAGCCCACAAGCTCCATACCACAGGCAAAGTCCAAGTTGGCTTAGTATCATGGTGGGAATGCAGGACAAGAGGGGAAAGGAAAATTGGACCCTGGTGGCCAGCAGGTTTTGTGCCTACTGGGTAGTCATGACCCCTGAGAAAGGTTACCCTGGGCAAATGCTCTCAGGGAGGAAACAGAATGAGACATCTCCTCTCCTCAGCTCCAACACCTGACCTTGGGTCTTTGGACGATGGCTGGCCCATTGCTAGATGACAGATGGCACATCATCTCATAGGGACTCACCTATAGAAACTGGGTCTAGGAAAGTCTCAGGGATGCATGGAGGAGGAATTGCGAAACCCAATCCTGAGTTCAGGCCCTCACTTCACAGACTGAGACACTGAGGAGGCCCATAGTGGTGAAATGACTTAACCCAAGACTGTAGACGGTGCTACCTTAGAGAGGAAGCCTGAGGTCAAACCCAGAGCTCCTAACTCCCAATCTAGTGATGACAGGACAAACATGGTGCAATTTACAGACAGAGCTAAATCCCTAGGTTGAGCCAGAGGCCCATTTTGGGACGCTGGTGGTACTGGGTCTGTCCTGGGGCCCCACCCCATGGCTGGCTGTGGGACCCTCCTATTCACTAATGCAGGAATCTCAAATGCTCTAAAAAATAATAGGATCAAGTCCATCTGGTAACACTCTGAGCTTGGAGGAGGTGGAGGTGACTGGGCGGTGAGGAGCATGCCCAGGGCAGAGACAAAGCAGGGCAGCTCCATACAGGGAGTCAAGCTGGGGACTTGGAGAGCCGGGTCAGCATCCAGGGTCCTTGGACTGTGCACACACTGAGTTCCAGGTAATTGGTTTATCAACAAACGCACACAGCATTTGGACCAGTTTACTCTCCTCAGATCCTATTCTGTCTTCAGAGAGTCAACATACTCGAATCAGAGAAAAATATTTGGAGGAGAAGGCTGCTGAGGGTTTGGGGAGGGTGTGGTCTTGTCTCTGAGAATGGGCTATGGAGAATCCAGCCTTGACATACCCAGAGACCTATGTCAGGAAATGGCGATTAACATGAGGTCGCTGGGTTACTTGTGATGTTGTGGCCTCAGGTGGCCTCTCCCTGTCTCCCATGTGTCCCTTCTGGGAGTATAGCTATGGAGATGCTCACTCCACTTTCATCCATCCATCCATCCATCCATCCACCCATCCGTCCATCCATCAATCCATTCAGCAGGTACAGAGAATCTGCTTTGAGCCAACCTCTGTGCTAGGAGAGAGAATACAGAGAAAATAAGACATGCTTTCTTGCCCTCGAGGCACTTCTAGTCCATAGGGGAGACAGAGAAGTCAATAAGCAGTGACAGCATGGTCTTACATAGCACAGACGAGGAGCACAAGCCAGGGAGAAAGTGGTGAGAGAGAGGAGTGGAGGCCCAGGGAGGAGGAGGAGCAAGGGTGCCCTGCAGGAAACCAGGTTCCTGGATTGGGGCCAGTCCCCAGAGGGTTACAGTATCCACATGGCTGCACACACATGAGCAATAGTAGTCACATATCCCAGTTGTGACCGACATAAACTCCAGGCTTCCTGACATCCCTCAGTTCTGGACCTCACTGTCCTGCCCATGCCTGTGTGCACAGGCCCTCTGTCCCCCCAAGCTCCACAGGGAGCCATCTGCCCACCAGTTCCCCAACATACAGGATGCTGAGCAGCGTCTGACACCTTGGGGCCACCTCAGCTCCCGCTGTCTGGCGTAACCACCCTCTGGGCTCCAGGCCCAGTTCCCCAGGGCAGCAGGTCCTCCCCAAGCCCAGATCCTTCTGAAGACTCTCACTCAGTCTCTCAGGCCACTGCCACCCCTGCTTCAAACGCTCTCTCATTTAATTTAGAGCTTGCTGGGAGCCAGACAAACACCTTGTGTTTATCCCTAACAATTAATCCTTAGCGATTAACAGACAGAATTCAATACCCACAAACACACCCGCAGCCTGCCTGTGACCTGCAGGCATCACATTCCCGCCGCCATGGGGAGAAGGTGGTGCTCTCCACCCCACACCGAGGAAAACTCGTCTATAAACTCTGCCTCCTTTGTCTCCAGGAACATGTTCACTCGTTGGCCTCAGCTGAAAAGTGACTTCCTTGATCTGGACAACACGTCTAAATACCACCACTCAGCTCCGGATTATTGCAGAGCTGGATGGGGTGATGCGAGAACAGCACTGTGCCCACAGTGCCTGGCACTGAGTAATAAATCATAATCGATAATGATTGTTTGCCATGTGCTAGGTACTGCTCAAAGCATTTCACATGGGTTATCTCATTTAAATCTCACAACAACCCTGCAAGGTAAGTACTGTTATTATCCTTATTTTTGAGATGACGCTCAGAGAGGTTAAGTAACTTGCTTAAGGTCACACATCAAGTGGCTGAGCCAGGATGCAAACCTGGGCAGTGTGGCCTGCGTCCAGCTCTTGACCACCTCAGTGTACTCCCTAAAGCGGGGCCTCTAAAACCTTAGTGCCTCCACGACACTTGTTAAATGCAGATTCCAGTCCTGCAGGGCAGGGTGGGGCCTGAGACCCTGCATTGCTAACAAGCCCCAGTTGATGCCAGGTGAGGCCTCATGGATACGCATCAGTCTCTCTCCCTTTCACTTCTTACAGTGAGTGAGACCTTTACAAGAAGCCTGGATTCCTGGAGCTTCCCCATCGGAAGGGACTTTAGCGGTCCCTAGCTTCCTCCTCTGCGTCCTGCCAGGTCTGTGGCTGGGGGGTGTTCCCTCTACTCTCCAACTAGCCCCAGCCACTGGCCACCCCAGTAGCCAGAGCCCCGGGGGGCAAAGTCCACACCAACCTTGCCTTTGGCCTGGGTCTGTGCAACCTATTCTGGCCTGAGCCAGAGGGCAGGAAGGGGACTCTCCATCCAGCATGCCTGGCTTTGATTCTAGACCTGGAGACCCACGGGAGACCACAGGGGGCACAGAAGGTTCCCAAAACTACAGGCAAAGGGGAAGGAAGTCACAAAAAGAAGCATGTCAGCTCTGAGATGTACAGGGGCCCCAACCTTCCCCTGCATGCCAGGGCCTGTCTCACCCCAGCAGGGAGGGCGGGCCAACCCAGAGGACGTGCTGCCCAGAGGGTAGGTGGCCAGGACAAGGGGCTACCTGACAGCCGCAGTGATTACCAAGACAACCAGCACACCTCCTGAGCGAACCGCACAGATGCAACATTGAGTGGGGGAAGCCAGGCATAAGAGAACGCTTCCATTTTGTATGAAGTTCAAAGCCAGGCAACACTAATCCATGGTGACAGGCCTCAGGAGGGTGGTCATCTGGGTGGGGGGGATGACAGCTGGGAGGGGCACGTGGGAGGCTCACGGAGGGCTGGTGAGGCTACCTGGGGCGGGGGTGGCTGCGTGAGCATGTTCATTTCATAAACATTCACTTAAGGTCAGTGTACTTTCCTGTATGTGTGTTAAACTTCATTAAAAAGTCAATTAAGAAAAAACAACACCTGACTGCAAAACAAAAACAAAACCAGGGCAGGCTACCGAGGGAGCTGAAGCTGTTCCACCCCAAGGGAGCTTTTCTCCCCTTGAGGCCAAGACAGGGTGGGGCGGGGGACAGGGATGGGCAGCACATAACCCTCTGGCCCTCTGCCCTTCCCATGCAGGTGGTCAGCACTGGGGTCTTCCCGGCCCTCCTAGTCTCACCGACCTACAGCATGCCCTGTTCACTGGGGCTGGGGGCTATGGGATGTCAGCACCCAGACAGACTCATGTCACTCCATGTGAGACAGGTGTCCTGGCATGTCCATCCTCCTCCGGAATGGCTCCCTCCCTTCACAGGCCAGTTCTTGAACAGCTTATCTGCCTGCCTCGTTATGCTACGTCAGCTCAGCATGGAGCATCTGAGCTACTCTGCCTGGGTTCAAATCCCAGCTGCATCACTTCCTGGTAGGTGACTGTAAGCAAGTTCCTTGACATCTCCGTGCCTCAATGTCTTCGTCTGTAACATGGAGATAATAATAGCATCTTCCTCATAGGATTAGTTTGAGGATTAAGTGAATTAATTAACTTAGGTAAGGTGCTTAGAACAGTTCCTGCACAGGCCAGGCGCGGTGGCTCACGCCTGTAATCCCAGCACTTTGGGAGGCGGAGGCAGGTGGATCATGAGGTCAGGAGATCGAGAACACCCTGGATAACAAAGTAAAACCCTGTCTCTACTAAAAAAAAAAAAATACCAAAAATTAGCC
Organism: Homo sapiens; assembly: GCF_000001405.40. NCBI lineage: Eukaryota > Metazoa > Chordata > Mammalia > Primates > Hominidae > Homo > Homo sapiens. Next base: position 117,746,079 of record NC_000011.10, read on the forward strand.
AGGTGTGGTGGCGGGAGCCTGTAGTCCCAGTTACCTGGGAGGCTGAGGCAGGAGAATGGCGTGAACCCGGGAGGCGGAGCTTACAGTGAGCCCAGATCATGCAGCTGCACTCCAGCCTGGGCATCAGAGCGAGACTCTGTCTCAAAAAAAAAAAAAAAAAAAAAAAAGTGCCTGGCACATAGTGCTATATAAGTGAATTTTTATTATTATAATCCAGCATTTTGCAAATGTGTTAGGTGCCTTGGATATGGGCATTTGGAAGCAGACCAGGGTTAGGAGATTGGGACCTGAGACCTGATGGTAGAGCTGTCCCCAGCTGGTAGTGTGGTTGAGGTGCAGTGCCTTGGCACGCTGCTCTGTGGCTTCCTCTCTGCCTCTCGTCTTCTCTTGGACCCAGGAGGCCAAGAGAAGTCCAGTGGTACCTGGGGAAGTGCTTGAAGCCCTCAGGAGAGGGGCCAGTCTCCTCAGATCCAAGCCTCCCTCCGCGCTGCCATTGGGGGCATCTTTCTGGTGTACACACCTGCCAACGTGGCCTCCTCCTCAGACCCCTAGCAGCTGCTGACACTCCCAGCTTCCAGTGTGCTACTGGCAACCTGGGACGACAACCTTTCCTGCCATGCCCTGACCCAGGGACCCTAGGGTGCTCCCCAAACACACAGGGCTCTGTTACTCCTCCAGGCCTTTGCAACACACTGTTCCCATGGCTTAGAATGGCTCTCCAGTCCCACTCTTCGCCTGAGAAACTCCTGCTCAGGCTTCAGGACTCGGCTGAAATCTCAGGTCTTCCATGGAACCTCCCTGGGAAGCCTGGGCTCCCTTAGAGCTTTGGACATGCCTCCAACACAGCACAAAATAACACTGGGTTAGAAAGTATGGGTCAGCGAGATTTGTCCTGCCTCTGGACAGCGGCTCCCCGAGAGCCCTCCATAAGTGGTAGATGAATGAATGAAGAATGAATCCAGTCTACCAAGAGCTTGCCATCTAACTGCCACCCCTGAGCCCAGCAGCCAGACTCCTTGCCACCCTCTGGCCTTCACCGCCCTCTCCCTCCCTTGCCCTTCCTGAGTCTTCACCACCCCAGCCTTTATTGCTTCTACTGATGCTTCCTCTTGCGGCCTCTGCCTGCTGACCTTGACCTTTCCCCTAACCGGTGTTCTCTCCATAACAAATCAAGCACCGCAGATTTTTAAAAATTTTCTTTTCTTTTTAGCAGCCCCAAACCCTAAGCCTTGGGAGCGGGTTTCTTCAAATTCAAGGTACTATATTGATGTAGTCCTGGGCTGGGGTTGCTGAAGGTCCCGATGCACAGCATCCTTGTTATTTCCATGGCCTGGGTGACCAGTGACCAGTCAGTCAATGAGCTCTCACTGTCCTTTCCCCATCCCTCCTCAATCACGCACCACCAGCACAATACTGAACGCAAGGTAGGGAGTTACACATGACTCCATGAAAATGCCTCCTATTTACAAATAAATGCAGGAATGCGTAAAGACAGCAAGTCCTCCTGAGTGACACAAAGGAGAGAGGGTCTGGCACACCATGGCAGCCAGAAGAATGAGCTGGCTTCAGGAGGAAGGGGCTACCTGAGTCAGGGACCTTGCAGCTTCTCAACCTCAGAGAGACCGCCTGTGTCCTCTGATCTCCGGTCCCTCAGGTAACAGGAGAAGGACAATACCCAATCTCACAATCGTGCTGCATGTGGGATGCAGTGCTGTGTGGGGCAGAGTTTTATAAACCGCAGGAACCTTGCCCTGAGGGTCCAGGGGAACCTAAATGCTGGGGTCAGACTGAAATGCAAGGTGCTCAGAGGCAGGTTAAGCTAGGATGACTTTACCAGGAAAGGAGCCCTCTAATCTTTAGTAAGGAGAAGAGTCTTGGAGATCATCTGGGTTCTCCCCAACACAACAGGTTTCCCTTCCGCAAGTCCCATAAAATGCCAAGAAGGGCACAGGCTTTCTTGGAAACACAGACCTGCTCTGCTATTTACAAGCTGTGTGGCCTTGGGCTAATTACTTAACCTCTCTGAGCTTATTGCCTCCTACACAATATGGCGGCAATGATACCAAAATTGTAGACTATTGTGAGAAAGTGAAGACAGAGCAAGAACACCTGGTACTTAGCAGGCACTCAACAAATGGTAACTAAATATTCTCTCTCCCTGCCCTGGACACACTCCGTAATGGTGAGCTCACTACCTCATGAGGGAATCCAAGCTGCTGCTGACCATTAGAAACGTCACACTGACCCTGAGCCAGTTGTACTCCCCGTCATTTTTACCCACTGGTCCTTGTCTTGCCTCTTGGAGTCTCATACAATAAGCCTGCTCCCTCTCCCTTCTGATGGCACTTTAGACATTGGGAGAAGGCAGGAGTCATGTCTCCCCACATCTTCCCACCTTCAGCCACACAGCCCAGTTCCCTCAGCTTTTGTGTCAGCCCTGGCTCTCCTGGGTGGTGTACTGTGAATGCACCATCATGAGGGCCCATCACACATGGACCACAAGTTCCAGCAGGTGTGGAATGCGGGGGCTCAGTCCTCTTTCGCCTGCAATCCACTTTGGAGATGAGGATTAAGGAGGGGAGGGCTGGGACTCCAGGCTGGTAGTGTTGCATGTTGCCCAGCCCAGCTAATGTGTGCAGGAGCCTGGGTACTGCATGCCCTACTGACCCCTGCTCAGGGAGACCTGACCATCTAGGGAGGCCGAGAAAGACCTGTGTTATCTACCCCTCCTCTGCCCACGTCCAACAGGAGTGGCTGACTCCCAGGGAGGGAGCAGGAGAGGCAGGGCTGCTATGAGCAGCAAGATGGAGGGTCCCACTGCCCAGGCCCAGTTGTTGGTCTGAGCTGGCTGAGCAGCTCTCCAGTGCAGAGCTTGGCGGGTAAGGCTCTAGTTGGCTCTGCGGCCCCATGGCCCACAGCTCACCCTTGACACACGTGCCTTGCCTGGCTTTGTGGGCTTCCAGGGAGAGGTTCTGAGGTCTTCCTTGACTTTCTCTTGTGCAGGTAGAACATCTTCATTCCCAGAGAGGATGCAGAGGACGAAAGGATGAGGCCCAGAACTACCAGCTCCTCCTCCAGCCCCCTCTGCCCTGGTTCCCTGGTCCCAACCAGGCCAGACGGGGCTTGAGCCGGGACGAGGGTTTGGAAACATGCTGGAAACCAGATGCTGTGGCGGAGCTGTGCCTTCCCAGGTAAATAAATTACACACCATACACAAACAATCTGCTGCCTGCCTCTCCCCATTCAGAGAGCGGCATGTACAGAGAACGAGCCTTCCTCCCAGAAGCAGCTTTCTTTCCTCATGGTGGGGTGAAGGCCAACGCTATTGACACAGAAGGCAGGGCCAGGGCTAGGGTGAGAGGCCACGAACTGCCCTGTGCCTCTAACACTCCCTGTCTGTTAGCACAGAGATCTCAGGTAAATGATTGCAAAAACAGCTTTATAAGCCCTCTGCTGAGAAGGCAGCAGACAACAGCACCAGGCGACCAGCAGACCTGAGCCTTCGGAACCAGCCCATCTGCTGGGAAGGAGGCAGTGGGTGATCTGGATTCTTGGCAAGATGCTGAGGCCCAGAACACAGATGAACCCAGCCTGGCAGGCAAGGGCAGTGGAGGTTTCCTAATGGGTCAGAACCAGCACGGTCGGGCTGAGCTGAATCGCAGGCAGTGCAGGTTGGCAGAAGCTCTGCCTGGGCATCCACGCATGAGATCCAAAGCACAGGAGGGCAGGGCCTCCCCTTACAGCGGGGAGAGCTGGGAGCGGGACCTGTGTTAGAACAGACAACCTCCAGCCTGTGCAGACTTGAGCTCTGGTTCTTAATAATAGTGGAAGCCCAATCTGCCAGTGGAGACTGTAAGCAGGGAACATGGAAACGTAAGGGTGACAAGCCTTGGTTCGAGCACTGTTCGACATATTAGGATTTGATCTGGGTGATGAAAGGCACTGAGAAGGGTACCCTAGAAATTGGATGATCCACGTTCTTGTTCTCGATTTGTCCTATAGGGTTGTGTAGCCTTTCTGGGTTGCAGTTCTCACTCGGGAAATGTTGGGTAAAGGGGCATCTGGCTGGAAGAGAGAGAACAAGGGATGTCTCAGCCTCCAGCAAGGAGTTAAGGGCAGCACTGAGGGCCTTGTGCCCAGGGACTCTGTCCCCAGCCTGCACGCTGCACACCCTGGCACTGCCCCTACTCCTGACCGAGCGGGGATATGCAGGTAAAGATATCTGTGTCTTTGTCGGACCCAGGTTAGGGAGACTGTTGCCCCTTTAGCAGAATGGGAGGAATAAGGAGCACACCCCAGGGACAATCAGTTGTGAAGGTGATCACATTTGGAAGAACTTGCAAAGGCTTGAGAGCAAGGGACCTGGAGAACCCATCAGCTCCTCAAAGGCTGTACCTGCAGGCACATGTGTTGGGCAGAGAAGGATAAACAACACCCAGTGAACGTGGATGAAATGTCTCCCGGGCGTGTCTACTCCCTGACAAGCACACGGGCTGCTGCACTCATGCCAGCCTTCCCTGGGTGCCCAAGGCGGGGACATAAGAAACAGAGTGTAGGCCTCTGTGCTTATCCTAATCCCAAAATGAAGGTTCTAGTGGAACAACCCCTGGCTTGGGAGTCAGAAGACTGGTTCAGATCAGAAGGTGCCACCACTAACTGCTGTGTGACCTTGAGCAAATAAGCAGAGCCACATAGTTCAAGAAAATACCTGAATTAATCACTCAGGTTGGACAGAGACTATACACCAGGACCATCCAGCCCCAGCCCCAGCCCCTGCCCTCCAGGGGCTTATGCTCTACAAATGGCAGTAGGTTTCCATGGGCAGGATGGCAAAGGGAGGGAGTCCTGCCACCCTGCCCCAGCTGTGAAGTCTGAGCTGTCTCCATCTTGCCCCCAGGTCACAGTCTTCCCAGGCTCCTTACCCAGGCCTCGTGCTTTTGGGGGTGGCTTTCTGAGGTTTCCATTGGGGGGCAGCCAGAGGCAGAGGGCAGGGGCTGGGACTGCCTATGCATGCATGTTTGTGTGTGTTTGTGTGTGCGCAGGCGTGTTGTTGGCACGGACGTGACTCTGCATTATCCGGGCCCGTAATGAGTCCTCATTGCAATGGGTTTGATGGAATAATTATATTCTGGAAAAACTGCAGGAAACTGTGTTCCACTTCTTAAAGGGCAGGATCATCAAACATTTGTGCTACATTATTTGCAGTCACACCTTCTGCTGCATATGCTCCCTTAAAAAAAAATCTCCAACTCCAATCTGATCTGAATATATAAATCTGAATTATCACAGCAAAGGCGATACGCTCACACCTTTTTTCTTTTTTTTTTTTTCTCTGTTGCCATGGTGATTAGATAAAATTCACGCCAAGTCTCCAGGGAAGGATGGAATTATTTCAGACAGTTTCTCACCCCTCTCAAGCTACTTCTCTCTGTAACATGCCTGGGCACCATCTCGGGGCTTGGACAGGAAGACAGGCAAGAGAAGAAGGCACCAGCTCTTTGGGAAGCCTTGGGCGAGCAGAGGAAAGCGCTCATCTTTCAGTGATGCTCTTAGTGCCAAGTATGCCTGAAGCTGCCGAGCCAGCAACACATCCTGAAAACCCACAGCCTCCTCAGTAACCCAGAAAGCCACCTGGGGGAAAAAATGGAGGCTCAGGGGGTGAAAGGCAAAGTGCCCTTGGTCAAGGTCAAGGCAACAGGAGTTGCAGATATTGACCCAGGGCCTTGGCTTTACCCTCTCCCAAGTGGAGTTGAGCAGGGAAAGAGGTTTTCCTTGAAAAGTGAGAGACTCAGCTCCCCACACCAGGTCTATGTCTGGATCCACTTTTCATCAGGGCTTCCCTAGGCCGAGATTCTCATAGGCGCTAATTACCAATGGATGTAATTTGTTAAAAGGATTTTCATAAAGGGAATTATTGACCTAATTGTTATTTAACACCACCAATTCACAAACCTCAGCTCTGTGTGTGTGTGTGTGTGTCACTTCAATGTTTCAGAGTATACTGCAGAAGGCAGGGTCTCTCTCCCTAGAACAAGCCTTCTCATTTCTGTCAAAAGTCCCAATTCCCAGGTATGGGAGATAGGAGCCCTGATTCCAGGAGGCCTCTTGCACGGAAGCCTCAGGGAACTGAACTCAATGCCTGTGAAAGCTGAAAGTGGCTCATTATTAAAGCCATAGCTGAACAAGGAGGGGAGAGCTTTGTCAGCCAAAGCCTAGGGGTGGAACGACAATTTATGTTTATTTACTCAGGTGACTCATGTTAGGGTCTCATTAATAATCCCACCAATAGAGAGGGAGGGGCTGGGGAACACACAATTTTAAGTGTATCTCACAGCACATCATTTTACTCAAAGGTGAGTTAAGAGAGAGCCCTGGAGGTCAGGAGAGGATGCTAGATCCCCTAAGAAGCTTAATCCAGAACTCCTCCAGGCCAGTGCACTTTGCAGAAAGGGGCACTAGCAGGTCACTGGATAAAGAAGACATCTTTGAGGCAGCCCGAGAATGTCTTCTTTGGTGGTTGGTTGGAACTTGGGCCTATTCAGCAGGGTGCCCCGGGGAAACAATGGGTCTGGAGTCAGGATGCTGAGGTTTGCTAAAGGATCTGTGAGATTCTGCTAAGAACTGTTTCTTCTCTGGACTTCAGTTTCCCAGTCTGAAAATGAGGGAGAAGAAGCCTATTTCTGTCACCGTTGGGAAACCTTGCAAATTCTAGTGTCAGGGATGAGGCTGCAGCACGAGGGCCCTGTGGTGCGGCGAGGACACCCAGGACCACTGAGCAGGCTCTCCCAGGGCCCAGCACAGAGCCTGCGCACAGGGGTGCCCAGTGAGCCAGCAAAAACGAGTCTCTAGGTCTGCCCTGTCACTTTGCCCATGGCTGTCCCAGGGGAGCTGTGGCCCCAGGATGGTGGCAGGGGTGGGAGCACGGGAGTGGTGGGGACACAGCAAGTAACTGCACGGACTTGGAGGGTAGACAGACCTGGCTGAGTCCTGCCTAAGCCGCTTATTAGCTCTCAACTTCAGACAATGTAACCTCTCTAAGCCTCTGTTTCCTTGAAAGGGAAATGAAAATACATTTAAAATGCACCTCCCAGGGTTGTTGTTGGGATTAAATGATCTACAGAGCACTTAGCACAGTGCATAAAGAAAGTGCATTGAGTAAAGCCTCAATAAATGATGATGGTGACGAAGGAGAGGAATATGGGCGGCATCATTTTAGAAAGAGGTGGTGTGAAAACAGCAGAGGCCTGGGGCTGAGTGGTCCCGCATTCTTCTCCTCCCTTTGCCCTTTGTTGCTGCTATGTTTGGGGCATGTCACTTAATCTCAGAGCCTTATTCTTCACTTGTAAAATGAGAGTCTGCTCCGTTGTCAACCTGTGCTATAAGTGTTGTTATTCTCAATTTTCAAATGAGAAAAGGAGAAGTTAAGCACCCAAAGTTTCACAAGGCCACGTATTAGTGTCTGAGCAGGGATAGCAACCTCAGGGTAATAATACCTCTGTGGCCTTCAAACACTGAGCATAACATGAGCTGATGTAGGCACACTTTTGTTGATTGTCAAGTGTGATGCGTGGCTAAGTTGCCACGATTCAGTCATGGTAATGAGAATCACCTTGAATTGGCAGCTGAGACCTGTGACTTAGAAGGGCTTGCCCCCAGTATCCAGACTGCAGGCCCTTAGTTAGACATGGCTGTCACTCACGCTGCATGTTGCCAGAACCTAGAAAGGAGGCCAGAGAGATTGTTCTAGAGGCCCTGGTTCTAGTTCTCATGCTGTTACTCTATGTGACTCTGGACTAGGTTGTCACTAAGGTCCTCTCCCAATTCTAAGCCTCTGTGATTCTAGGATTCATTCCTGGGGACAAGGTGAAGCAGGCATTGCTTGCAAAGGAGAGTCTTGGGCCTTACCTGAGGACAAGTAAGGGAGAAGGGAGCAAATAGGGCCACCCAGGATGTGGAGAGGCAGCAAGAAAAGATCCTGGGGTCCTTTCCCTTTAAGAGGAGCAGAGATTCCCGACTTTTGGATCAGGGTTGAGCAAGCCTGGAATGGGGAGGGGGGTAGAAAGCCCCCAGAGCCTAGAGATTCAAAGACACCCTGCCCCTGTGAGATGCAGAAACTCTTAATTGGAGCTGTGCGTGCATCCAGCACCAATCACTCCATGATGTGCCTTTCTGAGGCAGCACAGAAGGCAGCCCTTCATTAAATCCGACACCAGGGAATTAATTCAACTCACTGCTGTCACTCTGTCTCCCTCACCCTTTCCCTCAACAGCCATTGCTCTTTGATCTTCCACACCTTTATGTCGAAAGTTCTCCTTGAGAGAGGAAGCTTCTCCTGACTGTCACCTGAGCTATGACTATATCGTGGGCCAGGACTCAGGGCTCAGCTCGGGAGGGTGCAGTGGGGAAGCACAGGGGTGATGGGGGAGCGGGGGGTGTGAGAATGGACGCACTCTCATAGAGAGAAGGTGAGGGAAGGACCACAGGCCATGAGGGATCCTTCTCCACCACCAGCAGAAGAAGCAAGGATTTGAAAGCTAATGGTGACAGCTAACTGGCTCACCCCATTTTAGCTATTCTTGAAACAGCGACTTTATAATTAAAATCCCTTCAGGAGGGAGTCATATGGGGAAGGAGGAGGGGGAAACAGAGAAGGGGCTGGAGGGAAGTTGCTGGGACCTTCTTCAGTGCCGTGCTGCCTCTTTGGCCATAGAAAATCACAGCTTCCAAATGATCCCCTCACCTACTTACGGGTGCCTCCCTCCCTACCTGCCTACCTGCCTTCTGTGTGACCCACAGTTTTCTCCTAACTCCATCCATGTGCTGAGATCCCCAGCGTGGGAGGAGCCAGGGCAGAACTTGGAGCAGGTAAATCCCTCCCAATCCATGGGGAACTGGTTACCCCGGCCACAGACAACCTTCTCCTGTTGCCCTAATGCTATGAATCAGTATTATTTTTGTTCTGCTTGTGCTGAGAGGTGAAAACAGTTGGAAGAACTGCCCCCAAGGCCCCCAGCTCTGACATCTGTAGTCTGAGGAAATTGTGCTACACCTTTCAATGATGTCTATTGGAAGTCACTGGGTAGCGCTTGGGTTTAATTCTTCCTTCTCTATGGATCCCCTAAAGATTTGTCCAGGACTTGCAAGAAAACAGAAACACTCAAAAGACCAGGGACAGGGAACCTGAATTATGTGAACGCTAATTTATGATGGGAAGACAGTTGTTTAAGGAACTTCCCCCAAGGAAGGCCATGGCTCTGTCAGGGAAATGTTAGAAGCTAATCCAGGCTCCTGGTTGAGGTGAGGCCAAAGAGATAACGCTTGTGAAATAATTTTCTATCAGCATCCCCATTTTCTAGATGGAGTTCTGAGAGGTAAGTAACCTGTGCAAGGAGAGACCCAGCCAAGAATCCATCCCTGCCCCCCGTCTCCTCGGATTGTCATCCCTTTCCTACCCCAGAGCTTCCTTCCCTGGGAAGATTCCCACTTGCTCAGGAATTCTATGCAGACAACATCTCCTCTTGACTACAATCAAATTACAGAGTCAAGTCAGAAATGCAAAAAGGAACCATTTTAAAGGATTCTTGGTTTTGTTTTTTAACCTTCGTAAGAAAGTCTGACCTTTCCTTTTGATGGAGTCACAAAATCAGATGATCAGTTTTCCCCACCCACAGGAGATCTCTGAGTGTTGGGGCTGACACCATGGAAACAAAGGAGCACCTGGCTGTGGACTGAGGAAGGTGTGTCCCACCCTGTCATTGAGATGAGACATTGCACCTGTACCCCTCCCACCAAGACTACAGCCACCGGCTCCTCTGGAGTTCCTGCCATACCCACTACCATCAGCAGCAGAGGTCCTTTGTCCTGGGAGAAGGACGGTTCTGCTGTCGGGTAATACCAACAGAGGAAAAGAGGCGGAAGCTTACTGCCATGAGTTTTCTTATGATTAAATGTGAAACACACATCAACACACTCCCTGAAATTGTGTGAAAGATCTGAAAGACCCTCTGAATTCTCCCTAGTTAGGAAGATTAATTTAGGAAGTGGAAAAAAGAAAAGTGGCTCAGGGCCCTTTTCTGTGGGGCACAGAGGCTGCCTGGCAGCCCCAGTTCAGAGCTGGGGACAGGAAGGAAGGTCACTCAACATGGCAGGTGCCCAGTGGACTCTTAGGGGCAGGGATGCCTTTCTGTGTTCCACATTATCTGGCCTCCCAAAAAACCTTCAGGAAGGTCTGCACGATATGTGTGGGTCTTTGTGAGGGTGGGATTTTTGGGAAAACCAGGAAGAAGGCTGAGGAAACATTTGGTCAGCACCAGAGCAGAGATAGAGAAGCATCCGTGAAACTCAGAGCAAGGAAGCAGAATTCGGCAGAGTTGGGAGCCAGAGCCAGCGACCACGATGAGAATACAAATCTTCCTGCGAGCTTGCAGACATCCTGGGAAGGACATGGGACATTTCCAGGGCTTAACTAAGACTAGAGACAATTTTTGTAGCTCCTCAGAGGCAGAGGCTATCCTATTGCTATCTGGGTTGTAGAAAACTATTATTATTCTTATTTTAGACATGAGAAAGTTGAGAAATTTAGGTAAAGGGCCAAGGGCTACTAAAAGCCAGTGATCAGAAAGAGCCAACACCGAGAGGTAGCTGGTGAAAAACCCGGTTCCAGATGGTGCTGGTGGAAACAGCACGTTCAGACCAAGGAGGGGGTGATGGCCTCACTCTGCCCTCTGCTCACACCTTTTGTGGTGTGGGGCACTCACTTTGGGAAAGACTTTGACACAACAGGGCACGCTCAGCGGTGGCTCCCTGGATGAACTCAGATCCAATGAATCCTAGGTGGGATTGCTGTAGAATTGGGGTTGCTTTGACCTGGAGGATGGGACACCAGGGTGAGGTGTGGGAGATAGAAGAGGATGGGCACTGTCCTCAAGAAATGAAGGTGCAGAGAGACAGAAGGAAACATCTGTGGAAGCTCAGGGTGGGGAGTTGGCAGGAGGAGGACCTACGGGTGGAATCTCACAAAAGCAGATTTTAGTCCCCCCATCTAAGAAGGAACTTCAGAGGACTCCCTGAAAAAGCAAAAAAGAAAAAGTAGTAGCTACTTTGCCAAGGTACCTACACTTCAATATGACTTTTTGGTGTTCAAAACTACTTCATATCTAATCTTCTTAACACATATTTGACAATTTAGAAAATGATGGAAAAGAAGCCAGAAATCATCTCTAATCTCACTATCTAGAAATAATCATGACAATCACTAATAGCCTTCAAGTATTTCTTTCAAGATATCCATCTAGGATCCCAACACAATAGAAATGATAAACACTCAAGGGGTGCTGGATATCCCAAAGACCCTGCATTGACCAGGACACATTCTATGCATGCAACATAATACCACATGTACCCCACACATATGTAAAATATTATGTACTAATACAAAAGATATCCATCTACAAGATGTATAGAGCATACGCATTTTTAACCAATTAGGAGCCTATACACACACACACACACACACACACACACACACACACACACACACACAATTATTTTTCCACCTAACATCATATTAGGATCTTTTTCTCTGTAAGTTAAAAATGCATTAAAAATATTTCCTTGTGGCCGGGCATGATGGCTCACACCTGTAATCCTCAAAATCACCTCAAGCATTTTGAGAGGCTGAGGCGGGCGGATCACCTGAGGTCAGGAGTTCAAGACCAGTCTGACCAACATGGACAAACCCTGTCTCTACCAAAAATACAAAATTAGCCAGGTGTGGTGGTGAATGCCTGTAATCTCAGCTACTCAGGAGGCTGAGTCAGGAGAATCGCTTGAACCCAGGAGGTGGAGATTGCAGTGAGCCGAGATGGCGCCATTGCATCCAGCGGGGATAACAAGAGCGAAACTTCACCTCAAAAAGCAAAAACAAACAAACAAACAAAAATGGTCAGGCATGGTGGCTCACACCTGTAATTCCAGCACTTTGGGAGGCTGAGGCAGGTGGATCACAAGGTCAGGAATTCAAGACCAGCCTGGCCAAGATGGTGAAACCCCGTCTCTACTCAAAATACAAAAATTAGCTGGGCATGGTGGCAGGTGCCTATAATCCCAGCTAGTCGGGAGGCTGAGGCAAATAATTGCTTGAACGTGGGAGGCGGAGGCTGTGGTGAGCCAAGATCACGCCACTGCACTCCAGCCTGGGCGACAGAGTGAGACTCCATCTCAAAAAAAAAAAAAATTCTACCGTAAGTTATTTAATCATTCCTCTGTTTATTTGAATTTTCAGGGTTGTAAATAACATTGCAGTTGGCAGAACTGTTTTGTTTTGTTTTGTTTTGTTTTTTGAGACGGAGTCTCGCTCTGTTGCCCAGGCTGGAGTGCAGTGGCGCGATCTCGGCTCACTGCAAGCTCTGCCTCCCGGGTTCACGCCATTCTCCTGCCTCAGCCTCCCGAGTAGCTGGGACTACAGGCGCCTACCACCACGTCCGGGTAATTTTTTTGTATTTTTAGTAGAGATGGGGTTTCACCGTGTTAGCCAGGATGGTCTCGATCTCCTGACCTCGTGATCCGCCCACCTCGGCCTCCCAAAGTGCTGGGATTACAGGTGTGAGCCAAAGCGCCCGGCCGGCAGAACTCTTTATTGCCATCTTTGGTTATCTCTTAAGGATAGAGCCTTACAGACACGGACATCTGAGACTTCAGATACATATTGCCAAATGCTTTCCAGAAAAGGTATGCTGGGGCCTACCTGCACGAGCAGCATGTGAGCGTCCCCAACTATGCGTTTGCTTGCCAAAATCACCTCAAGGGTTCCCTACAAACAGTACTCCTCCATCGAGGAGGAGACTTGATATATCGCTTTTCAGGAGATCGTCTGTTACATGCCTACCCATGATAAACAAGGTAGCAACTCCATCTTGCAAACACACACGCTGATATGCACATTAACTAATTCTGTCCTCTTTGTAAACTCTGGCGATACTTCTAGACCTTAGAGGACCCCAATACAAATCCACCCTGTTGAGAATGAGACAGACTCCCTCACCCTGTAGCAGGATGCTTCTTGAGACCCGGGTCCCCGGTCCCATCAAGGCTGTGAGTGGCGTCTATAAGAAATACCCAGGGCATTAGGCTTTGTGATTTCCAAGGCCCCCTATAGCCCTGACAAACCAATTCTACCACCTGCATGTGCCACCTGTGAACTTGGGTGTGTAAGAGGGAGGGGGAAATAGAGGAGGGGCAGGACAGGGGAGATCATTGTTTCAGGATACATTGGAACAAACCTAGGTGCTTTTAAGAGCTAAAGCAAGAAGGCAGCAGCTGTTGACCCTGCCCCGCCCTCTGCCCAGGACACCCTCTGTTCTCCGACCCTGAGGGGGGCCTCGTCCCCAGGGCTGGAAGGCAAGCAGGGGATCACATTTCTCTCTCAAGTTTCCCTATTGGCTATGACCTCGACTCCCAACTTTCTCTTGTAATGTGAGCTGGAGTTGGGAGTAGGCTTCTCCATGAGGGCGATCATCCGGGCCTCTTGAGGCCACCCATCCCTGCCCCGCAGGCCCACTCTCTTGTCTACAGGCTGCAGATACTGACTGACTCCCTCTCTGGACGGGAGGACAGAGGGCTGCTGGGTCACTCCTGCACCCCCAGCTACAGGGAGCAGTGAAAAAAGAAGGCCTCGCAGCCCCATAAATACTCCCAGTATTCTTAATTTTCAGTGGCCTCATGCTGAGTCTCCAGGCCCTCATTAAACTGGGAAACAGATTACAACAGGATCCCGAGGCAGACACATTTCTTCCCCTCCTGTATTTATACCACTTTTAATTGTTATTTTACAACAGTTGAGAGCACCAAGCCCTGCTCAAGGTGGCCCTGGAAGAGGGGGCAGGAAATAAATAGGGCAAAGAGGGCACTGCTGAGCACCTGACCCCTCCCATCTCCATCAACAATAGCCCTCCAGAATCAGCCCCCAGACCTCGCTTTCACCAACAACCTCCTATCTCCGCACTCCCATTCCCCCAGCCCTAGATTATCATAGTGGGATGCGAAGTCCACCTCCACCATCCTAGAACTTTGCACATGGTGTTGAAATGGTTTGTTTTCTAATGATAACATATCATGCATACAGAAAAGCATAAAAATAATGGAAAGAGACCCATGTTTCTTTTGGCATATTTTCTTCAGATCGTTTTTAGAAGGAACATTTTAAGAAAGAAGACATTCTGAAAACAGTTGTATTTCCCTCCACCAGCCCATCGCCTCCTCCTCAGAGGTAAGCGCTACCCTGAATATGGTGTTTATCATTTCCATGCATGTTTTTATACTTTTGCTACATATGTATGCATCCAGAAACAATACAGAGGACTGTTTTGCATGTTTTCAAACTTTGTACAAATGGCACCATAATGTATGGCATCCTTCTACAATTTGCTTTTTTCTCTTCAATCGACACGTCCACACTGATTTGTAAAGCTCTGGTTCACGCATTTCCCCTGCAGCATAGTATTTCATTGTGTGAGTATAACATATTTAATGTGCCAATATTGGCTTCTGATTTTTTGCTATCACAAACATGGCTACGATGACTAATCCTGTCCATGTCTTTTTGTGCACATGTGTGAGTTTCTTTAAGGAATTTAAATTTTTGAGCTCTTTCTTATCTCTCTCCCCTGAAGGGCACAGACCTGTCACCATAGCCAAGTTCCCAGAGTAATGCAGGCACATGGGCACAGTTTGTCAAACTGGACCAATCTGGAAGGGACCTAAGGGATCATCTATTCCAGCCCCTTCACTTACAGATGAGGAAACTGACATCCAGAAAGAGGTCATAACACTATTTAGAGACAGAGCCGGAAGTAGAAACCCCATGCCCTTTTCCATTTTTCTAGCCCTATCCCTACCACACTCTAGGATAGCCAAAGACTGTTAGAAAAATGATCCAAAGGAGAGAGGGGCATAAAGAGGTCACATCTGGATACTTGGCCTCTACAAGGGGGTCTCATATCTGGATACTCATCCGATAAAATGAAGCCACACTTGGACACACAGCCCACCGAGGAGTACTCACATCTGAACACCCAGCCTCCAGAGGAGGTCTCACACCTAGACTCACCTTCCAGACGAGGTCTCACACTTGGACACCCAGCCCCCGGAGAAGGCGTCAAACCTGGACTCACCTTCCAGATGAGGCCTCACACATGGACACCTGGCCGCCATAGGAGGCCTCACACCTGGACATGCTCAGACCAGGGCCTCAGCTCTGGACACCCAGCCCCCAGACTGAGGCCTGCCTTTTGTGTTCCTCCCTTCCTCCTCCTACAGAGAGTTCAGTCCAGTGGAAGACCCTGGAACCAAGAACCAGGAGCCCCAGATGTGATGGCCTAGAGACAGATAGTGGGCTCTGATACCACATGGCTTGGATTGAGTCCCAACTTTATTCTTACTGCTATGTGACCTTGGGCAAGTTACTGCACCTCTCTGTGCTTCATTTTTTTTCATCTGTACAATGGGAATGATGGCTGGGCACGGTGGCTCATGCCAATAATCTCAGCACTTTGGAAGGCTGAGGTGGGAGGATCACTGTAGTCGAGGAGTTCAAGACCAGCCTGGGCAACATAGTGAGATCCTGTCTCTACAAAAAATTAAAAAATTAGCTGAGTGTGGTGGCGTGTGCCTGTAGTCCCAGCTACTTGGGATGCTGAGGCAGGAGGATCCCTTGAGCATGGCAGATGGAGGCTGCAGTGAGCTGAGACTATGCCCCTGCACTTCAGCCTGGGTGCTGGAGCCAGACCTTGTCTATAAAAGAGAAAACACAAAAAAGTGGGGATGATAACAGTTCCACCCACCTTATAATGATACTGGGTAGACTAAAAGAGTCAGTTATATCAAGCTATTCACACAGTGCCTGGCACATGGCAAGTGCTGTGCTTTATTCTCCCTGCACATTCCACACAACAACCAGTACAGCATCGACTCACTCCACGCGGCAGGATCTCATCTCCCAGTCGCACTCTGCTACTTAGCCTTGGGCAAGACATTTCTCTGACCCCTAGTTTCCTCATCTGAACATAGTGATGACACCACCTGTCACAAGTATAAAATGAGATCAAACAACTCAAAGGGCTCTGACAAGATAAGTTCATAAAGCAGACATGGAGTGATTGTTTTATTTATCTCGTTCTGGTCTGCCGGTCGGGCCAAGTGTTTTCCCATTCATCATGGGCTATAGACCATGAGGAAACAGATAAAACACTCTGTCTTTAAAATATGAGGTTGTGTCTGTGACAGTGCCTGGCATAGTGTCTGGTCCACAGTCCAGAAGCTGAATAAATTCTGCCCCTGGTGCCTGCTTCCTGCTGTCAATAAGTTTTTTTTTCCTTTCCTGAGTCTGGAAATAATTGCAGAGGTAAAGCCATTGCCTCTGGCCTTTGTTTGCTCATCTGTAAATGGGGGTAATTGTTTCCATGCTACATGGAATCATGATGAGAATCAAATTTTATATATATATGGGCCGGACACAGTGGCTTACGCCTGTAATCCCAGCACTTTGGGAGGTGGAGGCGGGTGGATCACTTGAGGTCAGGAGTTTGAGACCAGACTGGCCAACATGGTGAAACCCCATCTCTACTAAAATTACAAAAATTAGTCAGGTGTGGTGGCAGGTGCCTGTAACCCCAGATGCTGTGGAGGCTGAGACAGGAGAATCACTTGAACCCATGAGGTGGAGGTTGCAGTGAGCCAAGATCGTGCCACTGCACTTCAGCCTGGGCAACAGAGTGAGACTCTGTCTCAAATAGTAATAATAATAATAATAATAATAATAATAATAATTTAATATATATGAAACTGTGCTGTAAACAGAAAAGCACAATACAAATTTGACTATTATTTTATAAAAAGTGAGAGACTATTTAGTTTGCCTTAGATCCCCACGTTGCTTAAACTCTGGGTATGCCATGTGGGGTCCTTCCTCCCACAGACCACTCTGGTGAGCTCCCACATTCCCCTTGCCGGTTCCTGGGGTTAGGGCCAGCAGCCCGAGGAGGGGCACAGGAGTAAGACAGGAGTGTGGGGTATGTGACGGAGGCAGCTCTGGTCCCACCCACCTGAAGGATGCCCAGTGATAAATCCTGGGAAATTCTCAAATTTAGAGTCCCCTGGGGAGCTTTCGAAAACCCCCAGTGTCCAACCCTGACCCCAGAACAAGTAGATCAGGATCCTTGGCAGTGAAACCCAGGCATCTGCAGTCGTTAAAGCTCCCTGTGTGATCCCAGTGGGCAGCTGGGGTCCGGGCAAGGGAGGCTGTGTCAGTGAACTCCTGGAGAGCTGAGAACAACGGGAGACGTGGACTCCAGGAGGCTGAAGCCAGGGATGACCTCCACTTTTCTGGAAACATCCTTGATTACTGAAGAGCAACCCCTAAAATTCCTTCCAAACCATGCCCCACCCAAAATCTTCACTGGCTCCCCATTGCCCTTCGATACATACAACTCACGCAGCATCACTTATATCCCACCTGTGATGCATCCTGAGCCCAGCCAGGCTGCTTTTCCCCAAGAGCAGCCCATTGTTCTCAGCTCTCCAGGAGTTCACTGACACAGCCTCCCTTGCCCGGACCCCAGCTGCCCACTGGGATCACACAGGGAGCTTTAACGACTGCAGATGCCTGGGTTTCACTGCCAAGGATCCTGATCTAATTGTTCTGGGGTCAGGGTTGGACACTGGTGGTTTTCGAAAGCTCCCCAGGGGACTCTAAATTTGAGAGCTGGCAGATCTAGAACACTCTCCCCTGCAGGAGCTCAGCCTGCCAAAACAGACCCCTTCTCCAGGACCCAGGGGGAGGTGCCATTTCCTACAGGGCATCTTCTCTAATCACAAAAGATGGGTGTCCCCCACCTCTCAGTCCCCCAAGAACTTGATTCCTTTCCTGCACCCTCATCACACTCTTGTGTGTTGTGTTGTTTCCTTGTGTTGGGGTCACCTGTGTCCCATACTCATCTTGCCTATTAGACCCTGAAGGCTGGCACGGTGCCTCCAAATGTTTCCATACCTCTGCCCACCCTTCTTACCCCTAACAGGGCTCATGAAACAGTGGTTCATCCAAGGCTGTCCCTAAAATTCAAAACACCAAGGCGTCTTTCTTAGGTCCCTGCTCTGGGGCACTGCTGGGGTCTACACAGGTAAGTCTCTTTCCCCTTTCCAAGGGTAAAAAAAGATTAGTGTGTGCATGAGTGTGTGAACACATCTATGTACCTATTCAATATGTACAAATTACATCATGCATGCATGCTATTTATACACATGCACGCATATATATTTTAATTAAAATCAGTTTCTTTGGTGCGTGGGAAGAGGAATTTCTCCAAATCCCTTGAGATCCTCAAGCAGAGACCCTTGGGAATCACTGTCTACATAACACAGCACCCATCACGCACACAGGAAGCACTCAGAAAACATTTGCTAAATTAAATAATGAACTAAAAATCCAATCAACGGATTGTTGCTTATGCCAACCTAGGCATTTAGATAGATTTAGGGGATGACATCGATGTCAGACATGGCTGGCACAGCTACAGGCTGACGGAACCAGAAGCTGTGGTTTTGTGTCCCTTCCTGGGCGCAGGCCCTGGGGTACAACCATGCTCCATCAGGCTTTGCAAAATGGCTTTCCTAGGCCTGGGCAGTAGCAGCAGGATCTGGAACATTCTCAGTGCAAGTCTTTTCCCTGTGTCCCACTATGAGGGGTGGTGAAGAGGGACCCCAGCCACACGCTCTTAGAAGGGATTCCTTTGTTACAAAGTCTCAGAGAAGCCCCCAGACTCTCACATAGAATGAAGCTCACTCCACACCTGGCAGAGCCCCAGACTCCACCCACATGCACGGCCGCCTTCATGGCCACCCACTTCGACAGGCCCTTCTCCCATTCCGTTGTCTGCTTCTCAGCGGTCTCTTCAGGATTCTGGCAGATCCTGTGACCCTAAAGGCTTGGGTATTCAGACATACTTTGAGCCCCAAACTGCTCTGAGCCAAAGGTGAAGAGGAGGAGTCACTAAGTGTGAGAGGAAACACCTCAACCTTAGAGGCCTTTGTCCAGGCCCAGGGCCCCTCCTGCCCTCCATACTGGGATGCAGAAGCTCTGTGCCTGGCTCCAACCGGCTTGCTATTCCACTGTGAAAGTCGAGCTTGGCAGCTACAGAGACCCGTATTTAAGTTCCAGAGGCTTCTGCACACAGCAAGATGCCAGGACCACAAAAGCCAAGAGCGTAATGGGAGGCTTGGGCTTTGGCCTTAGGGGGTAACATTAAGGGCGTCCCTGCCTCTCTGTCCCACCATGAGGGTCTGGATCCTCCCCATCTAGCCCTCAGGCCTTTAGCCCTGAAGGTCCCATGAGCCTGTGACCCTCTGTGTAAGAGCAGCAGTGTCTGCCCTCCTAAATGCTCACACCTACGATCACACCTATGTTCTCATTCCTCACAGAGACCTCCCAGGCCGCACAGCAAAGACTACTAATGCTGGGGCAGCTTGTGGACATGCGTCTGTCTAGCCCTAGGAAAAATTGAAAACCTACGCATAGAGAAACTGCATGTAGAAAACAGATCTATACAGAAAAATACATTATATACATGGAAAATGTATTTTCTCTATACAGAAAATGAAAGTACCTGATTTTGAATCCTCACAACTGAAAAAAGTGCAGCTCAGAAAGGTTAAGACCTTGGCCAGGGTCAGAAGGCAAGTTAGGTGCGGAGTCAGGGTTGGAACCCAGTTCCCTCTGAGGCCAGAGCCCACAGGATTTTGCTTCTCTAAACAGCTTCACTTCATCACAAAAGAGACTCCAAGCAAGCCCCACTTCTTCAGAGCAAAACAGGAGCAGATGGTGGCTTTTTTCCAGCAACCACGGAAACAGGTACAACCGCACCTGCCCCTTCATTCTCATCCATCCCATTTACAACTTAATCTAAAGGATCAGTCACCTTCCCAGCTAAACCTTCCTCTAGGCATTCGACAAACATTGCCTGGGTGCCTACTATGTGCTCATATGCAGTGAGCCTTGTGGCATTGCGGACGCAGTTATGTTACCCAGCACAGGCCTCCGCACAGAACCGCAGCACCGTCTCCACCAGCTCTGGCTCTCATTGATACACAACAGAGTTCAAAATCACAGGCTTGGCAGGAAGTGCCATCTATACATAGCTCTACCATTCTGTAAGCACCGTTGGCTTCTTCTGAATAAATGCTACCCTACATTAAATGCCAGAATTCGGCAAGCAATACTGCATGTTTGCGATGAGATTGAGAACTAAAGCAAGATTGATTTTGATGTGAACACCAGCAAAGCAAATGGGTTTTTGAAAACCCTATAATTTCCCTGCAACCCTTGACTTCACTAAACACACATTTTTAGACTACAGCACAGTTAGGTAGGCATTAAACAAAAATGAGGTAGTCTAATGATGATTTATGTGTAGGATAACCTTCTATAAAGAATTCCGCTCTGATTTCAGGGTAACTTTCAGAGGTGCCAACTTAACCAAACAATGCTGCTTGCTCTGTGTCCACCGCCAGGGTGTGATCCCGGGGCAGAGCGTTTGCCTGCAATTGTCTTAAATCTGCTGAAATTCACCCAGGGGGTGCTCTGGAAATGCAGCGCCTGCCATGAACTAAATGGAAAAGCAAAACATGACACATGCACACGCCGCCAGAGGCACCTGTGAACACGAGACATTTCTGCTTGACTGAGGAGTGTGGCTGATGGTTCTGGAACCAACCAACTGGCGTGCAAGTGCAGAGCAGCCCGCCTGCTGGGATATTGGAAGAAGTTCTAGGGAGCTGCGGGCATGTTCTCTGGGAGGGGGTGCTTTGAGAGCTCCTAGGGCATAGGCATCAAAACCAGAGCTCTGGTGTACCCCTCCCTGGCTGTGTGACCTTGAGCAGGTCCCTCAGTGCCCCCAAGCCTTGATTTCCTTGTCTGTTAAACCTGTGTCTCCCGCAGATGTGTTTGGGAGGATTCAGTAAGATGATGCCGGTGAACGGGCTTTATAAACCGGAGAGCACCATACAAACCGAAGGTGATGCCGGCCGCAGGGCACAGATGGAGAAGTGGCCCAAGTTATCTCCAAGAGCTGAAGTCAAACTGCCCTGGGCTCAGATTCTGCCTCGTCATTTCCTCAGGGTATGGCCTTGGGAAGGCTGACCTCTCTGTGCCTCAGGCCCCACATCTGCAAAATGGGAATAATAATAATACGGACTACATAGGGCACCTGTGAAGCTTAAATAAAATGATGGAGAAAAGCACTTATCACGGACGAGCTCAATAACTGATCACTTATTTTCCTACAAACCATTCTTGCCACTATGAGTATCATCTCAGTTTAGGGAGAGAATCCCATTGCTGCCTCCGAGTGCTTTCTTGTAATCACTAACCTGCAACGTACGCTTAACAGCTTTGGAAGGTAGGATTTTCTCCACACTTCAAGGAAGAATACAAGATGTCTGAGTCCGAGGCTTCCTTTCTCACCAAAGCAAACAACAAACAAACAACAGCCAAATTAAGGACCAGCTGCCTTTTCCACTCTCTGACTGCCTTGATGAGGGAAACAGTAATTGCTGGGAGTTCCTAGGACAGCGCTCTGCCTGGAGTCACTGTTACAAGGAAGAAGGTTGCACTTTGGGTACAGAAGCTCTGGTCCATGCCCAAGCCTTGCCACTTGGAATCTGTGTGACCTGGAGCAAATTGCTCAGCCTCTCTGAATCTCATTTTCTTTACATCTAAGAATGGGGGTAGCATGTTTCCCTCCGAGGGTTCCAAGCATGATTAAATGAGATGACATGCAGGTGCCTGCCGCGGGACCCTACATACACTTATGGACTCATACATGTCTATTGCCTCCCCTCTCACTCCTCTTCTGCCTGCACAAGTCACTAAGCCACACTGCCTCTGTGTCCTCACCTGTAAAATGGGCAAGGTAACGGGGGCTGTTTTGAGGAGCCAGTGACATCATCTGAAAGCACTTTATAAACTGTATCATTTGAGAGACAATAGTTATTATTGAACCAGGGCTTAAGCACTTGGAGCAAATTAGACACCCCGCAGTTTGTGGAGTTATTTACTATGTTGGTACAAAACCGCACCTCCATTCCTTCCCTCAACAGAAAATGTTTATCAGGTACCCTGCAAGGTACTAGTGAATCTAGAGATTAATACTACATCCTAGGCACTTTGTTTCTGTCATTCTATTCAGTTATTATCATGGAATATTTGAGATAAAAACATGATGGTGGTGATCCATCTTGCACAGTCCTTTGTAGCTTTCTCAAGATCATAGTTAGGTGGATTCACTCTCCATCTGTGACTCCAGGACCACCACCTCTTTGGGTGGCTGCAGCCCCTAGCTTACCACCTCTAGCCCAGCACCCAGAAAGGGGAGCACAGGTGGTGAGTAATGATGCCAGATGATGGAGAAGACAGGGCGAGGGAGGTGAGGTCTAAGGTTGGACAACTGCATGAAGCTAGATGGGCAATTTCTCTGATGCATTTAGGTGACTCCTTTCCCATCTAAGAATTTGAGTCTCCTCAGAGGCCCAATTTTTATTTCAAGGATTCTATGTGCAATAGGTTTTATCATTCCCATTTTATAGATGATTAAACTGAGGCTTTGGAAGTAACTTGCTCAAGGTCACCAATTAAGACTAGCAGACTCCACAGCCTGTCTTCTTTCCAACACATCCCACTATATCTCCTGTGAATTGTTTGCTCATAACTGTTACCCAACTTTCTGTGGATTGTCTTTTTCTTGTTGATTTGCAGGAGTTTTAAAATATGGTGAAACCCCGTCTCTACTAAAAATACAAAAATTAGCCAGGCGTGGTGGTGTGTGCCTGTAATCCCAGATAGTCAGGAGGCTGAGACAAGAGAATCACTTGAACCTGGGGGGTGGAGGTTGCAGTGAACCAAGATCACCTGGGTGACAGAGCAAGATTCCATCTCAAAAAAATATATATATAATCTATATATAATATATATTTTATATATATAATAGATATTTTATATATATTATGTATATTATATATTATATATATTTTATATATATTATATATTTTATATATATTATACATATATATTTTATATATATTATATATTTTATATATATTGTATATATTATATATTTTATATATGTATATATTATATATTTTATATATTTATATATTATATATTTTATATATTTATATATATTTTTATATAATATATATTTTATATATATAATATATATTTTATATATATTATATATTTTATATAATATATATTTTATATATTATATATATTTTTATATAATATATATTTTATATATATTATATATATTTTTATATAATATATATTTTATATATATAATATATATTTTATATATATAATATATATTTTATATATATAATATATATTTTATATATATTATATATATTTTATATATATTATATATTTTATATATATATTTTATATATATTATATATTTTTTATATATATATAGTATGTTAATTCTTTGGGAGATAATATAGTCCAGCACTTAGGAGCACAGATGATGGAGTCTGAATGCATAAGTTTAAGTTGTGGCTCCACCACCTACTAACTTTAAGCAATTTACTTAGCGTCTTTGTGCCTCAGCTTGCCCATCTGTAAAATGGGGGAATAAAAGTCCCCTTGTCTTCAGATTGCTGAGAAGGTGAAACAAGCTAAATATGTCAAACGCTTAGAACAGAGCCTGGCAACTTAGTAAGTGCTCAATAAATATTAGTCATTATTATCATGTTGTCCCTTATTCTTTTTCCCTAGATCTAGGCAGTACCTTCATGAGTTAAATGGCCCAGTGACCTCTCAGGTCTCTCACCACTTCTTCTTAACCCTCCAGCCATGTTCCCAGATCACCCCAGCCTTTCATTGCCCATTTGCCTGTGCCTGCACTGTCACCTCCACCTAAAGTGCTCTCTCTGCCCTTCTGACCTGGTCACAGACTCCAGGGCCTGACTTGAGGGCCCGTCTCCTTCAGCATGCCTTACTGTGTGGCCATCAGCAGAAAGAGTGGTCCTGCGGTATCCTCCTCTTTGTGGGAAGACACTATAGTCCCAAGACAGAAGCCAGGAAAGGAACAGATCATGGCCAACCTGGACTCCTCTGCAAGGCCTGGCACTGTGCCTGGCACCCAGCAGGGGTCCAAGCTCCTTTTGTTGAATTGCCTCGGATCTATCATCTATTTCCCACTAGTGCAGGGTGACAATCCCAGCCACTTTTCTCCAGACTCATAAGTAGTTAAGAGCTTAGGTCCCCAGTTCTACATCTGAACAGCAGAGAATCACAAGAGGAACACACAGAAGCAACTCGGCATTATGGAGGTGAAGGACCACCAAGATTAGACACTGGTAATGCCACCGATTTGCCACGGGACATTAGGCAGGTCTCCCAGTGTCCTCCATTCCACAGGACGGTTCAGTAGGGGAGAGACTGTCATTTTGTCATCACCATTAATCACTGGAGAGAAGAGAGGTCTGAATAAAATATGAATCCTGCCCCTGATGATTATACATTCCTGTAATGGGGATAACACAGACCTAAAAAAAAAAAAATACAGGACAAAGTACGATTAGCGTCTTGAGCAAGGAACCGATAAAGTTTGGAGGGAGTTCAGAAAAGGAGCCCCTTGGAGTGGGTTAATCTGGGTGACTTTTAAATCCATTCTTAGCAGAAATCGAGGAAAGACATCATGGAAAAAGTAGTATTTGAACCAGACTTTGAAAGATGCATAGGCTTCAGACAGACAAAGGAGGAAAAATAACTGGTATCTGTAGTGAAATACAAAGGTGCCCCATGAGTAGTTAAAATCATGTGCCCTGAGAGTGAGCAGGAGAGGAGAGAAGATGGCAGGAGACAGCATTGGTCTAGGCCTCAGTTTCTTTATCCATAAATGCAGAGGCTGAATGACACAGTCTCCAGGGCACTCTCCAGCTCTCAGTCTGTGATTCCACATGTTCATAGCCTACATGTGGCCCAAACTGGTTTCCAGCACCGGCACCACCTCCCCTCTCTGTGCCCATCTCCCATTCGAGTTGGTGTAGATTCGTGGGAGCCAAAGAAGTGACCTTCATGTCAGCCTGAACGAAATGTAATTAATAAATTGAATTTGCATTCCAAAGCCAAACCAAGATCACATTTGTTTGTTGTATTGAGATTATCCATCCCCGTCCATCAGAGCCGACAACATGAGCTGAATCCTAAATTCCCAGTTTAGGACAGTCTTTGTGTCTCCCATGGGGCCAAAAACAGAGCCAGCGCCCAACAAAGCCTTCTTGTTAGGATGGCTGTTTCGTTCACTGGTCTTTAAGCTGGAGATCTGTTGCCCTTCAGAGGAGCCCAAGCCTCTGGTCACTGCACACACAGCCAGAGGTCAGCACAAGGGTTGGTGGCAGATTTCTGTTCCCAGGCAAGTGCAGGAGACAGAGATGGGCCCTCCTCCTATGTGGAAACCTAAGGACACCCGATTCCTAATGATTCCCAGTCTGCTCCAGAGAGGCGGCGGGAAGTAGAGGAACCGGAAGACCGGCTCACATCCGGGCCACATCTCTTATTAGCTGTGTGGCCTTGGGTAACGTGCTTAACTGCTCTGGGCCTCAACATCCTCATTTATAAAATGAGAAAATAAAAACAAAAACAGAACATAAAAACATTATCTCTCTTAAAGTGTTATTGTGAGGATTAGAGATAATATATATAAAATGCCTAACCCAAAAGAGGTCTCCATACAGCATAGGTATTATCATTAATCTTGTTATTATTATTATTATTCCTCTGTGACAGTCCTATGCTGGTTCTGGGGATAAAAAGATGAAAGATACAGTTGTACACCCTCCTGCGGCAGACAGATAGAAATAACGGACTAGGACGCAAGACAGAATGAAGGCAGGGCTCCAGGAATGAAACCAGGGTAGTACTGTCTGCCCGGCAGGCCTATGTCTGGCCTCGTGGAAGAGGGCATGTGGACGAAGTGTAAGGGACAAAAGAGGGGCAGGGTGTCAACAGAGAGAGGAGGGGGCCACTGTACCCCAGGCAGAAGAGATCGCTGAATTGAATGAGAGCTATGAAAACCCATTTGGCACCCTGGAACTCTGGAGTTCATTATTCTAGGGAGGCTGGTAGTTTACTTTGCTCTCTTGGCCAAAGGTGGGCTGCAGGGAGGAAGCACTGCCTGATAGGAATCCTTATATGACACTAAGAGACATTTTCTCATGTCACAGGACCCCTCTGGCCAGAGGCGTCCTTGCCCGTGTCTCCCTACCCACAATAAACAGTGTCCTCAGCGCACTTTCAGCCTGGCAAGGCACGGTGACAACTCAGTATCCCCATTTGCATGGACAAAGGAGCTGATGCAGGCTTGTCTTCCTGAGCAGCAGCAGACACATCTGGCCCACATCTGAGCAGTGTCCCAAACTCCCCGCTGGGGCCAAGATAGCCAGTCAGGATGCTGGGGAAGAGCATGCTGGGAGACTCCCACAAGGGGCCCACATTGATATAATCAGGTCTGGTGGAAATTAAAAGCTATTAGGAACAGGGCCAGATTTATCTTTATATCCAATAACATGTATTGTAATGGTGATCATGCAGATGGGAAATTAAACCACATCTCAGCTTCACTGGAGGCGTTAATTTTAATTTATGTTTGTGCACAGCCTTTGGCCCTCTTACCCCAACCCTGCCAGCCTTGGAGAGCCAGTTCACACCAGGATCAGTTCCCTGGAGAGAGAAGCAAGGGTGGGAGTCTGCCAGATACAAAGTGAGAGGCTCTATGCTTTACACACATCTTTAAACAGCGGATGGAAAGATGACCCACTTGAGGGAGTGGAGGCGGGTATAGTAGGTGGCTAAAGGGTAGCACTTTGGGCTGTTTCTCCAGACTCTCCCTGCCCTGGGCAAAGCACAGCCAAAAAGCTGGTGAGAGTTTCCTTGGCCAGCTTCAGGATAGCCAGGGATAGCCGGGAAGGCTAACCTGTGAGTAAGCACCCAATTCATGGAGATTGTTTTTGGTCCCAAGCCTTCAATTCTTCCCAGACTCCTTCAGAAAGAGGCGTGGGAGAGCCAGCTCCCATCCACAGGGGCTGCACCCACATGAGGGCCCCCTCCTCCCAGGGCACCTGCATCCCCAAGGGGATGCCTCCTGGGGCTCTGATGGGCCCACACCAGTCTCCCTGCTCCTTCTGTGTTCCAGCTCCTGCTGGACTTGTGGTTTGTGAAGCTGAGCCCAGCCCTGCAGATCCAGAAATCAAAGTCAACACAGTTCCTCTGGCTCCGGAAGCTGATCCTGAAGTGTCAGAGGGAAGTATCCCTGGCTCTTCCATCCTCCATTAACCTTCAGGGCAACTTGCCATGTAATCTTCCCCTACCATGAGAAGTGCCATCCAGCCTCCTCACCTCAAAATGCACACACACACACACACACACACACACACACACAGCACAGCACACACACTGGGCATAGTGTGAATATGGTTAGTGGAAAAAAATCCTATTTTTATAAAAAATCGAACTACTTTCATTTGCCAAAATTAAAGCATGTGGCATGTGGGCCCAAGTTCTGGTCCTGCACCTACAGAGCCTGGACAAGACAAAACTCCACTCTCTCTGGCTCTCATGGAGTCCTCCATGATCATGCTAGTTGGATTTCTGCACTTGGAGAAGACTGGCCCCGGATCTAACATGTAGCTGTAGAATGATCTAGAATGATTATAGATGGGGCTGGAGGGCTGGGCCAGGAGAGGAAAATTCTCCAATGCCAAACTAAAGAAAGGGGTTCTGCAAAACCGAAGTTTAACACAGCCCTGCAGATTAGCATCGAGGCCACTTTCCTGATAATTATGCCCTATGGGGCCACCAGCCCAGTCTTGACATCAAAGACAGCCCTGAAGCACCAACTACAGGGGCCGCCTGGGGGAAGCTCCCTGCCTCCAGCTCCTAAGCACAGGAACCAGTTAACCTTCCTTCTCTCCTATCTGATCTGGTCTTCTCCCCATCCCATGCCCAGCCTGCTGTCTTATTCCATGTCTCTGTCCATGCCATTCCCCAGATTCCTCTGGAATTCTTCCAGCCATCCATTCATATACTCACTGATCATTTAGTGAGCTTTTATTTACCCTGAGTGCAGAAAGTGGAGATGTGTGGATGAGAACAATCCAGTTCCGGCCCGTGGGAACTGCAGTCGTGTGGGGAACACAGACACCATTCCATACCAGAAACACACACCACTGCAGCAAACCGCAAGCGCAAATGCTCTCTTCCACCTAATAATCGCAATAACCTGTGCTCAGCAACTGTCGGGCAGTGTTCTAGACATTGTTCATATATTGATTCATTTCATTCTTACTCGAACCCTATGAGTCCATTTTACAGGTGGGGAAATGGAGGGGGTAAATGACTCACCCAGCTAGTAAGCAATGGAGTGAGTCTTAAATGCAGGTAGTCTGGTCCTAGATTCTAGGCTCTTAATCACCACACTGCACTTGGTTCCATGAAGCCATCCCCACATCAATTTGTTCCCCTTCCTAAAGCCAAAGGCCTCACTGCCTACAGTACACATTTAAAGCCTCCACTGTAGCCAGAGTAACACTTTATTGGATACATTTATACGGTGGGTGAGGCACGTCTGTGTGGGGTTAAGCACACAGGTTGAAAAAACAGACTCTGGTTCCAGCCCCACCCTCTGCTCAGTGTGATTCAGAAGGTACTTTACTTCTTTGAGCCTCAGTTTCCTCTTCTGTAAAGTGGAGAGGGGAAAACACATTTACGGACTTTTTGTGATGATACAAAGAGATCCTGTATGGAAGTTTCTGAGCCCTGTACCTGGGATATAGTAAGCACCCCCCAAATTTTAATGCAATAATTATCATTATTTAATGGATGTAATGCTTAGTCTATAAACTTAAGTATATAAGAAATACCACATTTCTTTATGTTCTTTAAATCACCTTAAATCTGACTCTGCTAGATAGGCAGGAGATTGTCCCCAACATTATTGGGGCTTCTCCCAGGGTATGCCAAGGTCCGAGGTACCTCTGCTCCTCACCAGCCCATGGTCCCTGCCTGAATGATTGCTTTGGCTCTTGGGCTGTGCACCTCATGACTCATTTGAACCCAAGAACCCTGGACTCAGCCTCAGACCCTGCAGGACCCCACACAGCCACCCCTGCGGGGTCCAACCGCTTCTTCTGGCTGCGTCCATGGAGCAGCCTTCAGCACCATCCTCATCCCTGGCATCCTTTCATCTCCTCTTTGTTCCTTGCCCTCAGAGGCTCTCCTCCCCAGACAAAACACCCTTCCTAACCTTTGCTATTAGCCTATGGTTTTACAAAAGACAGGAGGAGCAGCTGTCTTCCAGGAGCTTCGAATTCCCATCCTGCTACAAGCTCTGAAGTCAGGAGATATAATGGCCTGGCCATCTGCTTGGAACTGAGAGAAGGAAAAAGTACTGAGTGTAAAAGGCAAATTAATGTCTCAAAGAAAGTCTCCTGCTGCATTAGCTGTCAACACGCCAGAGCATGGTTCTTGTCCTAGGTACACATCAGAACCACCTAGCGAGCATTGAAAAGGCTGATGCCCAGGCTCTACTCCTGGGAGAGTCTAATTCAGTTGATTTGGGGCTAAGCATTGGTGTTTCTAAAGGAGCTCCTCGGGGATTTAAATGGGTAGCAGGCTTAAGAACCCCTGCTTTACAGGTTCCATGAATAGAAGTCTTATCTTCCCCAACTAAATCATCAACCTTGAGGAACAAGAATCATTTCAAACAATCAGTTATGAGACCTTAATGCTGAAAGGGCACTCAGAGATCACCTGGTCAAGCTGCTCCAATTTACAGCATGGGAAACAAAGGTCCTGGGTAGAGAAAGGAAGAAAACGCAGCAGAACCCCTGCAATGT
Organism: Homo sapiens; assembly: GCF_000001405.40. NCBI lineage: Eukaryota > Metazoa > Chordata > Mammalia > Primates > Hominidae > Homo > Homo sapiens. The sequence goes on from NC_000011.10 coordinate 117,776,019, forward strand.
GCGGAGATGAAGAAATGGGTGGTGGAAAAATCCCGCAGTTTTGTAAATGGAGGCCTAGAGGTATTTTAAAGACCCAAGGTCCTCTCTTGGGGCTTCTATACCTGTTTTCCTGTGGCTGACACAACCCCAGAGAGGTAAAAGGAGCCAATAATGAGGGACTCACAATCACGGCAGCTGTGATGAGATGAACCCACAACATGGTATGAACCCAATTTCCCAACATCAGCCTCAATGCGAGGCCAGCTAGAATTCCAATGGAGTCTTTAGCCAACTCATTCAAGAAGGGAAGAAGGAAAGTCCCCATACACATGCTTCCTGAAGTCAGGTCCTCCAAGGAGGCAGTGCTCACTGTTTTAGTCACACGACGCAGGAACACAGACCACAAACCCGCCTCTCATTCCTCCTCCCCTTGCCACCTTTCGCAGGTAAGGTGCTTCCAGCCTTGCCTCCCGTCCCTCAGGGCTGGGTCAAGCAAAGCCCCAGCAGTCAGAAAGGATGGGGCTTCCACTGCACTTGGTGTCTGATGGGACCCTCACAGACCCAGTCAAGACCACCAGTGTGTGAGTCTTCAACACCCCACAGAGAGACGTGCCAGACCAAGACCAAAGACTTTTTTTTTTTGGCCAAAGCTTCACCAGAACAATAACAAGTCACTCCCCAGAGCCAACCTCAAGATCTTATTGAGCTCAACAACCAGCTCAGGCATCTCTACTTTATCCAGTCCCCACAGAGGGAGCACCTCTGTCTGCCGCAGCCCCGGGACGCTTCTTACCTGGGATGATGGAGACTGTGTCTTTCTCCCAAGATACAACGCTAACATATTCCTGCACTGAAGAGGGGATGAGGCACTTGAAGACGGCCACGTTGCCACGCATTGACCTTTGATCCTCCACCCGGACGGTGTAGGGTTCCCTGAAAACTGCAGAGAGATTGGCAGTGGGGAAGAGAAGAGTGTCACAAGGATGTGGTGAGGGTCCCCAGAAAGGAACAGGGAGTCAGCTCAACTCCCTCTGCTCCTTCAGCCTCACCTTCCCACTTCTTCCTTCCCCCATCCTGCTTAGCCAGCCTAGAAGCCCCTGCCATGATCTTGTTCTTGTCTGGGCAACTCCTTCTCCATCAACCTCCTCCCCATCCTACTGGGCAGCCTTTTCTCCCTCAAAAATATCTGGCCTCCCTCTGCAAGACCATCCATCCAAATTCCTACCTTTCCCATTTCGGTATTAGCAAGTCATATTAGATTGTAAAAGCCTTGAGGGCAGCACTAAGCCCTGCAATGTTATATTCACCAAGGGGATGTGCAGGTAATAAGGAAATATGCTAGAATTCCCCTAAGAAAACCAAACCGGATTTCCTGCATTATTGCTGGACCCAGGGTGGCAATTATTTTGGACACAGTGACCATAATGCACCCAAACAAAACCTGTGACACATGCTCTAACAATTGAGTTTTGGGCTCCTTCAACATGAAAGGCAGCCTGGGAAATGTAGTTCAGATCCTGAGCTTACAAGGACAAAGGGAGAGAATGTTTGGGACTACGATTGTCTCTGAGCACACAGAATCCTAGAGACATGGACACAGTCTCCAAGATTCTCCAAAACAGAGCATTCTTGCTGCTTTCTTCCTGCTTCTGACCCTGGCTGCAGCCTCTACAGCACCCCTCCCTGACCCCCAGACTTGCCCCTGCTTTCAGAACCATCCCTTCCCCCACCGTGCCCACCTCCTGCCTCAGCTGGCTTCTAGGGCATTGCCAACTGCAGCCGCTGTATGTGTCTGGCCCTACAGGCAGGCAGACCCAGCCCTAGGAATGGGACCAAGGCTTCTGCCTCTGCCTTGTCCTCCTCTGTTTGGCCTCTCCCAGGCCTCGCTTGATCCTTCCACCCCCTTATCTGCCAAGCAAAGCTGGAACATCCAGAGCCCTGCTGCCTCCCGACCTTGTCCCTCAGCAGGCACCTGGGCAGCGTGCCCTCCTCCTCTCCCTGCCATGGTTGCCAGGGTGACACTTAGGGCCCTGGCAGCCCATCCCCACCCCCTGACTGTGCACCTGCAGCCCCTCTGGCATCATCAAGAGTCTCTTAATTGACTGTGTTTCCAGTCAGCCTGGCTCTTCCCGGCCCTCCCTCGGCCTTTATTCTTTCCCCTTCTCCAAGCTGTGGCTGTGATGAGGAGAAGATGTGGTTGAGGTGGAAGAAAGAGAAGAGAGGAGAGGCACTGGTGGCTCTGTGGATCTGTGGTCCAGCCCTTCCAAAGGTTTGGGCAGAGCCCTGCCTCCAGATATGGGAGAGCACAGAGGAGAACAAGGGGAATGGACCCTGGAGGGAGGCAAGGTGGTGGAGTGGAAAGAGCGGGCTGGGGTGCACGCCACCTGTGATGTCCCAGGGAGTCAGCAGAGGTTAATGGCTAACGGCATCTAACAAGCGGGCCCTGCCTCCTCCACTGGCCCACTGTGTGATCCTGGACAAGGGTTGG